>NC_000016.10:66380682-66683712 GCF_000001405.40 Homo sapiens
GATGGTGATGGTGGTGAGGTTGGGGAAGGACAAGGTGGTGGTGGTGGTGGTAGTGATGGTAAAGGGGAAGGTGGTGGTTGTGATAGTGGTTGTGATGGTGGTGATGATGGTGGTGGTAATGGTGAAGGATAAGTGTTGATGGAGATGGTGGTAGTGATGATGGTAGTGATGAAAGATAAGTGTTGATAGTGGTGATAATGGAGGTGATGATGATGGTGGTGGAGGTGGTGGTGAACTCTATGGTTCAATTTCTCCCAGACCTTGGTCTGTAAACTAGATATCACTAACAGAAGGGCCATCCAGTGCCCAAGCTGATGAGGCTCACCTGGCCTGGGGGTTCAAGGTTTAGGACAAGACCAGCCAACCCTGCCGTGAAATTTTCCCATTTGAAAGATCGGAAAAGAACTGTGCAGCCTTCCACAAAATTGTGCTGAAGATGAAGTTAATCATCCAGGCCATATTTTTGCCAACTCCAGTCTAGGCCTTTGAACCTCCTCAAAAACCCCTTCTCTCAGGCTATCCCTGGTTCCCTGTGACCCCACACAGCTCCCCATATTCCACAACACCTGTAATGAGGTACCTGACCCAAGCCTGCCCTCCAGGGCAGGACCTCAGACTCTGACCCTCACTTTGTCCTCCTTTAAAACATGTCTATCCTAAGCCCATCCTCCTAGAGCTCAGAGCATATCTGAGTGACTGCTGAATTGCCTTACCATGTCAAACTGTCACTGATGTCAAAGCTATCCAGTCTAATTGAAAGGAATGGCCCTAGTAGTGGAATTTCACACACAATGACAGGTAGATGGACCGTGTGCTTTCAGAGTTTTCAATGAGGAAGAAAGTTTATTTTGAGTGCGTTAAAATCTCACTTTGTCAGCTTCTTGGAATCTAAATGACAGGTGCAAAAAAGAACATGTCAATGTGCTAGAGAAAGGAAGGACCATTCCAAGCACCGGACTGGGTGCCAGAAAGGTAACAACAGTGGGCTAAGACAGACATGGTCCCCACCCTCATGGAGAGGGTGGTCTAGAGCAAGGATCAGCAAACTACCCCCTGCGGGCCCAATCCAGCCCACTGCCTGGACTTGCAAATAAAGTTTTATTGGAACACAGCCACACTCATTCATCTACAGATTGCCCGCAGCTGCTTTCATGCTACAATGGCAAAGTTGAGTGGTGGTGACAAAGACCAAATGACCATAAGGCTACAAATATTTGCTCCCTGCCCTTTACAGAAACAGTTTACCCATCCTGGTCTAGAGGGGCAGCATATGTCAGACAAAGAACCCCACAAATGGTGTGGGGGTGCCCTCTGGCTGTAGAGAAACAGGCTGGAGAGGAACTTTTGATGGGAAGGCCCAGTCTGGCCATGGCACCAGAAATGCCCCAGCAGACCTTGGTCCGTGGACTGGCTATAGGGCCATCCCATGCTCAGACTGAGAAGGCCGGTGTGGCCCCAGGGTTCAGGGTTTAGGGCAGGGCCAACCATGGCTGCCATGAAATTTTCCCATTTGGGAAATTAGGAAAGATCTGTGTAGCATCTGACAAAATTGGATGGGAATGGGGCCAGCTGGGGAATCTCCACTCGGAGCCCCACCCACAACCAGCTGGCTGTGCCCATGGCTCCCAACAATAACTGGGATCTTGAAGTCCTCCAGCATGGCCACTCATAGGGGAAGACACTTGCCCAGGGTCACACTAGGAGACCAGGACAGAGCCCCAGGAGAATGCCGCCCTAGGAAAACCAGCATTCCTGACTCTCAACACAAATGCGAGCTCTGTGTCATACAGGAAAATGTCGTCAATCCACCTGCATCCTTCCCGGTGGGATAATTGTGCCTTGAATCAGCCTCTAAAAAGAATGTCTGACCTCAAGGAAAATCTATGGAGTGAGTCAGGGAAAGTCCGTAGAAAGTGGGGGCTACCTTTCAAGGGCTCGCCCAAGGGTTTCTAGCAGCAGGAAGAACGCCAGGCCTGCTGTCATTTGCCAACAGCATTCACTTGGCCCCTGGCATGGGGCTGGGTCTCCGAGGAACCACAAGGGGTCGTCACGCTGGGAAGAAACAAGGGTGCCTGGAAAAGACAAGGACAGGGCTCCAAGGATCACCTCCGGCTCCTGAGGATGTAATCTGAGGGAAGGAAGTCCCTGTTTATCAAGGTCAGAGCCTGGAGCCTTTGTTTACAGACCTGGCTGGACAATGGGAGCAAGTCCTGAGCCGCCTTCTGAACCCACAAATATGGGTTTTTGGCATTAAGATGTTATGTTTAAATACAGTGATCTTAGAAAACAGGGGTAGGGAGAGTGGAGGCTCCCAGAAACCCATAACCCTCATCTAATCATGAGAGAAACATCAGACAAATTCCAACAGAGGGGCATCCTGCAAAATACGTGACTCATACTCCTCAAACCTGTCGAGGTCATCAGAAACCAATGAAAGTCTAAGAAACTATCACAGCCATGAGGCACTTAAAGAAACATGACACCTCTGTGGAATGTAGTATCCAGTGTGGGATCCTGGAATAGAAAAAAGACATTAGGTAAAAAAAAACTAAGGAACTCTGCATAAACTATGCCCTCTGGTAAATAATAATGCATCCGTATTGGTCCATTAATTATAACAAATGCACCACATTCATGTAAGATGTTCATACTCCGGGAAAAAGAGGAGCAGGCATCTGGAAACTCTCTGCCCTAGTTTCTCAATTTTTCTGTAAATCTGGAACTGTTCTAAAAAATAAAGTCTAGGGAAGAAAAATTGAAGGGAAGGAAAACAGAAACTGGATATTCACATGAAATTGTATGCAGAACTCCAATCACACAGATCCAAGCTGATTTCCTCCCTCCATCCTCCCTGCCCTGGTGGGTCCTAACACACTCACCGAGAGCCCAGTTGGAAGGCCACCATCTTATCCTCACCTTGAGCAACTCACACAGGGCCCCAAACTGTCCCCTTCTCTTTGAGTCTCCACTGTCCTCGCAGGTCACAGGTTACAGAGCTGAGGCATGGCTTCTTGCCTCTAGTCCAGCTGTTCATCATGCATCCTGGCCACTGGGCCTTAGTACCTCCTCATGAACCCACCTGCCCCCTGCACGCCACAGCCTTGCTCCAAGATGCTTGTTGCTGCCCACCTCTCTCCCACCCTGCCCGACCAAGGGGGCAATCCTCACTCCCTGTCTCCACTTCCTCCCCTTCTAGAATCTTCCCTAGGCTGCATCATCTAACTTCCCACCCTATCAACCCCTGTCAGTGCCCTCACTGAGGGCTCCAATGACTGCACTGCTGCTAAACCCTGGGGACACTTTCCAGACCTCATGGGATGTGGCCATACCCTCTGGAATCTCCCTCTTCTTTCTTGAGACCCCAGCCTCTCTTGAGTTCTCTGGAGGAGTCCAGCCTTTTTTTTTTTTTTTTTTTTTTTTGAGTCTGAGTCTCGCTCTGTCACCCAGGCTGGAGTGCAGTGGCGTGATCTTGGCTCACTGCAACCTCTGCCTCCCAGGCTCAAATGATCCTCCTCCCTCAGCCTCCCAAGTAGCTGAGACTACAGCTGGGTGTGCCACCACACCCAGCTAATTTTTTTTTTTTGTATTTTTAATAGAGATGGGGTTTCACCATGTTGGCCAGGCTGGTCTCAAACTTCTGACCTCAAGTGATCCACCCACCTTGGACTCCCAAAGTGCTGGGATTACAGGCATGAGCCACCATGCCCCCCGAGTCCAGCCTTTCTAAAGAGTCCTCACCAGATGCCTTCACACAAAAGCCCTTGCTCTATTTGACTTTAAATAATGTGAGGCAGACTCAGTAGCTCATGCCTGTAATCCCAGCATTCTGAGAGGCCAAGGCAGGAGAATTGCTTGAGCCCAGGAGTTTGACAACAGCCTGGACAACATAGTGAGACCTCATCTCTACAAAAAAATACAAAAATTAGCCGAGCTTGGTGGTGCACACTTGTAGTCCCAGCTACTCCGGAGTACCTGTCTCAAAAAAAAAAAAAAAAAAAAGAGGCTGGGCGTGGTGGCTCACACCTGTAATCACAGCACTTTGGGAGGCCAAGGCAGGCAGATCACTTGAGGTCAGGAGTTTGAGACCAGCCTGGCCAACATGGTGAAACCCTGTCTCTACTAAAAATAGAAAAATTAGCCAGGCACGGTGGCACATGCCTATAATCCCAGCTACTCAGGAGGCTGAGGCAGAATAATCGCTTGAACCCAGGAGGCGGAGGTTGCAGTGAGCCAAGATCGTGCCACTGCACTCCAGCCTGGGCAACAGAGCTAAACTCAAAAAACAAACAAACAAACAAAAAAGCAATGTTGCACTTCCTCAGCATGCCAGCCTCTGAGGCTGCAAACCTAGATCCTGAGAGCCACAATGGGATCTGTACCCTCTGTACTCCTAGTGGGGGCCTGGCACCTCCCAGGCACCAAGTTATATTTTTTAATTGAATAGAATTCTATTTTGGGGACATACTAACCTTCTATGAGAGTATCATTGTATATGCATAGAATACTATTCTATAGGAACTATACCGTTCCTAATATTTTCTGTTTCTATGATTCTTTAAATGGAGATCCTCTAACCTGTGGCTCTATTATTGATAATTATTAGCTAGCATTTATAGAACCCTGTTTGGTGTAAGATGCTTTACATATATTATTTTCCAAATCTTACTCCTTGGGACATGAACAGTACATGTTACACAGAAAAATGGTTCTGTGGTCTAAGAAGTATGGAAAATCCTGAGTTACACAAAGCTCACTGGAGTTCTTTTCTGCAGAGCTGTACATTGTAAATCTCCAAGAAGAGAATATTTTATGCACCATTTTCTGTACTGGGCCCAGGGGTGTGCTGATATATGTTTGACAACTGGCTGTCCAGGGGAAAAGTTCTGATGCGTAGCACTTGCCAATTTCCATGGTGTAAATATTCTCACCATGTCTCATTTCAAGCTATCAATGTGATGTCATCGAAGGCCAAGACAAGACAGGAGAAGATCCTCATGAGCACATCATTATGTAGCATTTCCATCATACAGATACCATAAACACAGATAACCTCAAAACACAGTCAAAGGTAGCAAAACAATTAGGAAGCGATGAATTCTGAGAATTCGTTGTTTTTCATGATTTATTTAATTGTAAGTTCATATAATTTAATTTGTAATAGTGGCTGTATTTAACAATCAGCTCACAAATATTCCTGAAAATTTAAGCTGGTTCTTGAAAGCCAAGCTGATACAATCCAGCGCCAGCACACCACTGGCTAGGACCCCATCTTTGCGTGGAACAGCAGAAGAGTTCAGTGTTTCCCAGAACTCATCTTCAAAAGTGCTGTTCTACTCCTCAGAGCAAAGCAACATCAGAAGCAATATTTCCATTTTACAAATGAGGCAACTAAAACTTAGAGAGGTTAAGTGACTTCTACAGGGCAAAAATATCCTTTGCCTTCCAATGGCACCAGGTATATTTTTTCCACTCAAAAAATGTTTTCTAAGCACCTACTCTGTTCAGGCACCATTCTAGGCATGCTGGGGCTCTGCCAGGCAACTCACACCATGAGAACAACTCATTGGTGACTAGTCAGAGGTTCTTTTTTTTTTTTGGCTTTTTAAAAATTTTATTTTCAGGGGTACATGTCCATGTTTGTTACATGTATATTGCATATTCGTGGGGATTGGGCTTCTAGCATACCCATTACCCAAATAGTGAACATTATGGCCAATAGGTTATTTGTCTACCCTCGCCCTCATCCCAACCTCCCCTCTTTTGGAGTCTCCAGTGTCTATTATTTCCATTTTTATGGCCATATGTACCAATTGTTTAGCTCCTACTTATAAGTGAGAATATGTGGTATTGGATTTGTTGCTTCTGGGTTAGTTCACTTAGGTTCATTTAGGATTATGGCCTGCAGCTCTATCCATGTTCCTGCAAAGGACATGATTTTATTCTTTTTTATGGCTGCCAGAGGTTCTTGATAAAAAATCTCAGTATCATATTTAGGGACCCTGGCCAGCACCACACACACCACATACACACATGCACAGGCACACCTGTGTACACACACTCTCACTCACACACTCACACACAGCCACTGCCGCCCATTCCCAGCTCACGTCACCTCTTCTTTTCTAGATCAAGTCAAGCGTGAGTCGCAAGAATGCCAAGTACCTGCTCAAAGGAGAATATGTGGGCAAGGTCTTCCGGGTCGATGCAGAGACAGGAGACGTGTTCGCCATTGAGAGGCTGGACCGGGAGAATATCTCAGAGTACCACCTCACTGCTGTCATTGTGGACAAGGACACTGGCGAAAACCTGGAGACTCCTTCCAGCTTCACCATCAAAGTTCATGACGTGAACGACAACTGGCCTGTGTTCACGCATCGGTTGTTCAATGCGTCCGTGCCTGAGTCGTCGGCTGTGGGTACGTTGCATGCCCACTCTGTCCTCCTCCCTCCCTCATCCCCAGCCTGGGGGCACCTCTCACATCAGCCACTTCACTGCCTGGGGTAGGAATCCAGTGAGTTCAGGGTAGTGATTGTAATGCCTGTGTTGCCACTTTACATGATTTGAAAGAAACTCTAGTTCCTAACAAGCTCTGATCTGGCCACAGGCTGAGCTCTGACCCTAGTCATAGACCAAGCCCTGATCCTAATCATGGACTGAGCCCTGACTACAGTCATAAACTTGGCCCTGATCCTGATCCTGGACTGAGCCCTGATCCTGATCATGGGTTGAACCCTGACACTGGTCACAGACCAAGCCCTGATCCTGATCGTGGACTGAGCCCTGACCCTAGTCATAAACTTAGCCCTGATCCTGATCATGGACTGAGCCCTGCCCCTAGTCATAGACTGAGCCCTGATTCTGATCATGGACTGAGTCCTGACCCTAGTCATAGACTGTGCCCTGATTTTGATCATGAACTCACCCCTGGCCATCAGAGGCATATCTCACTACTCTTTGGAACAAACTTCACTCACTTCCTCTGACTGTCAGGACTAGCACACCAAGAGTGTAGCCTTTACATGTGACGACTGTCATGGCCTGCCACTAAGGCAAAAGGATTCATCTCTAGGGGCCATGCAGGAGTGGTGTGGGGGACAGAGCACTAGCCCCAAGGTATGTCACCAGCCTGGGCTCTGGGCTCAGGAGGTTACTACTCCACCTCTTCAGTACACCTCAGACTCCAGAGGGTGCCAGAAAAGAGCTTCCCTCTTCAGTCCAGAGTCTCCAGCCAGGGCCCTGGGACCAGACCTTCGGGTTGAGTGTGAGATCCTGGAGTTCAAGGGGATGCAAGAAATGACACCACTCCTTTGGGGGCACCTTTCCAGGAGAGGGAGAAGCAGCTCATTGCTGTCCTCCATTTCTCTCCCTGACCCCAACCCTCCGCCCCCTCCCTCATTTCCCCAGGAAGCACACAAACCACCTGATCTCTTTGACCCCTTCAAGGTTGACCTGGCTGGGCCCCCACTGCCACCAGCACTTTGCCCCCATGCAGGCTCCTCAGAAAACAAAACAGCCTTTTATTCCCAGGACCTGGGGGAGGTGGGGACAGAGCACAGCCTGAGCCCCATCTGCTCTGTTCCAGGAATGGGGTAAGGGGCCTAGCAGTCACAAGTCAGCAACCCCAGGATTCTCTCTCTGCAGGGACCTCAGTCATCTCTGTGACAGCAGTGGATGCAGACGACCCCACTGTGGGAGACCACGCCTCTGTCATGTACCAAATCCTGAAGGGGAAAGAGTATTTTGCCATCGATAATTCTGGTCTGTGTGACTAACACTCCTGGACAGTCACTGATTTGGAGGGACAAGGGGAGGTGGATACTCCAGGTGCATGTGCTAAGGGAAGTCCAGTCTGACAGGTGTCACTAGCTACTGAACCACACTGTACCATGGAAGTAGTCAGTATCATATGTAAAGACAAGGCGGCTGGTCAAGGGAGAAGGAAGCAGGCAGGTGCCCAAGAGGTGGACTCAAGTCCAGGGAACAAAATCAGGATCTTGTTACCCAAGAAGTGGCCAAGGGGCAGCAGAGGATGGTGGCTAGCCGCTCTGGGTGCAGGTTCAGACAGATCTGGTTTCCAAAGCCAGCTCTGCCACTCACCCCCTCTAGAGACCTTGGACAAATCAACTAACTTCTGCAAGCCTTAGTTCCCTCATCTAGGAGGTAGGAATGCTTATATTTATATCGTATGGTAGCTGTAAAGTTTGAGTTAGATCATGTATAAAGGCAGCAAGGCCCATAGTAATTGCTTATGTGATGACTTAACAAAAAATATAAGGACTGACTCTTGGGAGCAAGAAAGAAGTCCAGTGGAACTGTCTTTCAGAGAGATGGCAAATACATAGCACAGATGCCACTACTATGCTACAGTGCACCAAGGCAGACATCACTAATCTATCACAGCACTCTTTCCATCTGAGCCTAGATATGGCCTCATGGTCTTTGTCAACACAATATTTCAGGTGGCGAGGACCAATACCGAACCCAACTATTGGGCCAGCTTTGGCCTCACAGTATAGGCTATGGAGGTAGTGGGTTGTAGACTCACAGTTCTCAGCCCCATTTGCACAGTGGAATCACCAGGGAAGCTCTTAAGTCAGGTTCTCTCTGGGCAGGCCCTAGGCATCGGTATTTTCTAGAAGCTGGTAACATGGTTCCTGCTGGGAATCTTTTTGCAGGACGTATTATCACAATAACGAAAAGCTTGGACCGAGAGAAGCAGGCCAGGTATGAGATCGTGGTGGAAGCGCGAGATGCCCAGGGCCTCCGGGGGGACTCGGGCACGGCCACCGTGCTGGTCACTCTGCAAGACATCAATGACAACTTCCCCTTCTTCACCCAGAGTGAGCCCCTCCTCTAGGGCCCTGGGAAGGGGGGCTGGGATACCCCAGACTCAGTGACTTGGGGCTCTGGGAAAAGAGTTACAAATCACTTTACCTCTCCCTCTATCCCAGGGTAGGCCTGATGCCCAAAGGAGTCCTTTGGGTGAAGGGAGGGGCCCTGCTTCCATCCCAATACCACATTCCCAAGGCCATCCTGCCGCCCCCTGCCACAATCCCCTCATAGGCCAGAGGGAAATCCCACTCCCTGCTGGGTGCCACCACTGTACTGTGTCCCACCATGAGACACAAGCAGTTTCACCCAGATCCCATGGGCTTGGGAAAATCAAAGCCCTGAGACTCAGGTCCCAGCTAGAAATTCCCACAAGCCAGTGAACATGGGGACAGCAAAGTTCTATATCCAGAGCCAGGGCTGGGCCCTGACCCCACCTACACACTGATCCACCCCACAGAGAATGTCTAATGAGAGCTTTTCCCATGCCTGGGGCAGATGGCTCTCCACTTGCAACTCCCAGTGCTGATACTGTCATTCAGTTGTTCAGCCACCCTAGAGACAGGCCAATTGTCCTGAAGTGGCTTCCTCGTACATGGCATAAGCTCCCTGAAGGCAGGACTTGTCTCTCTTGTCCATTGATAGGTCCCCTAGCAAAGTGCCTGGCATACAATAGGTGCTCAATAGCTATTTATTGGATGGAGGGATGGATGGATGGACATACAGATAGGGAAGACCCTCTTTACCTTGAGAATCCCAGGGGTATTATTATTTATGATTATTTTATTATGCCCATTTCTTTTATCAAAATATGTTAGAATAGCTGAAAGAGGCAATCGCCTTGTCTATCTCATTAACCCAAAGCCCTTTGGGGTGCTCTGTTTGCATCAGCCAAGTACACATTTGTCGTGCCTGAAGACACCCGTGTGGGCACCTCTGTGGGCTCTCTGTTTGTTGAGGACCCAGATGAGCCCCAGAACCGGATGACCAAGTACAGCATCTTGCGGGGCGACTACCAGGACGCTTTCACCATTGAGACAAACCCCGCCCACAACGAGGGCATCATCAAGCCCATGAAGGTTTGTAGGCCAATGGCAACAATGTCAAACGTGAGGCTTGGGGCTCTTGGCACCCACAGGTCCTGCTTGGGGATTGCTCCTGGGCCAGAGACCATCAAAGGACCATCAAAGCTCCAAGGTGGTCATGTGTTCATGGAGACTGTGATCCAGTGTCTTAGGCCGAGTTACTTGGGAAGCAAATCTTAAGGCCATGACTGGGTGTAAATTGTTTATCTGGGAGGTGATCCCAGGAAGCCCCAGGAGCAATGACCCACTGCGGGGTAAGTGTGGAACACATCCCAGAGTTGGAGAAGCTGAGGGTGAAGGAGCTGGGGTATTTATACACCCGCTGTCCGTGGTGTTGACTGGGGGCTGCCCCTGGAGTTATTACCTCTCTGGCACTTTCTGGCCTGCCATGTGTCCTGGCCAGTAGAAATCCATCAGCATGAAGAAAACAGTGAGTAATTGTGGTGACATGGATGGCCACTGACACTGGATGCTGCTGACAGCCAGAGAAGCCAGATTAACTGAATCTGGAAGAGGAGGGAGAGGTCCTGTGAGGGGCATAAAAAATGCCTCTGGAATGGCCATGCAGAGGATTGCAAGTCCTGGGCCTGAGTCCTTCTCTGAACCAGCCCCATGCTGGGGCTTGGAAACACCAAGGAGAGGCAGACACAGCCTCCAGTGTCAGCAAAGGTCTCAGCGAATGGGGAAGACATATGCATGAACAAAAAAAGTACAGCCAGGTGTAAGTGATACACAGCAGCTCTGAACAGGGAGCAATTACCTCTGCTAGGAGGGGTTTCTGAGAGAGCATCTGATTACCTTCTGCTTGGCTTCCTGAGGGATGAGTAGGAGTTTTCTAGGCAGGCAAGGGCAGGAGAAGGATCTTGAGCAAAGGCATAAAGAAAAAGCATGTCCGGCCGGGCCCGGTGGTTCACGCCTCTAATCCCAGCACTTTGTGAGGCCGAGGCAGGTGGATCACCTGAGGTCAGGAGTTTGAGACCAGCCTGGCCAATATGGTGAAACCCCGTCTCTACTAAAAATACCAAAATTAGCTGGGCGTGGTGGCAGGTGCCTGTAATCCCAGCTACTTGGAAGGCTGAGGCAGGAGAATCGCTTGAACCTGGGAGGTGGAAGTTGTAGTGAGCGGAGGTCGTGCCATTGCACTCCAATCTGGGTACCAAGAGCAATATTCTGTCTCAAGAACAAAGAAAAAGCCTGTCCTTAAGGACCTGTGGGTAGAACCACTAGTGACGCTCTTAAGAGCAGGACCATAGTTGATCCATTCTATGTCCCAAACGCTGGAAATAGGGCCAGGCACACAGCCAGGGTTGTGGGTGTGGCCATGAGGCTGCTGAGATGAAATGGGGAGCAGCTGAAGACAGACACCAGGCCCAGCCGCTGTCTTGATGACCTCAGAAATATCACTTGTCGAGGCCATGGGCCCCTCATCTATAAAATGGGTGTCATCCTGGTACTACCTTGCATAGTTGCTGTGCAGATCATGTGCCACACACATGCTTGGCCCAGAGCAGGCACTCACCATCCTTTTTCCTTACGCAGCCTCTGGATTATGAATACATCCAGCAATACAGCTTCATCGTCGAGGCCACAGACCCCACCATCGACCTCCGATACATGAGCCCTCCCGCGGGAAACAGAGCCCAGGTCATTATCAACATCACAGATGTGGACGAGCCCCCCATTTTCCAGCAGCCTTTCTACCACTTCCAGCTGAAGGAAAACCAGAAGAAGCCTCTGATTGGCACAGTGCTGGCCATGGACCCTGATGCGGCTAGGCATAGCATTGGGTAAGGGGGCGTGTGTCGATGAGAATGATAAGGACAATCCGGCCTGGATGTTCCTATGCCTGCTGGTCTGAGGCCAGGACTCAGAGAGGGGAACTGGCTTCTCCTAGCACTTACAGGGAAAGTGACAGAGGCAAGACCAGAAGCCCAAGCTCTTGCACTTGGCAGCCTGGCATCTTGACCTGCCTGGACTCCCCCACCTAGCATGGTCCTGGGCATCCAGAGCTACTTGTCCTCTGTCCGGCCTTGAAGGCTTATTCTCTGCACCACAGCTCTCACCAGTCCTATGTGGTAAGATCTGACAGTCAAGAAAGCAACCAATCAGACGACACACCAGAGGCCCCTTCACTAAAACTGTATTCTTGAATCTATCTTCCCCAAACCACAAAAGTAAGAAGTGTTCATTTTATACAGTGAAACAACACAGAGATCTACCAAGAAAACACTGATAACCCCCACTCTCAGATAACTCATGTTCGTGGCCTAACCTGGTCCTATTGCTCCTTTCTTTTCGTGACCACACAAACATGTGGATGCATTTATGGTGGGTTTGTTGTTGTCTGTTTGCTTTTGATGTTTGATTGTTTTAAAATTTTTTTGGATCATGCCATGCTGGTTTCATCGATATTTGCTCTTCTATCTTAACTAAATTTCTCTTTTACAATCTTTAGAAAAAAATGATATAGTTCCAACAGATACTTTTTAGAGCCATATAATATGCAATAGTAAGTATAAATTCAATTCAATCTTATTTTATTGTAGATGCATAGCTGATTTTGCCAGCACCATTTACTAAATATTATAATAATAAGTCATCGTTTTCCCACCTTCATTATATACTAAGTTTTCTGTATATACCTGTATCTACTTCTAATTCTCTGTCCTATCCATCATTCTATAGCAAAGCTATTCTGTTTTATTCTACTAGCTTGTATAAGTCCATTCTCCTATAAAGAAATAGTTAAGACTGGGTAATTTATAAAGAAAAGAGGTTTAACAGGAAGTATAGTGGCTTCTCCTTCTGGGGAGGCCTCAGAAAACTTACAGTCCTGGGGAAGCAGGCACGTCTTACACGGCCAGAACAGGAGTGGGAAGGGAGTTGTTACACACTTTTCAACAACCTGGTCTCATGATAACTCACTAGCTTGAGAACAGAACCTAGGGGATGGAGCTAACCCATTCATGAGAACTCTGTCCCATGGTCTATCCACCTCCCACCAGGGCCCACCTCCAACACTGGGGATTACATTTCAACATGAGATTCGGTGGGGACACAGATCCAAACCATATAGCTTTACACTAGATCTTAGATATACATAAAAGTCCTTCCCATGTTGCTTTTTTATTTGATATAATTTTTTGTCAACTCTCATTTTTTCTTTTGTGAAATTTAAAATTTTGTATCCAGGTTTTTTAAACATTAGAATTCTAGTGTTTATATATTAATTTTGGTATAGCTAATGTTTCAAGGGTATTAAGTCTTCTTATTAAGGACAAAATATGTTCTTCCATTTTGGCCTCATATCCTAAGTTTTGGGACTACTCTTCATTGCCATTCTTTTCTAAATAGCCTGTAATTATAATTTTTGTTTCTCCTTTGATCCAAGGGTTTATTTAAGAGATTGACTTGATTTCTTTATTTTCATTTATAAGTCATAGGGTGTTTTTTTTGTTTTGCTTTAGCTTGTTCTGTGATGTGATACAATTGTATTTGTGTCCACTTCTTCCTAGAATATCTAAGTTTTGACTTTATGTATTTAAATTTTTCTATTCAGTTAACAAAGGTTTGCAACTATTTTACCTTCATTATGGTTTGTAACTTTCATCCAAATGTAATTAGCCAATTTGTTCTGCTTAAATATTTTGCCTTTAATTCTGTTTCCTGATGTTACATTTGTTAGTCCTGTTTTCATGTTATTCATATACGCCTAATGCAAATTTTACAACCTTTACTTTTAATTTTTCCAGGTCATTTGGCATTAAGTTGTCTCTTGAAAACAAGAATGCATTTGGCTTTGCTTTTTAATCTAAACTGAAATGCTTTGTGTTTAACCTATTTACATTTTTCATCATAATTGATATGTTTGATGTTCCTTCTTTTATCTTGTTTTACATTTCTCATTTATCAAATTTAATGGCTTTTTTCTTTTTCCTCATCTTTGCTATACAGTCTATGTTTCTTTATTTTTTTTTTCTCCTAGATATTTGGATGAGGTGCATCCATTTTTATTTCTACCAGTGAGATTTACTTCTATCTGCAAAATTTAAAATGTTTTCTTGGACCTATATTTTCTAGTTAAAACTATTATAGACATACACACACCCATTGCTTTTCTATGTATGATAAAAAAAATCAATAGTTTTGTTTTAATTCTTCCCATGCCAGGTTTTTACTTTATATTGAGATGTTTAGTTAGATACAGTAAGTTTTCAAAAAAAAATTCAGGACACAAATATCTTAGTTCTTTGCCTTTTTTGGGGGGTGGGGGGGACAGGTTCTTCCTCTGTCACCCAGGCTAGAGTGCAGTGGCACAACCATAGCTCACTACAGCCTTGAACATCTAGGCTGAAGCAACCCTCCCACCTCAGCCTCTGAGTATCTGGGACTACAGGCACACACCACCACACCAGGCTAATCTTTTTTTTTTTTTTTTTTTTTTTTTTTTTTTTTTTTTTTTTTTTTGGTGAGACAGGGTCTCACTCTGTCACCTGGGCTGGGCTGGTCTTGAACTCCTGGCCTCAAGCAAACCTCCAGCTTCAGCCTCTCCCAAAGCACTCAAATTACAGATGTGAGCCACCATGCCCAACCTTGCCTTCTAATAACACCTAGATGTATTCGTATAATCCTCAGATTATAAACACTTCCCTTCAAAAATACTATCAATGTATTCTAGTATTTAATTTTGTGGGGGCATCTGAGGCAAATCTGATTTTTCTTTCCTCATAAGGAAATTATTTCTTTCTGTCTGGACTCTTTTCAGTTTCTTCACACAGCCTTGAAATTCGTAAGTGTCGTCAGGATTTGCCTAAGTATTGGGGTTTTTTTCAATGATGCCTGATGTCAATGACATCTTATAATGTGTAGACTCAAGCCTTTCTTCAGATCAGGAAACTTTTCTTTTCTTTTTTTTTTTTTTTTTTTTTGTTATTTCTTCTGTTCTGTTTGTTCTGGGATTTTCCTCATTAATAGCAACTATTATTCCTATATACACAAAACATATATATTTATCTTTCCATAGATTTTTCCTGATTTCTGAAAGAACTTTTTAAGTTTTTTATTTCACAAAGTTAATTTCTTTGTAATTACTTCTTATCTCTTCCAGCTCTTTTTGTATTCCTTCCTGGCTCTTGCCCAATGATCTTTTCATTAATCACTAAAACAAGTCCCAGCTATGGTGTGATGTCACCTGTTCAGCTCTGAAAGTGCATCTGATGGTCTCAGGTACCACCTCCAGTCCAGTGATGGCAATGTAACTAAGATCAAAGACATTATCTTGCTATCCTGAATCCCTCTGTGTAGGTCCACTCTTGTCTGAGTGGCAGAGTGCAATGAGCAGTGAGAGAGGGGCATGGAGTGGGATGCAGGGGACAGATGCAGAAGGGCCTTGTCCATCATGCTGAGGAGTGTAGACTCAGCAAAGAACAATGGAAAGCCATGAAACTCTCTCCCCTGGGCAGATACTCCATCCGCAGGACCAGTGACAAGGGCCAGTTCTTCCGAGTCACAAAAAAGGGGGACATTTACAATGAGAAAGAACTGGACAGAGAAGTCTACCCCTGGTATAACCTGACTGTGGAGGCCAAAGAACTGGATTCCACTGGTGAGTGGCCACATCTGCCAGGGCACCTGGATTCTTTTCCTTTTCCCTCATTCTTCCAAAACTGGCATAATCAATAATTTGGGGTCTCTAGACGTATTAGAAGTGCCTGCTGAAGCACCCGCTGGTTGGGATGCTATAGAGCTCCCATGCCCAAGTGTGGTCCTTGAACCCAGCAGTATCAACATCCCCTGAGACCTTGTTGCATCTCGGGCCTCACCCCCACACTGAATCGGAATCTCATGCATGTCACAGTTTGAAAACCACTGTCATGAAACAGGCTGTGCAGATGTCTCTGTGACGAGAATCACCCAAGTCACCTATTAAGCATAAAGCTCTACTCCACCCTGCAGGTTCTGGTCCAGTGAGCCAGAGATGTGCATTTAACAAGGGTCCCATGATTCTTAGTTATCATGGCTGTTTGGGAAATGTTCCTTCAGAGGGTGTTTATGCACCAGTTAATAGGTAGAATTCAAAATGTGAAGCAGCTTCCAATTTTGAGATTGTGAGTTTCTCTAGAAATTGTGTAATTTTTGCCAGAGGGAGGGGCAAGAGTTGGAGTTTTGCATCCTCTATCTATATTAGAAAATCACAATCACCCTCCAGGAGAACTATTAATACTCCCACTTTACCCAGGAGCCCGCTAGGCCAAGGATCCCTGGCGCCTGCCGGGCCCACCCAGACTCACTTCTGCCAACACAGCTGCTGCCCCAAACTGTAATGGACTCCTGCATGTTTGGCCAGATCAGTCTTTGCTTCTTTCTCCTCCACATAATCCCATTCATAGACTCTTTACATTTAAATGGTTTAAAATACGGAAAATACAGAAAATGAGAAGAAAATACTCCTCCCACCAATGCCACCATGCAGAGACAGTTACTATTAGCACATTCATGTATTTTTATTTTTATACATATTTTTATACTTACATGAGATTGTAATGTTTGTGTAAGATATTATATTCCACATTTTTACTTAACCTTTACTTAACCTTATTCCAGAACCACTTTCTCATGGTACTAATTTTTTTTTTAAGAGAGAAACAGGGTCTCACTCTGTTGTCCAGGATGAAGTGCAGTGGCACGATCACAGCTCACTGCAGCCTCTAATTCCTGAGTTCAAATGATCCTCCCACCTCAGCCTCCTGAGCAGCTGGGACTACAGGCGTGCACCACATTGCCCAGCAAATGTCTTAATTTTTTTTGTAGAGATGGGGTCTCACCATGTTTCCCAGGCTTGTCTCCAACTCTGGGCCCCAAGCAATCCTCCCTTCTAGGCCTTTCAAAGTATGAAATTACAGGGGTGAGCCACAGCACCTGGCCTTAAAATTTTTTTTAATTATATGTTTAAGATGTAAGTGACATAGGCATTGTCAGTGGCCATCCATTTCAGTCTTTTCCGGTAGCCTAGTTTACTGACCCAATCTCACTTAGGTTGTTTACCTTTTCAATTCTTTTATGATTAATTTATTATGTTTTATGTATTTAATCAAATAATTAAATTTTTAATTTTAGGAATTTAATTACAATTTTTTTAATGCACTTAGGTGGTTTACCTTTTTGATTCTCATAATCAAAGTAATACCTCAGTAAACCTTATGGATGAGATTTAACACCTCCCCCCACCAAACTCCTTTTATCCAGAACACCATCCTGGGCCTCTGTTCCACAGCCTCCTCCTGCAAAAAGTGGCCTCCATAGGGCAGCCCTCCTTCCACACATCTTCCACCGCCCAAGGCCAGCATCAGCTGAGCCCATAATGGTGACAGTCTTCTCCCCTGCAGGAACCCCCACAGGAAAAGAATCCATTGTGCAAGTCCACATTGAAGTTTTGGATGAGAATGACAATGCCCCGGAGTTTGCCAAGCCCTACCAGCCCAAAGTGTGTGAGAACGCTGTCCATGGCCAGGTGAGTCTGGTTCAGGTGGGAGGGGAAGGCAGCACCACCCTGGGGCAGGCTGGGGGGCAGAACTGCTCAACAGAGTCAGCAGGAGTTCCCCTGTACAATAGCCTTGAGGAAAATAACATTATGCCCATTTTACAGATGGAGAAACTGAGGCTCAGAGGGAATATATGGGGAGTAGATTGGCGGGGCAGGGAAGTAGAAAGAATGGCTTTATGAAGAACTAAATAGGTGAGTGTTGCAGGTGGGAAACAGCCATGGTCAGGACTTAAACCCAAAGGCTCCATCGCTAAACCTCAGACCACCCCACCACCCCACCACCATCACTGACCATCTCCTGTCTTCCACACTCCAGCTGGTCCTGCAGATCTCCGCAATAGACAAGGACATAACACCACGAAACGTGAAGTTCAAATTCATCTTGAATACTGAGAACAACTTTACCCTCACGGATAATCACGGTAGGCATCAAAGTAATCAGTTCAGCTGGGCGTGATGACCCACACCTGTAGTCTCAGCTACTCAGGAGGCTGAGGCAGGAAGATCGCTTGAGCCCAGGAGTTTGAGGCTGCAGTGAGCTATGATCACATCACTGCACTCCAGCCCGGGCGACAGAGCGAGACCCCGTCTCCAAAAAAAGAACAAATGCAGTCAGTTGGCTCTAACAGGGTCGGGGTGAGGTTATTTGAGTCTTGAGGCACCAAGGTCAAAGACCAGGCCAACAAATTGAGGGCAGGCTCCCACTGGGATTTTCAAATCATTAGATATTTTGTACAATTTCTGCCACATACATTGTACAATTGGTCTATGCAATGGTCAGAGACACTCCATCCAAACTCCCAAGTCCACGTCGCCTGCAAGGAGCCAGCGAGGAGTACAGAACAGATGTGAGGATGCAGGCAGTCAGCTCAGTTCAAGAACTAGCCAAGGAGTCCCCTCCCATACTGGAGGCTCTATGGGTCAGCAAAACTGCACATTAAACATGGAACTTTGAGGTCATTCCCAAAGAGTCAAAACTGGAAATGTGAAATCCTAAATCCCAAGGATCCAGTGAGCTTTGTTTTAATTCAGCTACAACGATTACTCACGATTAGCAGGGTGGCCCGTGTGATGGCATTAGCAGCCAATCAGAGCTTCTGAGGAGTAGGTGCTGACTTAAGTGATGATGCTGAGTTGACTTCATTCCAGCCACAAGTAGGCAAGCTTCCATGGCCTCTGAAATTTCCTCAAAAAAATAGAGAAAATTCCCCTTGGGTTTAAATAGAGTGATCCTTCACCTAGCATGGGATGGAATTCCTGCCTGTCCCTAATGGGCAAAACTATGGTGGATGAGGATGGCTGTATTGCAGCAGCCCATTACTACATTTAAGGAAGACTGGGGAGTGGGGTCCCTGAAAGTTGGAGGCAGACTTGAGGGATCAACCACAGACCAGTCCTTAAGGAGACTCCTGTGGGATGGAGAAGGTGGCCCTGATGTGTTGACAGTCAATGACAGACCATTCAACACCCAGTTGTCATTAGAAGTAAATAATGTGGCAAAAATGTCACCCCCTCCCCAATGTCCACCTCAGTCCCATCTCAGAGTGGGGATCTGCAATACAGTAGAAAGATTCAGTGCCACCCCAAAGACACCCATATACAATAGGAGGCAAGTCTGTTGGTGTCAAATTCACTTATATCATGAACATCCTGCATGTCAAAATCTCTAGTTTCTCCCATAAGTGTCAATGACATATAGTTTATTTTGAAATATAATAGACTTAATGCTGAAATGTAATTATGAATAATGAAATATAATTGGCTTTCATTCAAAATCGAAAAGATGGATTCCTGGGTTTTTCAATCCAGTGTGTGGAGCCTGTGTAGCTAAGTAAATCCTGGAGTAGGGAGTTCCTGGATCCTTCTCTGATCGTTGACATTACAACCTCCTGGGACCCTGCAAAAGGCAGATTATCTGGCCTCTGCCCAGAACCACTGAATAAGAAGTGTGTGTGAGCATAGGGGTCTGAAAATCAGCATGTTTTAAAAGCTCCCTGGGGGATTCTTGGGTACAGGAAACCACTGATTGGATCTGGGAAGGTGGGCGGGGCCAATATTTGGACAAAAGCATTTCCCAGTTCCAAACTGCCTGGGAAACCCGCAATTCTATATGTAATCATTTTCTCTGTGCCCCAAGGGACATGTCCATTGTTTTTACTGTTTTCAACAATGTAACAATGGATTTTCAGAGAGAGCAGAAGCTGCCTTAGAAATTAGCCTAATGCTAAAAGACTTTTTAAAACTTTATTTTTCCCCGCTGCTTGTCAAAGCTTGAAACGGAGCATTAATTAATTGAGCTGAAAGAGAAAACCTCCTGTTACTGGAGTGGGGTTAGGGAAGAGGAAGGGGAGAGGCATCAGTTGCCCACAAATACAGAAAGCAAAGGATTTGACCTTCTTTCACCAAGGCATCCTTGGAGATTGGGTCAAAGCAGCTGCCCCAAAATATCCCCTCTGTGGCGGAACAGACCTGCACTCAGATGGCTGAAACAAGAGGCGCTGGGTGCAAAGGGCAGAAAAGCAGCCCAGGGAGCACGCAGGCTGGTGCAGTCAGGGAGGGCTTCCTGGAGGAGCCAGGTTTCCCCATCTGTGCAGATGGCAAAGCCTGACTCCGAGGCCTTGGTGTTTCCAGATAACACGGCCAACATCACAGTCAAGTATGGGCAGTTTGACCGGGAGCATACCAAGGTCCACTTCCTACCCGTGGTCATCTCAGACAATGGGATGCCAAGTCGCACGGGCACCAGCACGCTGACCGTGGCCGTGTGCAAGTGCAACGAGCAGGGCGAGTTCACCTTCTGCGAGGATATGGCCGCCCAGGTGGGCGTGAGCATCCAGGCAGTGGTAGCCATCTTACTCTGCATCCTCACCATCACAGGTCAGTGCTGGGCAGGGTGGGGAGAAGACACAGTGGGTGGAAGGGGATGGAAGGTGTTGGGAGGCGGGGAGGCTTCACAGGAAAAGTAGAGGCCAGAGGTTCAGGCCCAACCCTGCCTCCAATCTGCAATGCAGCCCTTAGCCAGTTCATGTGCAGGATGCAGGATGTGAGCTCCAACCACCTGGGTGCTCACGGTGGGGGATGAGCCAGGGAGGAGGAGGGGGTGGGACTCAGGACTCCTCCCCCACGCATCAGGCCAGTATCACTTTAAAATAACTTATACATAACAGTCACTCCTTCCACTTAGATATTTTCAGCATTTACTGAGTGCCAGGCATTGTTCTGGGCATGTATTTACATAAAACCTATTTTTGAAAAAGGAAAAAGGATCCAGTTCTAAAATGGAAAGTTTAAAAACTTCTAGTTTAGATTGTCTCCACGTGCTTTCTTTCTTTTTATAGAATTCCTCCGGCCTTGATACATATTTTTTTTCTTGTTTGGGCCTCAGAAATTTTAGGAGCATTGTAGGCCTTAGTTTGGATTTCCCAGGGAGCAGCCCTGGGATGAGGATTGGGGTGGAAGTGGTTTATTTGGGAGGTGGTTTATTTCCCTGGATACCTCCTAAGGCAGAGGGGGAGTGAAGCTGGGAAGGGAGGAGGCCAGCGAAGGTGGAATGTTCCCATCGTGAGGAACTGGAGCCTCCTCCCATAGGGTTGCCGGGAGGCAGCGTGGGGCCACCCCCCAGCATCATCCCACCGGGGGAGCACAGTGATGTACTGTATCCTGCATTTCACTCGCCATGAGACGCAGCAGGGGCTGATCCTCCAGAGGAAGCCCTCAGGTGATTAGAGATCACCCTGGCACTCACGGCAAGGCCTGGATACAGCCACGGGGCACCTGCAATACAGATTCCAGGCCTCTCCTGCCTGTAGCCCTCCTGAGAGTGGCCTCGGTATGCCCGACTTCTGGGACTTCTCCAGCAGAGATTTCTCCTTTATTAATAATTAATGATGATGATGGCATCCCCACCACAAATAGAATTGCATTTGACCTCACAACCATCCTCCCAAATATAAACAGAGCAGGGAGGTCATCATTTCCATTTTACAGACAAGGAAACTGAGGCTGGGGGGCAGGGCTGCCTTCCAGGGCATCCCAGCTTTACTTATGTATATAGTAGTTTGTTCAGTAACTCAAAGCTAGAAGGCCTGAGCCTAATTTTAGAAGCTCTCTGCACTTCAAGGTCTACCCCTCCTTAGGGATCCAAGACCCTCACATAGCCACACCCCTCAGAGATTCCCACAGGCTGAGCATCCGCACCTGCCCCTGGGTGTGGGGGAACGGCAGCGGTGGGAGTGTCGGGCGAGGTGGGGATGAGTATGCGGGGGAGCGGCAGGGACGGGGTGTGGGGTGTAGGGGGATGGCGGGGATGGGGGTATGGGGGAACGGCGGGGATGGGGTTGCAGGGGAAGGGGGGCCAAAAGGATGGGGTTGCAGGGGAAGGGGGGGCCAAAGGGATGGGCATGCTGGGAGGGCGTGGGGGTGGGGTTGCAGGGGGCAGTGGGGATGGGGGCATGGGGGGCCGCCCAGGCCCCCAGCCTTGTCTGACTCTGCTGCTCGGCTCCCTGGCTGCAGTGATCACCCTGCTCATCTTCCTGCGGCGGCGGCTCCGGAAGCAGGCCCGCGCGCACGGCAAGAGCGTGCCGGAGATCCACGAGCAGCTGGTCACCTACGACGAGGAGGGCGGCGGCGAGATGGACACCACCAGCTACGATGTGTCGGTGCTCAACTCGGTGCGCCGCGGCGGGGCCAAGCCCCCGCGGCCCGCGCTGGACGCCCGGCCTTCCCTCTATGCGCAGGTGCAGAAGCCACCGAGGCACGCGCCTGGGGCACACGGAGGGCCCGGGGAGATGGCAGCCATGATCGAGGTGAAGAAGGACGAGGCGGACCACGACGGCGACGGCCCCCCCTACGACACGCTGCACATCTACGGCTACGAGGGCTCCGAGTCCATAGCCGAGTCCCTCAGCTCCCTGGGCACCGACTCATCCGACTCTGACGTGGATTACGACTTCCTTAACGACTGGGGACCCAGGTTTAAGATGCTGGCTGAGCTGTACGGCTCGGACCCCCGGGAGGAGCTGCTGTATTAGGCGGCCGAGGTCACTCTGGGCCTGGGGACCCAAACCCCCTGCAGCCCAGGCCAGTCAGACGCCAGGCACCACAGCCTCCAAAAATGGCAGTGACTCCCCAGCCCAGCACCCCTTCCTCGTGGGTCCCAGAGACCTCATCAGCCTTGGGATAGCAAACTCCAGGTTCCTGAAATATCCAGGAATATATGTCAGTGATGACTATTCTCAAATGCTGGCAAATCCAGGCTGGTGTTCTGTCTGGGCTCAGACATCCACATAACCCTGTCACCCACAGACCGCCGTCTAACTCAAAGACTTCCTCTGGCTCCCCAAGGCTGCAAAGCAAAACAGACTGTGTTTAACTGCTGCAGGGTCTTTTTCTAGGGTCCCTGAACGCCCTGGTAAGGCTGGTGAGGTCCTGGTGCCTATCTGCCTGGAGGCAAAGGCCTGGACAGCTTGACTTGTGGGGCAGGATTCTCTGCAGCCCATTCCCAAGGGAGACTGACCATCATGCCCTCTCTCGGGAGCCCTAGCCCTGCTCCAACTCCATACTCCACTCCAAGTGCCCCACCACTCCCCAACCCCTCTCCAGGCCTGTCAAGAGGGAGGAAGGGGCCCCATGGCAGCTCCTGACCTTGGGTCCTGAAGTGACCTCACTGGCCTGCCATGCCAGTAACTGTGCTGTACTGAGCACTGAACCACATTCAGGGAAATGGCTTATTAAACTTTGAAGCAACTGTGAATTCATTCTGGAGGGGCAGTGGAGATCAGGAGTGACAGATCACAGGGTGAGGGCCACCTCCACACCCACCCCCTCTGGAGAAGGCCTGGAAGAGCTGAGACCTTGCTTTGAGACTCCTCAGCACCCCTCCAGTTTTGCCTGAGAAGGGGCAGATGTTCCCGGAGCAGAAGACGTCTCCCCTTCTCTGCCTCACCTGGTCGCCAATCCATGCTCTCTTTCTTTTCTCTGTCTACTCCTTATCCCTTGGTTTAGAGGAACCCAAGATGTGGCCTTTAGCAAAACTGGACAATGTCCAAACCCACTCATGACTGCATGACGGAGCCGAGCCATGTGTCTTTACACCTCGCTGTTGTCACATCTCAGGGAACTGACCCTCAGGCACACCTTGCAGAAGGCAAGGCCCTGCCCTGCCCAACCTCTGTGGTCACCCATGCATCTTCCACTGGAACGTTTCACTGCAAACACACCTTGGAGAAGTGGCATCAGTCAACAGAGAGGGGCAGGGAAGGAGACACCAAGCTCACCCTTCGTCATGGACCGAGGTTCCCACTCTGGGCAAAGCCCCTCACACTGCAAGGGATTGTAGATAACACTGACTTGTTTGTTTTAACCAATAACTAGCTTCTTATAATGATTTTTTTACTAATGATACTTACAAGTTTCTAGCTCTCACAGACATATAGAATAAGGGTTTTTGCATAATAAGCAGGTTGTTATTTAGGTTAACAATATTAATTCAGGTTTTTTAGTTGGAAAAACAATTCCTGTAACCTTCTATTTTCTATAATTGTAGTAATTGCTCTACAGATAATGTCTATATATTGGCCAAACTGGTGCATGACAAGTACTGTATTTTTTTATACCTAAATAAAGAAAAATCTTTAGCCTGGGCAACATAGGGAGACCCTATCTCTACCAAAAAAAAATTAATTAGCCAGGCATGGTGGCAGGCACCTGTGGTCCCAGCTACTTGGGAGGCTGAGATAGGAGAATCACTTCAGCCTGGGAGATCAAGGCTGCAGTGAGCTCTGAACGCACCACTACACTCCAGCCTGGGTGACAGAGTGAGATCCTGTCTCAAAAAAAGAGAAAGAAAACCTTTGAGATTCTTCCATTTTTAGAGCTGAGAGAGCACTTGTGAAACACACACACATGCACAAACATATAAACATGCATACAGGCATGCACATGCACACACAAATACACATACACACACACAAGCACACACACACCACCACCACCATCATCAGAGGAACTTACAGAAAAGGGGACATTTATAGATTCCTAGGAATATGCCAAAGCTTTTCAAAGCCTCTATGGACAGCTCATTCCTTAACTTTTCCTTTTAAAATCTTTTTTAGCTTCTTATTTGCCCCAGCCACTATCACTGCCTCAGGCAGCTGCAACGTTAAACAATTGCCACTGATTACTTTCAACAAATAACCTCAGAGAAAAGGCTGTGTGTATTGAATGGGTATCAAGTCAGGTCAAAAGAACACAGCCTTGCAAGTGGAGTTTCTTCCAGGGAACTACCAGACAAGTTGAATAATGACAGTTATCTGGGAATTGGACTTTGCAGAAGCTCCAACCCTGTTCTGATCTGTTTGTCTCTAGACTGCTGGTTTTCACCATGATTATGAATCCACTGGGTTTCAAGGCTACCACAGGTCTCGGGAGAAGGGGATGGGACTAGGGCAAGTTAAAATGCCATCAAGCTCTGCCAGGTGTGGTGGCTCATGCCTGTAATCCCAACACTTTAGGAGGCTGAGGAGGGAGGATTGCTTGAATATAGGAGTTTGAGACCAGCCTGGGCAACATAGTGAGACCCAGTCTCTATTAAAAAAAAAAAAAGGACAATGCCATCAAGCTCACTGTTCTTACCAATATTTAGCTGTTTTAAAAAAAAATAGGTACACCCTGGATTATTGCAAGTTTTTAATTAGTTTTCAGAGTTCTGAAAAAGTTGGTTTTGACAATTTTGGCCAGTATTCTCATTGCTTTTCTCGGGGAGAAGTGCTCCTTACTCAGCCATTCCTGCCAATGCCACCCCTTCCAGCTGGTTTTTAAGCTGTTTTCCCACCTGTCTGAAGTACCTGCTCCCTGAACTCACGGTTGTTCAATCCCTGGAGCCCATGAGATCTGTTCACTACTTCCTTCTCCAAGAAGCCTCCCCATCCCCAAGACACCTCCAGATGAGACAATCTCTGTCGCTCCAACCTTCAAGAGGGCCTGGCTCTGAGCTCTTGGCCACCCTGGTCACCTCCTCTGCTTGGAACCTGTTTACCCTAAGGTAGGAAGAGTGATCTTCATAGTGGAGGAGGGCCTGCCTCTGAATTTGTACATTTTATGGTACCCCAAACCCAGTGGCCTGGAATCTTCTGACCACACTGCACATGCCTGCTCCAGCCAACCCTGGGTCCCAAGCCTACCGAAAGTGGGCAAGGG
Organism: Homo sapiens; assembly: GCF_000001405.40. Classification (NCBI taxonomy): domain Eukaryota; kingdom Metazoa; phylum Chordata; class Mammalia; order Primates; family Hominidae; genus Homo; species Homo sapiens. The sequence goes on from NC_000016.10 coordinate 66,406,336, forward strand.
GAGCAGAGGCTCAGAGCCCTTCCCCTCCCCCAGGCCAAACCTGTGAAGCCAGCATGACCTTCCTCATTTCACAGATGTCCAAGGTGGGACCCAGATGGGGATGAGATGTGGCCAGAGCCACACAGGCAAGTTAGGGACAGAGTTGGGCCTAGACACTCTCCCATTCCCCTAGACCACCCTCAACCGTTGCCTCCTGGGTCCCAGGACAATGCGAATCTACAGACTTCCCAGACCTGGGGGGCTAGAGGCTGAACCAAGGAGCATCGTCCGCGGCTGTTGGGTTGGTAATGGGAAATGACCACTAGGGGGCGCGCTGTGTCAATAAATGCTCAGCCAGGGCCGGTGTCTGCGAGCTCCGCGGCCGGGCATCCTGGCAATCAATGGACCGCAGGTTCTGGGGGTTCTGGACCTTGACAGAGAACCTGGTCTGGCCCTACAACCTGCCTGGGCTCTCGCTACGCTCCTCCGTCGCACCAGGCTCTGATGGGGTAGAGAGAGCCAGGGACCTAGTCCCCCACCTTCCCGAAGGAACGGGGTACCCGCTGTCTCCAGCAGCCCAGCCAGCACCAAGAATCTCGGCTCTCCGAGAGCGGCTGACCTTGGCCGCCGGATCTTTGGATTTGTGAGGGTCACAGTGCACCACACCATCCCTCCCTGCACCGGGTGGCCCTGCCGCAGTGTCCACGCCTCGTCCTCCTGCTCGGCTCCGCCCTATTTTCGCCAAGCCAATCCTGGAAGGTTGACTCTGGGCCAGGAACGGAGCTGCAGTCCCTGAGCGCCCTGGTTTCAAGGCGCCTCCCAGGTCAAGAATCCTTCGAATAAATCCTACTGTCTTCAAGGTGACTGGTAGAGTCTCTGATGTTCACAATCAAAACCTCAGACCACCCAGCAATCCCCCTTCTAGGGATTGCTAAGGACCTCCTAGGGACCTAAGATGCACTGGGTGTATCTGCCTCAGTAAATTCAGTGTTACTTACAAGCAAAAGATTCGAAACAATGTAAATGTCCAACAATAAGAGATTGGTTAGGTAAATTATGGCAAATCCACAAAACACTACCGGGCAACCATTAAAAGTCATGTTGGGACGTGGTGATCTTGAGCTAAATTCAAGGTCAAGGCTAAAAAGCAAAACCCAATGAATTATTTACAGTCAGATCTCAATTTTTTCTAGTAGATATCCATCTTCAGGTTATGAAATTATGAAAAATTTTTATTTTCTTCTCTATTCTGTGTTTTCCAAATTTCCTATAAGTAGTATATATTATTTTTATAATCAGAAAAAAAAAGTTATCTTAATGTTGATTTCTAAGCACTTTTTTGTCACTGGAAAACAGTGAATTGATAAGCAAAATTTATCCCCAAATATCATTTTTTAACACTAAAACTTTCTGTTTTTTTAAAAAGTTGAGTTCACTATTAATGCAACAGACTTTTAAGAATTACCAGCCTGACCAACATAGCGAAACCCTGTCTCTACTAAAAATACAAAAATTAGCCAGGCATGGTGGCAGCTGCCTATAATCCCAGCTACTCAGGAGGCTGAGGCAGGAGAATCGCTTGAACCTCAGAGGCAGAGGTTGCAGTGAGCCAAGATCGCACCACTGCTCTCCAGCCTGGGCGACGGAGTGAGACTGTCAAAAAAAAAAAAAGAATTAACTGAATTGTTTTTGAAGTCATCACCCTTGAATCCAGAAAATCTGTTGTTAAAGGGTTGATTAATTTTGTCTGTTTGCTTACTTCTGAAAGCATTTCTTTGAATTTCATCGGTGGGAGTCTAATCCTGTTAACCTTTGAAGTTAACAGCAAATTTCCAGCCACTTTCTGGATCAGAGCAGTTACAGTCTATGATATGAGGGAAACCCGGTTTTTCAGCCAAGTGACTTCCATAGGATTCTGCAGTGCATAGAAATATCCACCATTCCTCTTCCTCAAAGATAAGAGAAACAGCTGGGGCCTATTTCTCTCAGCCCATCCAGAGGTTATTTGGGATGTTTAGGAAATCTGTGTATCCCCCAACACTTAAGGAGACTTCACAAAACTTTGCAATGTGGTCTTGTAGCCTAGGGCATAGAAAGCACAGTTATCTTATAATATTCCTGTATAATGGTTGCCAAGGGGATGTTTAATGTTGTTACGCAGGAAGCTGTGCTGAACAAGAGTCTTTTGCTTTCAGATCAGACTCTGGGCAGGAAGTGAATCTTCACAGGGAAGGAAGCAACAAAACTCTGCCTTTGGCTTTTGCTGGCTGAGCAGGGAAAGGCCTATAGACACAGGGCATTGGGCAGGAGCTAGAACAGCCCTCCCTAGAGCACTACATAAAGCAGCCAATATTTTGCAAAGCATAGGGAAGAGTGAAAGTCATCCGGGGCATTTGCAGACACAGCACTAAGAACTTGGTGACAACAGCCCTGAAGCAAAACAGCAGCATGTACTGGGCAGGGCTTGGGAGATAAGACAGGACATCTGAAGCTAAACATGGTGAGTCCATTTCCTGGGCTTTCTGGAGCTATGCAGGGTGATAGGCTCATCCTGGCTTGCCCAGGACTCTCGTCGTTTTAGTACTAAAAGTCCTGTGTCCTGGAAACTCCTCAGTCCCAGGCCAGGTGGTTCAGAGTCAGCAGTCCTGGATGAGTCAGTGCTCTCCTACAAGCAGAGTTAGTTTCTTAACCTCCCTGAGTCACAATTTTCTCATTTGTAAATAAAATAAGGTAATATACTGCCTACTCTAAGTTTTTGTGAAAGTCAAAAGAAATAAGTCTTGAAAAGGTAATAGAACCAAATTTGGCACATAGTAATTATTCAATGTTAACAGGAAGGAGGGAAGGGAAGGAGGAAGAAAATGTTAAAAGATCGTTTTTTAAGGTAAAAATCATAACTCTTTACTCATATAAAATGAATATGTATCAAAGGTTTTATTTAACTCGTTAGTTTATGATAGAACCTGTCCAATGTTACAACCCACTGAAAGGAGTATTCAGAGAATCCCACAATAAAGCCAATAAGGAATGCTGAAATCAACTTACATACAGAAATAAAACTGGTCTATCCGCAGGGTAAAGATAGACTGCATTCCATTGGACATAATCATTTGTACTCCCATGGGCAAGAATAATTTGCATTAATCTAAGTTTTCTTCAACTTACAGAGTTGTAAAATAGCTCAAAGACGATGAAAGGCAATAACCTGGAAAAGTGTACCGGACAAAAAACCCAGTAATTTTTTTTTTTCCTATTTGAAAGTCTTTCATAATCTTTCCTAACAGAAGAAAAGAAAGAAGGAAGGAAGGGAGGGAGGGAGGGAGGAAGGGAAGGAGGGAGGGAAAGAAGTGTGGGTCTAATAGGGTTTGGATATGGTTTGGCTCTGTGTCCCCACCCAAATCTCATGTTGAATTGTAATTCCCAGTGTTGGGGGAGGGACCTGATAGGAGGCGACTGGATCATGGAGGTGGATTTCCCCCTTGCTATTCTCATGATAGTGAGTGAGTTCTCAGGAGATCTGGTTGTTTAAATGTGTGTAGCACTTCCCCCTTCACTCTTGCTCTCCCGCTCTGCCATGTGAAGAAGGTGCTTGCTTCCACTTCACCCTTCCGCCATGATTGTAAGCTTCCTGTGGCCTCCCCAGCCATGCTTCCTGCACAGCCTGCGGAACTGTGAGGCAATTAAACCTCTTTTCTTCAGAAATTACCCAGCATCAAGTAGTTATTTATAGCAGTGTGAGAACGGACTAATACAGGGTCTTTAGTGAGAAGTTTATACTGGAACTAAATGAATCATATGTACGGTGGGTTTATGTAAGAATGGCTAAATGGCTAAATGCAGCAGGGTGTATTCCTTATCCACTGCTCTGTAACAAATTTCACAGCTTAGAAAAATATGCATTTATCACTTCATAGTTTCTGTGGGCTGGGCGTCCAGGAATAACATTGCTGGGTTCTCTGCTTCAGGATCCCCTCTGAAAGCTACAATCAAAGTGTCATCCACAAAATCTTATCTCAAGCCTTGACTAGAGAAGGACCCACTTCCAAGACCACAGAGTTGAATGAATTCAGTCCTTGCAGCCCGTTGAACTGAGGGCCTCCCCAACATGCTCACCTGCTTCATCAAAGCCTGCGAGAGAGAGAGTCCACTAGCAAGAGGACATTGCAGTCTTATCTAATGCAATCACTGAAGTGACATCCTGTCACCTTGGTCACCTTTTCTATTCTATTCATTATAAATGAGTCCCAAGTCCTGCCACACTCAAGTGGAGGGGATTACACAGGGCTGGAGTACCAGCGGTGGGGATAATTTGGGGTCATCTTAGAGTTCTTCCATCACACGGGAATTCTCAGCTCACCAAATCTGGGATTCCGCATCTGGCCATTCCTTAAGCTGAAGGCCTGGCATATTTTTGAGTGTCCATTTGGATCAGCTAATAAACCCAGGGTTTGTCTACTGGCTGGAGGAGTAAGAACTATAAGGCTAATTGAAATGAATCTACTTAAAATAGTGACCTGATTTTTCTAATAATTACTGGAAGGTAAGGGTTGATTGAGACTTTAAAATAAAACCAAAAATTATTCTAAATTTTTCATATTTTATATAAGAAAGTTTTGATTTTTACTGCAACCATTTTCTAACTCTTAAAATAAAGAAAGGATAATTCAAGTGTTGATATTTTCCCAACATAAATATACAGGAACATAATGTAGCTTACTTGTATTTTATCTTTGATTTACACAAGAGAATTTTTATACAAATATTCCAGGCTCATTAGTTTTCCCAAAGGCTTCTCATAATCCTTTGATATTTAAATCATTCCCTCTTTCAAGTCATTTTTTATCTGCCTTGTCGATACTCTTTTTGTTAATTTGCCCAACTCATCTGGATCTTCCTTTGTCACTGGCTCTGTAAATTTGAGTATTTCTCCAATAATGCTCCTGTCAACTTTATGAAACCCTTTGTCTTTTGCAAGATTTAAAAATTCCCTTTATAATAAGCATTCTACAGTAAGTGAAGACTCACTAGCAAATATATGAGTGATGGATCAAGAGAGACAAAGTGTTAAAAATTGACAGATGCAACTTTTAAAAATGAAATTCTTGGTTACCATCTAACAAAGTAAGTACAGGACCTGTATGCTGAAAACTACAAAACACTAATGAAGGAATCAAAGAAAGTGTAAATAAATGGAGAGATATACCATGTTCATGAATTGGAAGTCTCAGAATTATTAAAATGTAAATTCTATCCAAATTGATCTATAGATTCAACCCAATCACAATCAAAATCCTAACTGGCTGTATAAATTGACAAGCTGATTCCAACATTCACATAAAAATCCAAAGAATGTAGAAGAGCCAAACAGCTTTGAGAAAAGGAGAAAAAAGTTAAAGGATTCACATTATCTGATTCCAAGGCTTCTTATAAAGCTACAGTCATTGAGTCAGTATGGTACTGGCAAAAGGAGAGACACATTCTATGTATCTATCTGTCTATATATCTATGTGAAATATAATAAAGAGTTCAGAAATAGATCCACAAATAAGATCAATTGAATTTTGGCAAAGATGAAAAAATAATTCAATGGAGAAAGGACAGAATTTTCAATAAATGATGCTGAAACAATTAGACATCCATATGCAGGAAAAAAATGTTTGACCTATATGTTCATTTTATACAAAAAATTAATTCAAAAAGAATCATAGACCTAAATGTAAAACATAAAAACTTTTAAACTTTTAAAATAAAATATAGGTAAAATCTTCGTGACCTACAATTAGGCAGAGTTCTTGGAGATGACATCAAGAATTTAATTCATAAAAAGAAAAAATTTATAAGTTGGATTTCATTAAAACTAGAAACTTTTGCTCTAAAAAGAGCAAAATTAAAATTATAAGAATAAAAAGAAAAGCCATGGACTGTCATATGCCTGACAAAGGATATACAGACTATAGGAAGTACTCTCAAACTCAACAGTAAGAAAATAAGCAACCCAAGTTAAAAATGGGCAAAATATTTGAACAGACACTTCACTAAAGAAGATTATATGGATGTTAAATAAGCATAAATAAAGAAGATATATGGATGGCAAATAAGCATAAGATTCTCAGCATCATTACTCATTAGGGAAATGCACATTGAAACCACAATGACATGCCACTACATACCTACTATAATGGGGAAAAAACTGACAATACCAACTGCAGAGCCACTGGAGCACTCATACATTGCTAATGGGAATGCAAAATGGTAAAACCACTTTACAAAACAGTTTGGGAGTTTCTTATAAAGTTATAACACCAAAACCAGAAACAACAAAATGTCCCTCAACTGGTGAGGGGTGCTATGGTCTGAATGTTTCTGTCCTTCCAAAATTTGTAAGTTGAAACCTAATCCCCAATGCATGGGTATTTGGAAGTGGGGACTTTAGGGTGGGATTAAATTATGAAGTCAGACCGCTCATGAACGGGGTCAGTGCCTGATATGGTTAGAATATGTAACTCTTCCAAATCTCATGTTGAAATATAGTCTCCAGTGCTGGAAGTGGGGCCTGGTGTGAGGTGTTTGGTCATGGAGGTGGATCCCTCATTAATGGCTTGGCACATCCCCTTGGTGATAAGTGAGCTCTCACTCTGAGTTCATGTGAGATCTGGTTGTTTAAAAGTATGTGGCATTCCCCCACACACAATTTTGCCATGTGATGTGCCTTCTCCTGCTTTATCTTCCACCATGAGTAAAAGCTTCCTGAGGTCTCCCCAGAAGTCGAGGAGATGCCAGCACCATGCTTCCTGTACAGTCTGCAGAATTATGAGCCAATAAAACCTCTTTTCTTTATAAATCACTCAATCTCAAGTATTTCTTTATAGCAATGCAACAATGGACAAAGGCCGAGCACCGTGGCTCACGCCTGTAATCCCAGCAGTTTGGGAGGTGGGTGGATCACTTGAGGCCAGGAGTTCGAGACCAGCCTGGCCAACATGGTGAGACCCTATCTCTACTAAAATACAAAACTTAGCAGGCATGGTGGTGCACGCCTGTAATCCCAGCTACTCGGTAGGCTGAGGTAGGAGAATTGCTTGAACCCAGGAAGCAGAGGTTGCAGTGAGCTGAGATCACACCACTGCACTCTAGCCTGGGTGGCAGAGTGAGACTCCGCCTCAGAAAAAAAAAAAAGAATGGACTAACACAGTGTCCTGACAAAAGAGGCCCCAGAAGATCCCCATCCACCATGTCAGATATAGCTAGAAGGTGCTGTCTATGAACCAATAAGTGGACCCTCACCAGACACTCAATCTACCAAATCTGCTGATGCCTTTATCTTAGATTTGCCAGCCCCTGGAACTGAGATAAATACATTTCTGTTGTTTACAAACCACACAGTTTATGATATTTTGTTATATAGCCCAAATGGACTAAGACAAGTGAATAAACCAGCTCTGGCACGGCCATAAAATGAAACATTATCGAGCAGTAAAAAGGAAAGAAACATTGATACGTGCAACAACTTGGGTGAATCTCAAGTGCATTACGCCATTTGAAAGAAGTTAGACTCAAAAGACTACATACTGTGTGATCCCATTTATACAATATTCTGCAAAGGCAAAACTGTAGCAACAGAGAACATATCAGGGTTTCCAAGAGTTGGGGAGAAGGGAGGATTGGACTAACAAAGAGAAGCTGCATTAGAGAGACTTTTAGGGTGATGGAACTGTTGAATATCTTAATTGTGGTAGTGGTTACACAAGTCCATGCATTTGTCAAAATCATAAAACTGTACTCCAAAAAAAAAATTACCATATGTAAATTAAAAGTAAACTTTTGAAAGTCATCAACAAAATTTGAAAATAATGAAAAAAATTTGATCAGGGTCTGTCTCATTTTATAAGGGATCAATTTATTGGTCACTTTATTGATGTACAAGGTTCAGGGGCACTCTGTTACTTATTCATTTATTCTTTTTTTTTTTTTTTTTTTTGAGACAGAGTCTCACTCCATCACCCAGGCTGGAGTGCAGTAGCGTGATCTTGGCTCATTGCAGCCTCTACCTCCCAGGTTCAAGGGATTCTTGCGCCTCAGCCTCCTGAGTAGCTGGAATTACAGGCATGCACCACCATGACTGGCTAATTTTTATATTTTTAATAGAGACGGGGTTTCACCATGTTTGGCCAGGCTAGTCTCGAACTCCTGGCCTCAAGTGATCCACCTGCCTTGGTCTCCCAAAGTGCTGGGATTACAGGCATGAGCCACCACACCTGGTCTCATTCATTCTTTGTTTCTAAAATACCTGTTGAACAATGCACTAATGAAATTCCCTTGATTCTGTTCCTAACAGCTCTAGAAGCCCTCTCCGTCTCTACTGTTCCAACCTTAGTTTGAACATTCACTCTGCTATGGTATTCCCACAACTTTTCAGTTGGTTTTCTTATTTCTAGCCTCAATCCCCCCACCCCCAGGCCTTTTCCTGAAGCTACTGAAATGATTTTTCTAAAGCATAAATAAGATCTTACTCTCCCTTGCTCAAAACTCAACAGAACTTTTCATATCTTCAGTGGCTCTCCATTGACAATCAATGGAACCCAAACTCTTTAGCCTGGTACCCAAGGCCCTACATGATATAGCTTCTCCTTGACTTCTTAATCTCTTTATTTTTGTAGCCACCCTCATGCCATACATTCTAGTCAGACTGAGTTATTAGCCTTTACTCAGACATATGGTAGAGTGTGTTATTGGTCAAAATATTCACTGCCCTTCTCTGTGGGAGGATTGGTATCCCTGATGCACTGACGTCAAGCTTGGCCATGTGACTCATCCTGTCAAATAAAATGTAAGTGGAAGAGACTTATGCCACCCCAGAGCAGAAACTTTAAGAACCAATGTATGGTTCTACTATCTCTCTTCTCTCTGCCACCAGCAATGAACATATAACATGAGCTAAAAATAAACCTTCATTGTCATAAGCTACCAATATTTGGGGTTTGTTTGTCACCACAACATAACTTAGCCTAAGCTGACTGAAACACTCTTAGGTTGAGAGCGCCCCAATTATTCACTTTGTAGTCTCTGTGCATAGTATAGACACTTAACTGCATAACTGGCATTCACTACCTACTTGTTGAATAAATGAATACAATGAGTGAGTGAATAAACAAGTGACCAATGAATGAACAAGTGATCTGGGCCTTTACACATGCTATTCTCCCTGTAAAGAGTGGCCATCCCTGCTTCTTCACTTGCCCAACTCTTTCTCAAGTCAAACCTCGAAGATCTCCTCTAAGAAGACTTCCCTGCCCATCTGTCTTAGGCCTTTTGTGCTGCTATAACAAAACATAGACTGGGTAACTTATAAACAACAGAAATGTATTCCTCACAGTTCTGGAGGCTGGGAAATACAAGATCAAGGCACAGCATTCAGTGTCTGGTGAGGGCCTCCTTGCTGCATCCTCACATGGCAGAAAGCAAAAATGCAAAAAGGGCCTAAGCTGGTTCCTTCCAGTCCTTCAATAAAGCACTAATTCATTCATAAGGGCGGAGCTCTTTTGAGTTAATCACTTTCCAGAAGGCCTACCTCTTAATGCCACAACAATGGGGATTAAGTTCCAACAAATGAATTTGGGGAGACATTTAGACCATAGTACCATCCTCCCTCCTCTGCAAGGCATCCATGTATATTTCTGCTCTTGTAATAATTGTCTGTCTCCCTGCTCTGACTTTGAGACCCTAAGGCAGAGCTAGGTTGGCCTCACCTTAGTGGCTCCTGTGCCCAGCACAGTGCCTGGCCCAGAGCAAGTGGATGGATGAATGAACAAATGAGTGAGACAGTGGGGAGTCTGCAGCTCTTCCAAGCAGCCACAGGCCCTCTCCACTCCAGGCCTTTGCAAATGCTCTTCCCTCTTCCTGGAGCACCAGTCCCCTCCCTAGTTGCCTGCCTAACCCTTCTAAATCCTTTAGCACCACCTGCCCCATCCACTGCCCATCCCTGTCACAACTAAGTCACTCCCTCTCCCTGTTACCACAAACTTAACATATCCCTCCAACAGAGCCCTTGTCACATGGTTGAGATCCTCTGTGGTCTGTCTCTCTCTGAGCACCCTGAGGGCACAGATTGCATCTGATTCATCCTATTTCCGCATACCTAACAACAACAAAATCATGATAGCAAAAACAAAAACAATAATAATAATAATAACAACCAACCAGGGCTTGTTGCAGTCAAATTAATGATGAATTAATATTTGATTGAATTAATGAATTAATTTGAATTGGTTCTCACCTCTTCTTCCATTGTCCCTCAGAAAGGCCCAGGCTCATTGGAGGACGACTTTCTGAATGTGATGGGACTCAGCTGATGGACCTTCTTTACCACAGCTGACTTCTCTCTCAGTCCCTTGCACTTGTCCCTAACCTCATGGGCCACATGACCCCATAAGCGCATGCAACAGGGCCGTAAGACTCAGCACACAGACCCCCTTCCCAAATCCACTTCCCATGTCCCCCAGCAGGCCAGCCAGAGATGTTTCAGAGCACATGACTCCAAGGAATTGTGCACACCAGGCCTAACTGGCTTGAAGCCTCCTCTAACCTGCAACCAAAGGAGATGACTTTGGGAGAGGGAGGAATGGAGAAAGGTAGGCAGTGAAGGAGGAGCAAGAAGGCGTCGACATCTATCCTGAGGTCAACATGCATGGCTAATTGCATAATCAACTGCAGATGGGAGCCAGAACTCTGACAGTGAGATGAACACCCAAGGTCAAGACACACTAATCACCTCCTCACCATGCATTCCTCTCTAACTGACTCTTCCTCTGGAGAATCCCAAGGGAAGAAAGGAGAACGAGAGGAGGAAAGAAAAAGAAGCACTCATTCCGAACCCATCCTACAGGAAGGCCTCCAGGAACTTCAATCACCCAGAAGCCAACCAGGAACTAGAAACAGAAAGCTTCTGCAGAACTGATCACGACTCATCAGAGGCCGTGAGAGCAAGGAAAGAATCAGGAACTGCCACAAATTGGAAGAGTCTGAGGAAACACAACAGCTATGAGCAATGTGGGATCCTGAATCAGATCCTGAAACAGAAAAAGAACACTAGAGAGAAACTGGTGAAATTTGCATAAGGTACAATAATAGCATTGTACCAGTGTTAATTTCCTGGTTTTGACCATTGTGCCGTGGTTCCGTAAGTTGTGAACATTAGGGGAAGCTGGGTGAAGGGTATGCATGAACTTTCTAAAATATTTTTGTAATTTTTCTGTGAGTCTAAAATTATCTTTAAAAGGGTGTTTTATTTTGTCTTTTAAAGGACTTCCAGGCGGCCAGCAACATCCTGGTAAGAATGAAGTCATTCCCACCAAACCTGGTTTTGCTGAATTGGCCATGAATGTGGCTTATTTATTTAGCAATCACGGATATTGTTTTCTCTAGAAAACTTCAGTTCTTCCGTGAAGCTTGGATATCTCAAACGGAAGGAGGAGGAGAGCTGGAAGTGACAGGAAGAGAGAAAGGATTAATGCAGGCAGGTTGGAGCCATTTAGCACAAGGGCAGACAGGCCTACACACCTGAAGGACCTCTGGAGGCAGCCTCCTGTTCCAGCACAATCACTGATATCTTTATGATCCAGCTCCATTTTTGCAGCAAATGTTCCTGGAGCCCTGAACCACACATCAAGCTAGGGACACAGTATTGAAGTCCACAGTCCTTTGGAGGGCAGGACTCAGTTTCTGCCCTCCAAAGGCTCACAAACAGGGAGGCAAGTATGCACAACACAAAAGAAAATCGTATGTGATTTCCATCATTTTGAAATGTGAGGTGTGCTATCGGACCTCAGATGAGGATGCTACTCATTTAACCTGCACGGAGTCAAGGTCAGAAAAGCCTCCAGAGAAGGGGGTATGGGCATTAGAGGTGCTAGAGCCCAGGAGTTGAGGTGGAGAGTGGCTAGAATAGAATCCAGAGACTGGGCAGGAACTAGATCAGAAAGGACCTTGACTATCTTGCTACAAGGCCACATGGACTTGATTCTGCAGCAATGGAAAGTCCCTAAAGGGTTCTAGCAAGGGTGTGGCTTGATTTAAGGAAGCTCGGAGGCTGCAGTGTGGAGAGGTGTCTTTTTTTCAAGAGTCTGAGTTGAGGAGAGGTTATAGTGAGGCCAGTCTGTGCCCTGCTTTTGGGGGCAGAATGTACATTGTGTGACAGTGAAAATGAACACAGCAATAATCCAAGCAGAGAGGCTGAGAAAACAACTTCTTCCCCACAGGACCTAATTCATGAGCCTCCACCACCCATCAGGCCGCCCTGCCTTTCCCCGTGTGCAAAAACTCAGCTGCTCCAGGCCAGGAGGGTTGCTTGTTCATGTGCTAGACCGCCTTAAGGTGACACGATTAATGTTCTCCTTGGAATGACTTCCCCACAGCATTTCAGGTCCATCATGGCCAGCTCAAAATGAATAGCAGAGAGACTCAGACAGCCTCCTGGTGCCTGCCTAAGAGAAGCAGATGCAAGGGGAACTGGAGCCCCCTCCGCACAGCCGTCACATTGCGTTCAGGGATTCCCTGTTCCTCTGAGTGTTGTGGATGTGTGCAGGTGACATGGAGACATTCTTGAGTTCCCAAGAGTCACCAGGAACTCTGGGAGAGAGCACCAGGACAGAAAGGAGAGGCACCAGCCGGGAAGGTGGCTCACGCCTGTAATCCCAGCACTTTGGGAGGCTGACGTGGGTGGATCACTTAAGGTCAGGAGTTTGAGAGCACCCTGGCCAACATAGTGAAATACTAAAAATACAAAAATTAGCCAGGTGTAGTGCTGTGCTCCTGTAATCCCAGCTATCCAGGAGGCTGAGGCAGGAGAATGGCTTGAATGCGGGAGGTGGAGTTGCAGTGAGCCCAGATCGCGCCACTGCACTCCAGGATTCCAGCATGGCCGACAGAGCAAGACTCTGTCTCAAAAACAGAGGGGAGGGAAGGGGAAGGAGGAATGGGGAGGAGGAGGGGAGGGGAGGGAAGGGGAGGGGGGTGTGGAGAGGAGGGGAGGGAAGGTGAGGGGAAGGGAAGGAGGGAGGGAGGAAGGAAGAAAGGGAGGGGAGGGAAGGTGAGGGAGGGAGGGAGGGAGGGAGGGAGGGAGGCAGGCATGGTTGAAAGTCCCCAGTTACACTGCACTGGCCACTTCAGCAGCAGGGACCGCAGGCTGGAGATGCTGTCAAGAAAACCCAGGTACCAGGAAATGCATGAGGGTGACCTCGTCTGCTGGAATGACATTCTGGAAGGACAAATGATTTGTTCCAGAACACACAGCAAGTAAGTGGCAGAAGGGGGATTTGAACTCAGGTCTTCAAATCCTCTAGACCCAGAGCCCAAGCCAGTCCAGAACATCTCCATGCTTTCTGGAACTTAAAGGAGGCAGAGGCCTCACATGACTCCCTGCGTTCCCTCCCTATCCCCCTGCTGGCCAATGCTTCACAAGAGTATTGGGTATCTACTAGGGGCCAGGCCAGTCACTACCCCTCCTGAACCATGGCCTTTTCCCCTTTGTCCTCTGAAATGAACTGTGGAAACGTCTCTCACACACACAGGTTTTCTACAAATGCTTTTTGCACCATTTTTGTTCATTTATACACCATCTTCTTCCAAAAATGCATACATAGTATAATGTTTTCTTTAACAAGTGAGTAAACAGAGGCAAAGGAAACATACATTCGTCTCCTTTTTTTTTTTTTTAATCAGGGAGTGATTCAAGCAATGGTTTAAAATAAACAAAAAGAATAAAAACTGTTTTTGGAAGAAATGAAACTATTTTTGTTACTAAGCCTGGAAAGAAAGTTCTCCCATAGGCTGAATAAATATTAGTTCCTTTCCCTTTGCCCCTTCTGCCTGGAACCCCAAATTCCTCCTCCATCTTCAAGCCGGAAGCCTAACTCTCTTGCCTCGGCTGGGCAAATGCATAAAGATAAGACACTCTTTTTAGAAAATTAAAGTATAACATACTTACATTAAAATGCACAGAAGTGTACTGTTCTGTCAATTTTCACAAATAAAATACACCTGTGTACCCAGCACCCAGCTCAAGAAACAGCATTACCAGCAAGTCCCCCACTTCTAGTCACTACCTTGCCCCAAAGGTAAATACTGCTTGGGCTCCAATACCATGGATCTGCTTTTCCTGCTTTGGAACTTTATATAAATGGAATCATACAGCATTTGGCTTCTTTAGCTCAACCCTGTAACTTATTCATATGTTTGCTTGTAGTTGTAATGTGTTCACTTTCATTGCTGTGGAATGTTCTCATCCTGTGACTGTACCACAATTTACTCTCCAGTAGATGTTCAGGTTCATTCATTCTTGGTCAGGAAAATAAAGATGATCACAGGTTGCACGTGGGTATTTTTATCTGCATTAACTCTTGTTAATAATTCATGTAAGTGCTTGAGTTCAGGAGATGCCAACATTATTTTTCTAAACTTTTAAATTAGACTCAAATGCAACATCCAAAAACTGTCAGTCTGGCAGCTGACATTATTCTGAACACTGAAATCTATTTTTGTAACCAAAGATGTCTTAGTCCTGTGGCCAGGGGAGCAACAAACAAATAGAAAAGGCATAAGAAATGTTTTTTCTTTGCTCTTGTACAAATAGACATTCAACATGTGTAGGCAACATTTATTGAGACGTTATTGTGTGTCAGGAACTGTACTAAACACTTTGCATGTATTGTTACATTCGATCCTGACAACAACCCTCTGAAATAGCTTTACTTGAATTACTCCCATTTTTCAAGCTCTGTCTGTGTCATCCCATCTTTCTCATCCTCAGGACTTACTGTAGGATCCAGTATAACCAGGCATTCAATAAATGCTTATTAAATAGAGCAATGAATGAATAACAGCAGCTACCATTTATTGAGCCCTTAGTATATACAAGGCACTGTGCCAAATGTTTACATCCGTTATCCTGTTTAATCTTACCAACAGACCTGTGAGGACATAGGGAACATCTTCAGGGTTTTTGCCAGGCTCATGAGTTCTACCTTCTCTGAGAATAATGAATGCACATGAAAACAAGCTGCCATATTTGTGCTACATGATCCCACCCTTTGGTCACAGTTGATTGGACCAGGGGTGCAGTTCCACCAATTAGATTCTTTCTTGGGAATTTGGACGTGTGGTTGAAAGATGGCCAGTTAGTCCTGCCTGTGGCTAGAATTGAGGAGCTGTAAACTCATTCTCAAGCTGCAGTGAGGGCTTTTTTTACAAAATAATGGAAAAAGAAGGTCTGCAGGGAGAAAAAAATTAAGTGATTAAGCAGAGAGGCACAGAGACAAGAGGCAGAGTCTTACCTAGGTTCCTGTCTGTTTCTCTGGTTCTCACTCCAAGGCCTCAGAGAGCCCAGACGTGAGTTCTAGTAAATTCTCCAGGTTTTGTTAAAATGGCCCAAGTTGGTTCCTACTAGTTACTACCAAAAAATAAAAATCTAAGCCAGGGACAGTGGCTCACACCTATAATCCCAGCAACTTGGGAGGCTGAGGCAGGAGGATTGCTTGAGACAAGGAGTTCAAGACCAGACAAGGAGTTCAAGACATCGCAAGACCCTGTCTCTAAAAAATAAATAAATCTAAACGAAGATAGGTCAATATTATTTTTCCCATTCCACAGATGAAAAAAATGGAGGCTCTGAAGAGGTAAAGTGACTTGCCCAAGGTCACACGTTCGGTGTGGCAGAGCAAAGACTTGAGCCCAAACTCACCCAACTCTCTGCAGCCTGAGCAGCCTCCCCTTCCCCACACCAGTGCTCCTTGGGACATCTGTCCAAGCCAACAGGACATCTGTCTTTCCCTGCCGCACCCCCACCCCAACCCCGCCGCTAGCTTTTTGAGGGCTGGGGTCATGTCTGACTCACTGTAGCAGCTCCCCCTAGGCTATACACCATCAGGTGTCACTTGCAAACCACCAGGGTGGAGATTTCATAGGGTTAGAAGAAACATCATGGCATGACTGATGGGAAATTAATGGGTTTTGGTGGCTGCAAATTGTAGAGGCAGAAAAGCGGAGCATGGAACTGAGACACTCTGTGGTGACCTTGACAGAGAATCCAGTGAGAAATTGATTAAAGTCTGTGGCAATGGACTTTAGATCCCAGATCAGAAGAGAGACAACCATAGACTAAAGCCCTTGCTGGGAGTACTGCATGTCACTGAAAATGGAGAGCCCCGGAAACTTCCTCATGCCCACAGTCTCAGCCCAGCTGTCCTGACTTCGGCCTTGGCAAAGGAAGTGGTTTTGGGTCCAGGCCAAATGTGGGGGCCTGGGCTGACCCAAGAGGCTGGACCCAGAGAATCCTAAGTCCTCACTCTGCAGAGTCTGGACCATTTGATCCCCCTTGCACCCACATACCCCAACTCATCCTCCATGCAGCAGAGAGATCTTTCTAAAATAACAACCTGACCAAGCCACCCCTCTTAAAGCCCTTATATGGTTCCCAAGGCCTTCACCCTATCATTCAAGGCCTTTACGACCTGCCTTTCCTGTCTTTCCTCATAACACACCATTCATTCACACTCAACTTTGCTCCCAATGTTCCGAGTTACCTGTGTCCCTGGAATCACCTTGGTCTCTTGACACCTATTCCATCATTGTACACATAAGCTATTCCCTCTCCTGGAACATCTCACTCACTGCATCCCATTCATCTGATGAAATCTTGATTGAACTTTAAGCTCAACTCAAGAAACACACCCTCAAAGAGGCCTTTTCTGACCTCCACAGATTGAGTTAAGTGTTTTTTCTTTGAGCACACATCTGGCACAGAAAATATATTGTTCTGGGATCATTTGTTTATAATCTGCTTCTTTTAACACATTGCCAGCTCCTAGAGGGCAGGGACCTTGTTTTCCACATCCTTTTTTTTTTCATCAGTTCATAGCAGAGTTCTTGGCCTGTAGTGAGCATCAGTAAGTATGCATGGGACATATGGGTGGATAGATGCAGATGGGGTAAGTGGATGGGTGATGGGAGTTTGAATGGATAGATGAGGAGTGGGTGAATGGGAGGAAGAATAAATGCATGTGTAGGAGGATGGGGAGGTGGTTAGATGAGAGGAAGGGAGGAAGGAAGGCAGGAAGGAAGGAAGGATTGAAAGATGGGAGGAGGCCTAGGTGGATAAGTGGGAGGACAGATGGGTGAATGGGTGGATAAACGGATAGATCATAGGAGGATGGAGAAAGGATAAGTGGACCCATAGGAGGATAGATGAGTGGATGGGTAGGTGGGTAGATGGATGGATCAATCAGTTCTGCCTAGGCTTAGGGTTCAGTCCTTAGATTGTCTTTGTGACCTGGACTCCTCTCAGAGTTCTGCTGCCTGCCGATGACTCCTGAAATTGAACATGTGTATAATCAAACTCATATTCTCCTTTCTCACATTTGATTCCCTTCTAGTGTTCTGTTCCTTGGTGACTGGCAACACCACCCACCTGCCTGCACCAGGTTGGCCTAACTTGTTTGGGGCAGGTTTAGGTAGAAATCTGGGTTCTGCTCCTAATTAGCTATGTGTCCTTGAGCAAGTTACTTGAGTGCCATAAACCTCACTGCTGCATGTGAAATATAAAGAAAATATTACCCACCTCCTCAGGATGTTGGGAGGATGGAATTAAATGCTGCATGTAGCATAACTAACACATTGTCAGGCCTCTCTAAGGAGATGTCAGGACTGGGCTGGGGGCAGGAGCAGAAAGTTCTATACCCAGTCCCTGCTCAGCGCTCAGCCACTTACCCTGAAATAAACTCTACCTTGAATACAGATCTTCAAGAAGCCCCAGAAATAAGTTTCCCCAGAAAGGCCGCTGGAGATAGGAGAGGAGAGGCTGTCTTTTATACTTCAGCTCCTGGAGACCTAGTCCAGGGTCCTAGAAGAGAGGTTTCCCTCCTAAAGGAAGACAGAAGGGGCAGCCTGGCTGTGTTAAGCCGTTCTTACATTGCTATAAAGGAATATATGAGACTGGGTAATTTGTAAGGGGGTAAAGCAAAGACATTTCAAAGAAGGAAGGATGGTAGGGAGGTACAAGCTGATCAGGCCCAAGAGACCCTTCCAACATCTCCATGCCATGGGCTCTGTTTGGGATGAATGACATCATGGATCCTGTTCTTTGCAAACAGAAAAGACGTTTTTTGGGATTCCCTGTGAGCGGCTGGGGTGACATGAAGCACACTCTAGGGCAAGCCCCAAAGCCCAGCACTTGGGGACTCTTTGGGCATCTCACTGTCCTGAGATCTCACTTCCTGATTTCCCTCAGACTCTTCCCTCCAGCATCCCTACCTATCCCTAGGCCAAGCAAACACTAAACACCACTGTGCCTCCCTGGTACCCAGTAGATGCCCCTTCTGCAAATCTGACCCTACACGAAGAAAGCCTCAAAACTATGACATACCTAGAGACATAAAGGATAGTCATGGGCATGCACAAGCCTCCCCATGAAGATGTCCGTTGCAGTGTTGTTTAGAAGTATGAAAAATGGAAACAAACTAAATGCTCAGAAATAGGGGACTGGTTAAAAAAATATGTGCAATACAACCATCTGATCCTATGCTAGGTAGCCACTAAAAGTGTGACATAGGAGAGGAGATATCAGTCAGCAAGCTCACTCCATTTAAGGACTCTTGTAGAGTTACACAGGTAAAAAGAAAGGAAAACAGGAAAGCTCAATATTCACAATGACTGGATTTTCTTTTCTTCTTTTTCCTTTTGTATTTTCCAAGTGCCCTACACTAATATATATTTGTGGATGGATACATAGACACACAGAGATTGGTAGGCACGCCGTCATAAGCCAGCTCCCTGAAACTACACCCAACACCACTGGAAAACAGTCCTGGTTCCAGTCTGAGGAGCAAGCCAGATTTGCCAGGCCAGTGATGCACAAATAGGGGAGTGGACGGGAATTAACTCTTTAGGGCTAGGACCTTCCGCAAGGACTCACTCAAAGTGTGCCACACACACTTATCCCTGGTCCCCCCACCCCCACCACAACACACACACACACAAACACACAGAGTCTTGCCAAAGGGGGCAGCTTACAGGCAAAACCACTCAACAACTAGAATATCCATCCTGGAAGGGTCAGCAGGTGTCCTCAGAGAGATCAAGGTTATACCGTGGGCACAGCCCTAGCTTGGGAGTTGTAGAGCCTCCAATCCTACCTCTTTGACCCTAGCCTATCCCCTCCTTTCTCTGATCCTTCATTTATTCATTCATAAAATAAATGCATGAGGTTGGACAAAGGGTCTCTCAGGTCCCCTTCCTCGGTTCTCTGAGAATTGTTTCCCTTTATTCTAGCCTCATCCCTTACTCAGAGCTGATGTCCCCGTGACAGCCCCAGCCTGCAGGAGGGCGGGGAGTGGGGGCGGGGGGGGGGCGGTAAATAGTGCAGGGAGCAGAGCCCAGAATGAACAGTTACCAGAGGAGGCTGGGAGATGTCCTCAAGCACCCAAGCCCTAGACCACGCAGCTTCCCCTGCCTGGCCCCAGGGAAGCCCAAGACGTGATGACTGGCAGGGCTGGGGTTTGTTTTCTCCACCGGAGCCTGCTCTGCCCCATCCTCCCTGCAAGGCCAGTCCCTGGCCAACTTTCCCTTCCACAACATCCCCATGGCTTCACTGCTTCCCCAAGGTTTAGCATCAACATGTTCAGCCCTTTGTCACCATGCTTTATTTTTGAGAACCACTTTCCCGCCAGTGACAAGCCTTTGGGTTTTGAAACGAACCCAGCTTTTGACTCCCCTTGCCTCCTAAGCCCCAGTTTCCTCATCAACAGTAGTGGTTCAGAGAGTGTTAGCAACAACACATTTCATCAATTCCTGCAGCAAATTCACTGAGTGCCCACTCTGTGCAGACCCCTGCAGCCCTACCCAGACGCTGCCCTCCTGGCGCTCCCAGGCAAGTGGCGGAGGTTAAATAAATAACTCCTCCACGCTGGCGAGCACCCCAACACAGTAGGGGTGCAATCATTGGGAGCAATATCCTAATGAGGACAGGGAGGCCTGAGAGATGGGCTGGGATTCGTCCAAGGCCCCAAAGCAGGGTGGGGACAGAGCAGGTCCTGGAAGCCTGGAACCCCGGCCTGAGCCAGGCATCCCCTCGGGGCCGGCTTCCACCTGCCAGGGCTGAGCCCTATGCCCTGACGTTTGGGCAGCGGGGAACGGGGGCACAGGGAGGGTGACGGGGTGAAGGAAACAGGCCTGCTGGTGGCTCCGAAGGAAGGTTTGGGCCAGGCCTAGCTGGAATCCCAAAACTCACCTGCCAGCAACCGCGAGCGGGAAGCCCTGCCAGGCTCGCCTGCCCCTGCCAGCGGCCCAGCCACGCTGGGTCCCCCTCTCCATCCCGCACTTTGCTCTTTGCCCGCGACAGGGGTCCCCTGCTCAAATGCCCAGCCTAGCCTCGGTCCAACCTGTCTGGCTGTCCTTCCCTGACACCTCGTTTGTCTACCCTTCTCTGCACGTGTCAGTGGCTCCCCGCTCGCGTCCGTGTGTCATTCCCTACACACGCCTGTGTGTCCTCTTCACACGTCTGACTGGAGCGTCGGCCTCCCGCATTTCCCGGCCTCCTCGCCGCCCTGCCCCGCCTGCTGCTGTGTGGGTGTCGGGCTGGCTGTGCGCAAAGGGGCGCGGCTCGGCCCTCCCCCGCACCCGCGCCCCCCGCCCCGCATCTCGGAGTGACCCGGGCCGCGGCGCCGCGGTGCTGAGGCCCGGGAGCCGCGCCGCCGCCGAGGGGGGCCGGGGCCGGTGACGGTGGCGTGGGCGGCGGCGCGGGGACGACGGGCGGCCGGGCGGGGCTGCGGCAGGGCAGGGCCAGGGCCAGGGCCGGGGCCTGGGAAGCCGCCGCCGCCGCTGCCTCGGCCCGGGATCGCGGGCGGCTGGTCGGCCCGGCTCGCCTGGCCCCGCCTGGCCCGCCCCGCCCCGCCCCTGCGCGCCCAGCAGGCCGAAGCGTAGCGGCGCGCCCCCCGCGACGCCCGAGCCCGAGCGCAGTGGCCTCCGAGCGGGAACCGGACTGGGAGCCGGAGCCGGGGCGGGAACCGGAGCTGGAGCCGAAGCTGGAGCCGGCACTGCGGCGCACGGAGCGGAGCGCTGCAGCCAAGCCGAGTAAGGGGCGTGGGGCTGGGCGGCGCGGGGGAGGGGCGGGCGGGGGGTCCCGGCCCCATTCCCCCGCGCTCTGCGGTGGTACCGGCGAACGACACACCCGGGGGCGCGCCGCGCGGAGCCTCGGTGCGCGGGGCGGGCGGATGCGCGGTCCGGAACGGAACCGCAGCGCGCTCGGAACGGAGCGGGATCCCGGGTCTCCCGCGGACCCTCGACCCCGGGCTGGCCACTGGGATCTGCGCGAGCCGAGGCTGACCCTGATCGCGCCCTCGGGCCTCGGGGAAGGGGAGGTATCCAGGTTTTCTGCCTGACTCGAGTCCCCGACGAGCATCAACCGCATTTGGGGAACCCAAGACAGCCTCCCCAGCAGCTTGCCCTCGGTTTCGGGGACCCCTGAACAACCCAACCAAGAAGGGAAAACTAGGGCGCACTCTCGGTCGGGGTGGGAGAGGAAAGGGGCTGGGGCTTCACGGAGTTTGGAGTTTGAACCCACCCGCACCCCTTTGAGCTAGGAAGTTTGACCCTTCGACGAGCAGGTCGCCTGGGGTATGCCCCTGTCTCCGTGCCTCTGTCTCAGCACCGAGCGTCGGAGAGAGAGCGCGCCCTCCGCACCTTCTCCCACTTTGGGACAGACTTTCCCTTGCGCTGTCAGAGGGACCCGAGGCTGAGTACGAGGCGAGGCGGCAGGCAGCTCAGGCTGGCTGCGCAGCGCTGAGTGGCACCGCCGCCGCTCCCCAGGGGCAGGGCCCACCCCACACCCGGCTGACTCTCGCTGCCCTTCCTCCTTCCCTATCGGGCTCTGCGGTCTGGAGGCTGGAGAGCGGTGAGGACCAGGGACTGCCCTGTCCATCTCGGGCGGGTGCCGGCGTGGGTGGCGGGGCGCAGGCTGGGAAAGGGAGGGCGCAAGTAACTGGTGTGAGAGGCAGGGGTTCAGGGATCCTTGCTCTTGAGCCACGATTTCCGATGAGCCCCTGCCGAGAGCATGCCGCTCTGGACTCACTCCTCAAACATAACTGCTCTGCTGGAACGAGAGACTTCACCACCCTGTGCCTCAGTTTCCTCATCTGAAAGTAAGCAGGAGTCTGTTGTGAGCGGGATGTTTAAGGGATTTGGAACCAGAAGGTGGGCTTGGCTGACTTCCTGGCTGTACAACCTTAAGCAAGACACAAACCTCTCTGAGCCTTAGTTTCCCCATCTGGAACATGGGGAAGGTGAGTTGGGAGGATTAAATGAGATGATGCTGGTGAGGGTATGTAGCCTGGTGCCTGGCACGCAGCCAGTGGCCAATTGTGGTGGGCTACAGGTGTCCTGAGGTGTCCAGCACCAGTAGATGCTGAGATTCAGTGCCTCTGAATCTGAAGTGGTGCTCCCAGCCCCCTCCAAGGAGGCCTTTGAATTCCCCAAGCTGTTGACATTTAATTGCAAAGCAAAACTTTCTCCTTAGGGCCCACCCTTTCTCAGACGCTCCCTCCTCCAAGGCTCTCTACCGCCCAGCCCAGTTCTCCCCTGCTACCTCCCATCTCTCTCCAGGGTGAAAAGGCTGCATCTGACTGTAAGGTGCACCCTTTTCCTCCTTGCCCTTAGCTGATGTCCGCTGCCCCAGAGAGGGGCACCCACCCATTGCTCGAGCTCCGTACAAGGGAATTTAACACCTCCCTCCACTCCCGGGTGGAGGATTGCTTTCCCTGAGGAGCCATCAGGCTGTCAGGTGGCTTGGACACACCGATGGTGACGGTTCAGACAGGCAGCAAGAAGCACCAGGGAGACAGCCTAGAGGTCTGAGGGGTCCCAGCCTTGATTCTTCGCAGACTATGATGTATTCGTCCAGGCAACTGGGCCATGAGGCACCAGAAATGAAGGATGTCGGGGAGGAAATGGAGCCAGTGATTGAGAGGTTCAAACTTCAGAGCAGGGTGTCCCCAGGAAGGGATTTGCTCCAGTCTGTGTGGCTGGGACCTTAGACCCAGAGCAGAGCAGGGCATAGGCCCAGGGGATAGGGGAGGATGCTGGGATCCTGGAGGTGGCAAGGAGCGGGTGGGCGGGCAGGAGTGATGGGAAGAAAGCAGTGGTCCAGTTCACACCCATGTTGGTCCCTGGCCACCTGTGCTGTGTGGGTGTTCTGGCCCAGCTGCCCAGAACAGGGATGGGGGAGGAATCTCAGATGAGGAAACATGTCCACATGGTGCCAGGGTACACCTGGTAAGACAGGCAAGATGAGCTGCCACCTGGGGCCTCCTACACGGAATCTCCCTCTCTCCTCTTCTTCCTCTGTAGCTTCCCCCTCCCCTTCCCCATTCACCCACTAGGGGTCACGTCGCTGTGTCTTCCAAAATCCTCACTCCTCATCTTCCCAAAGGAGTTAATCAGGAACTAATTAGGCTTGAGTCTCCTGCTTCGCTCAGGATTTGGAACACAGCCAGTGGGGAATGTGACGGGGATGCAGGCATTACTGTCAGGCTTTAGGAATAATCAGCCGGACACCCTCAGAGGACCATTGTCTGAAACTCTTGCCCTGGAAGTACTCAGAGGATAGGGTGAGGGGCATCTGCTGTCAGCCTCCTAAAGGGAGAAACTGAGGCCAGGAGGGCTTCTGCAGTCCATTAGCAAGCAGGCACAAACAAGAGTCACGGCTGAGAGCAGTTTTTTGGAGCTGGACCGCCTGGGTTTATAGCATGTGGTTCTGGGAAGGTGACTTATTTTTCAAAGCCTCAGTTCCCTCTTGAAAATGGGAATAAATGTTACACACCTCCCAGAATAGTGTGAGGATGAAGAAATCATATACAGATAGCACATAGCCATGTCCAGTGGACCTCTGCCAGTGGCCTGCAGTGTCAACATTGTGAACATGCATTGCACACACGCTGTTTCCTAAACGTATGCATTTTCTCTTTGAATTCTGATAACCAGCTCTCTGATTTAGGAACTATACTTGTTCCCATTTTATTGATGAGAACACTGAGGCTTGAAACGTTTAAGGACTATCTAATTCTGCCAGGTATAGAATAGTTAAAACATCACTATGACTCATCCTAATTGTATGAGTTTGTAAAACTGATAATTACCACATTGTAATTTAGATGATATGTAATCAGTTATTAGAATGATTCTTTCATGTACATCTTCAATCATTTTATGTCTGAGAACTGAAAAAGAATATGTTAATTGTCCACAGGCTATAGAATTTTTAGACACCTTCGTATTTTGTTTTCCTGTTTGAACAGTAATCAAACTGATTTAAAAGAGCAGTTCCCTGTTCATTACCTATCCTTCTTCTCTCCATTTTTCTCTAGAGCACTTATTACCTCCAACATCTATATATCTTATTCATTTGTCTATTGTATGCCCACGTCAATATAATGTGAGCACTGCAAGAACAAGGACTTTTGACTGTTTTGTTCACTATATCCTCAGAGCCTAGACTAGTACCCAGCACTTATTGTGCCTTCCAAAATTATAAAGTGTTTTACAAACATATGGTCTATTATTGTTATTATTTTTGCCAAGTGTATAGGTTGATTGAAAATAAAACATTAAGTTAATAGCAGAAACCATTCCCTCAAATATTTGGCAAATAGGACTTGCTCAAGTGCCAAGGATAATTTGATAAAGGTTAAAAACAATGGATATTATTTTTCTAGTATTATAATAAAGCTTATCAGTGAGTTCAATGACAAGTAAATTAAAAAAATTTTTTTCAATAACAAATGACATGTTCAAAGGCAATTAGATTAGCCTTAAAATTTTTCCTTGAGAACACCCCGGCATGGTGGCACATGCCTGTAGTCAGCTGCTCCAGAGGCTGAGGCAGGATCTCTTGAGCCCAGGAGTTCAAGACCAGCCTAGGCAACCCTGGCTCTTGACAACAAACAAACAAAAACCCCACAACTTCTAATGAATTAACGATCACTGACTTATTCACTTAATTGCTTTTCATTTTGTTAGCACAAAATGTTTTTTTGAGTCTTCATTTTAATGATTTTTCGGATTGTTATTAAAGTCATACATGTTCATTGTAAGAAATACAATTGTAAAATCATTAAAAATGTAAAACGCATAAAAATCCTCCTTAATCCCACCATCGCCCAGAGAGCACAATGACTGTGAACACATTCGTGTTCTTTCTGTCTGTGTTCTGTCCTTTCTAATCTTTTGCTATGTATTAATATATTCCCTAGTTTTTTTTTTTCTTTTACAAAATAAGGATCACGGTATATGGTATATGCACAATTCTACAAACTATTGTGTGTGTGTGTTTTAAAAAATAACAGGGTTTTCCCCCCCTTAACATTATACTGAAAGTCTTTTTTACTTTTTTTTTTCTTTTTTTCCCCAGAAAGTCATCTTTAGACTGGACTGAAAGTCTTTATGTTATTAATTTTTTTTGTTGTTTGTTTGTTTGAGACAGAGCTTCACTCTGTCCCAGGCTGGAGTGCAGTGACACGATCTCGGCTCACTGGAACCTCCGCCTCCTGGGTTTAAGCGATTCTCCTGCCTCAGTCTCCCGAGTAGCTGGGATCACAGGCTCGCACCACCATGCCCAGCTAATTTTTGTATGTTTTGTAGAGACGAGGTTTCATTGTTATCGCACCACTGCACTCCAGCCTGGGTGACAGACTGAAACTTTTTCTGAAAAAACAAACAAACAAAGAAGGCCTCCTCAGTTTGAAGGCTGCCAAACACCTGGATCCCTTTTCTAGTATCAAGACCAAGTTACCTGTTTGCAAACCTCAGTGCCTTCTGCCCACCTCTGCCCACCTCAGTGCTTTCTGCCACTGGCTTCTCATTACTTTTCTCCCCCACTCCTAAATTCATAGATTCCTTTATTCAATCATATGACAAACATGAGGGTATCCACGCTGGCCAAGGTATGTTCTCTATTAGGGAAGTTACTAGCTGGGTTTCACCTCACATGAAGACCTTCCTGGGACAGGAGAAAGGTGTTGCCTGCTGCCTGAGGACCCCCAACTGCAGCTTCACAAGTGAGCCCCTGCCTTGGTGAGGCAGATGCAGTCTTTTCAAGATCAGTGCAACTGACCGAAGTCCCTGGGATTTCTGACTTCCTTCTGGCTCTAGACAATCACATGCACACCCGCAGATCCATGAAACCCCTGTGACATGGCATCATGCCTTCACTCAGCAGTCACGGGGCACTTCCTATGTGCCAGGCACCATGCTGAGTGCCAGGGACACAGTGATTGTCTGAGCTATCAAGACCTGGAGTCACCATCTCTCCCATCTCCACCATCTGCCGGTCACCCAGGCAGACAGGGAATCACCTTACACTCCTCCTTCTTCCTCACCCTCTCTATCAGATCCATCTGTCCCTAAAACCCACCAAGGGTGTTCCCGCCCAGGGTCTTTTGCCCTCTCTGCTACCTGTACCCAGAATCCTCTCTCCCCAGGTATCTGCCCACCTAGCTTGCTTCCTCCAGTCTCTGCTTACCTGCACCCTCTCACCAAGGCTTTCTGCAGCCGCTGTATCTAACCATCTAACAGTGCAATTCCCACCTGCACACACTGCTTCTGTTTTTCCTGTACTGTTAGCTTGCAGACTTCACCATTACCATTGCATCTCCAGTCCTAGTCAGAAAGGGACTGTCAAAGTGTGGCTCACCAGTCTGTCCCCAGCACCTAAAACCTGCTGCATCAGGGACTTTATTTTATTTATTTATTTATTTTTATTATTTTTATTATTTTTGAGATGGAGTCTCCCTCTGTTGCCCAGGCTGGAGTGCAGTAGTGCAATCTTGGCTCACTGCAACCCCCACCTCCCGGGTTCAAGTGATTCTCCTGCCTCAGCTTCCTGAGTAGCTGGGACTACAGGCGCACACCACCACACTCAGCTAATTTTTTTGTATTTTTAGTAGAGATAGGATTTCACCATGTTGGCCAGGCTGGTCTCCTAACTCCTAACTCCAAGTAATCCGCCCTCTTTGGCCTCTCAAAGTGCTGGGATTACAGGCGTGAGCCACTGCACTCAGCCGAGACTTTCAATAAACACTTGAACCAGTGATGGCAGCCTCTGCCCCTCCTCTGCAGTCACCGTTGCCTTTGTTTAGGCCCCATCACCTCTGGCCACGGCCTCCCAAGCTCCCTGCCTCCTGTTTCCCTCACCTGGCGCCCCCTCCACCTTCCTAAAGAGAGAATAGCTGAGCAATCCTGCTTCAAATCCTCCTAGGAACCCTCTTGGGGCAGGGGCTCACCACCTCATCGGGCCCCTTATTCTTCTGAGTCACAGTGTTGTCATCTGTGAATTGGGGATTTGTTTTGAGGATCCAGTAAGCTGACAGCATGTGGCAGCAACTGAGCAGAGGCTGTGTAAACAGGTGGCCATCCTGTGGCCTCTTTCACAAGGCCAGCCCACCCCCACAGCCTATCTCTGTCTGCCGCCCATGGTGTGAGGCTGGCCGCTCCTGGGGCCTTCCAGCTCTGTAAGCCTCTGCCATGAGGATCCCCAGACACTGGCGCGTCAGCAGACCCAGGCTCTCTCCCCTTAGCCACATGCTCCCCTGCCCAACTCTGAGTGTCACAGCAGAGCCCAGAGTGGAGATATTCCCGGAGCGGGGACATGAAGGGGAGTGGGAATGACGTGGACTTGCCACACACCATTCAGCCACTTCAAAGCCTGGAGTGCCACCAGCCCGCCCTCGAGTTCCCAGCCAGACAATCCAGTAGGAGATGAGTCACTGGCAGGAGCGAGCCTCGCATGCTGGGCTCAAAGAGAGGCGGGCAGGGGAAGAGGTGACCACGCTTGGCCTAGCAGCTGGGGTGGGCCTGCCCCCGACCCCGACCCCAACCCCGACCCCGACCCCTGGCAAAGGAACCACAGTCCCAGCCCATCTGTGCCCCTCATGGCTGTCTCCTCTCAGCAACTTCAGTCACATGCGTGCGGGACACCAGGATGGGCACTTGCTTACCTGGAGCCCCCACACCCAGCTCCTTTGTCTTGATGACCCCGACAAAGCTCTACCCTAGCAGAGGGTCTGATGCCACCAGGGAGTGGTTTTCTTCTGGGTCCTCCGGCAGAAATCCTGGAGTGGGGGAAGGGAGAAGGAAACAGGCAGCCAGGCTGAAAGTCCAGCTCCTATTTTAGGACCCCCCAAAGTCCCTCCATGTGTTTTCCAAGGGTTTTGTGGGACACCGCGTAGGTGCTTGGGAAATGAATCAATGGATGCAAGCCTGGGGTGCTAGGAGGTTGCAGCGGGAGGCTGTGTTTAAAGTGCTGATGGCATTGCAGGAGGCAGGGAGTGGCAGCCCGGGTTACTGTTGGCATCGTGGTCACCAATGGTGACAAGATGCCTGGGAAGCATCTCAGCTTTTTGCATAGAGATCCTCCTCTTCAGCAAGCCAAGCACCTTTGAAAGGCAGCCTCCACCCCTCAGTCGTGCGCTTGCATCAGGCTGAGGTTGGCTTGCTCTAGTGTTTCCATGCACTTTTGAACTTCCCCTCCGTTCCCAACCCTGAGCTAGTTTGCAGAGGCCACACTGACCCTCCATGCCCTCGAGGAGCTACTGGTCTAGAATAATTTAGATCCGGAGTTGTCCTGGAAGGGCACCCAGGTGTGACAGAAACACAGCCAGAGTGATCATTCTGTCTCCACCAGTCAAGGAGGACCTCACTGAAGAGGTGTCTTGATCTGGGTATTGACAGCTACATAGGAGTTTGCCAAGTGGAAGGAATGGCATGCTAGGGAGAGGGAACAGCCCAGAAGGATGATCAGCCCAGGGTGTCTAGGAAGCAGGCCAGCCAGAGCATCAGGGCAGCCGGTCTCTGGGGGTGTCCCTGGCAGTAACTGAGAGGCACTGGGGGTGAGAGAGTCCCTCTGCACACAGCTCTTCCTCCATCTCTTCTCTGTGACCTTGGATGGGTTATTTCCCTGAGCCTGTTCTCTCATCTGCACAATGGAAATGATGTCCCCCACCTCAAAAGTCTGTTGCAATACCATTGGTGACATTAGGCACATGCAGGTATTTGGTGAATGTGAGCCACAGCTGGAGGCCCCAGTGCCCAGAAGGCTTCCTTGTAGGGAAATGCAGCCAAAGTGCACTGAGAAATAACTGGTTTGTTTTTGTTTTTTGAGATAAAGTCTCACTCTGTCACCCAGGCTGGAGTGCAGTGGCATGATCTCGGCTCACTGCAACCTCCACCTCCCAGGTTCAAGCGATTCTCCTGCCTCAGCCTCCCGAGTAGCTGGGATCACAGGCACATGCCACCACACCTGGATAATTTTTTGTATTTTTAGTAGAGATGGGGTTTCACTGTGTTAGCCAGGATGGTCTCGATCTCCTGACCTCATGATCCGCCTGCCTCGGCCTCCCAAAGTGCTGGGATTACAAGCATGAGCCACCACGCCTGGCCAAAATAACTGGTTTTTCTATTTAACGTGAATCAGAGAACTGTCTTTGGAGAGTCTGTGCTCAAAAGTCTAATCCTTCAGTGCTAATACCAGCTCTGCCAATTCTTGGCAGTGTTTTGCCTCTCTGAGCCTTGGTGTCCTCATATTCTTCTTAGCCCCTCCCAAGCAGGGATGGCAAGCCTCAATTTGCTTTAGGGATGAGGGATATATACCCCCTCATGACCCCTGCAGGGGCAAACTCTTTTCCCATTGGCTTTAGGGCTGCCAGCTATGCCCTGCAAAAGCCCACAGGGCTTGGCACTCATGATCTCTGCTCACCAATGCCCACAGGTGCAGTTTCGCTTCTGCAAGGCAAGTGACCACACTCCCTAGAAATAAAAACCTTATCTCTCTCCTGTTCCTACAGCCTCATGTCCCTTGGGAGACATGAACCAATTCAGATCTTCAGCAACATGGGAGAATGGGCTACTTTTTTTCTTTTCTTTTTTTTTTTTTTTTTTTGAGACAGAGTCTCGCTCTGTCACCCAGGCTGGAGTGCAGTGGCATGATCTCGGCTCACTGCAAGCTCCGCCTCCCAGGTTGACGCCATTCTCCTGCCTCAGCCTCCTGAGTAGCTGGGACTACAGGCGCCTGCCACCATGCCCGGCTAATTTTTTGTATTTTTTTTTTTTTTTTAGTAGAGACGGGGTTTCACCGTGTTAGCCAGGATGGTCTCGATCTCCTGACCTTATGATCTGCCCGCCTCGGCCTCCCAAAGTGCTGGGATTACAGGTGTGAGCCACTGCATCCAGCCCCTTTTTTTTTTTTTAAAGAGAGGGTCTCACTCTGTCACCCAAGCTGGAGTGCAGTGGTGTGAACATGGCCCACTGCAGCCTTGACCTCCTGGACTCAAGCAATCCTCCCATCACAGCCTCCCGAAATACTGGGATTACAGGTGTGAGCCATTGCACCCAGCCATGAGTTACCTTTTTAAAATGTTTTCTCCATTGCAAATTGGAGTCAAAGTGACCTGGCCCTCCCTCACTGCTCTAGACATCCACTTGTTCATCAGGTTCATACTGGGGGGCGGGGAGAGAGGGAAAGAAGCATTTTCATTCTGTAGGCCTTTGTTTCTGAATCGGTAATTTAATATACAGATGCCTTCTAAAGAATTGTGCTGGCTGACAGTGTGGGCTCTGGAGTCAAACTGATCTGGACTCAAGTCTCAGCCAGTAGTTAGAAGCTGTGTGCCCTTGGGCAAGCTGCATAACCACTGAGCCTCAACTTCCTTGTTTATAAAATGGGGATGAAAAGAGCATCCTCCTCTTATTTATGTTGGGGTAATAATAATAATAATAATAATATGGTTTGGGCTAGGTGTCAATGAACACCCTTCAAAAGCCAGCTGTGAGAGCTTGAACTAGCCCCTCACCTCTCCAGGTCTCAGTGTTCCCAGCCCTGATAGTTCCAAGTGGCTCATGATGCCATGGTCTGTTGAAGTTGTCCGAAGCAGTGGGATCTCACATTTTCATCATGAGACAGAAGAACTCTGGGATCCTAATTCCCAAAGATCCACCCAAGAGAGATATCTCCTCCCCACCACCCCCCACCACTGGGACCCCAACACACACTTGCCCTACCCCTGTGTCCCTCTCCCCATTCTACAGCCCAGAGGTCCCCCAGCCCCTTGCCCAGACTAGGCACGTGCTCTCAAAGAAGTGACCATCCTCTCCCGCAGAGGTTGACAGCTCAGGAGATGTGAGCGCCCAGCCTGCAGGGGCTGTGGGTGCGCCATGGGCCCCCCAACACCTGCCTGTTTGTGTCTCCGCAGGTGAGTGGAGGGGCCTTCCCTGCGAGAAGTC
Source organism: Homo sapiens (assembly GCF_000001405.40). Classification (NCBI taxonomy): domain Eukaryota; kingdom Metazoa; phylum Chordata; class Mammalia; order Primates; family Hominidae; genus Homo; species Homo sapiens. The sequence goes on from NC_000016.10 coordinate 66,437,626, forward strand.
AGAGCTGTGCCCGTGGGCAGGCTGGCTCCGCTGTTCTGCTCCAAGGATTACATGTCCTTCAAACGTCCCTGCCCCTGTAAGTTTCCTCCCCACATCCTTCCACCACTTGGGGCCAGGCAAGGGCAGAGCTTGGAGTCGAGCTGCAGAGAACGGCTTGAGGTGTTTGGCCAAAGAACTGCAGGGGTCCAACCAGAGGCTAATGTGGCATGCTGGGTGGGGAGAGGGCAACACGGAAGACCCCTGACGTCTGCAAGATGCTCCCTGAGAACTGAAAATCGCACTTTGGCCCATTCTTCTGTATCAGCCCTTCCCGAAGTGTGGATCGGAGTTCCTCTGAGGGATGTTAATGGGATGACACACACCCACACACAAATAAAAGACTACATGGCCAAGTAAGTGGGAAAAATGCTGGGGGAGTCATGTTAAGAAAGTTTTGCTCCTGCAAGACTTTCCTGAGCTTTTAATATGGTGATGTGTGGCCGGCGTGGTGGCTCATGCCTGTAATCCCAGCCCTTTGGGAAGCCGAGACAGATGGAATACCTCAGGTCAGGAGTTCGAGACCAGCCTGGCCAACATGGTGAAACCCCGTCTCTACTAAAAATACAAACATTAGCTGGGCATGGTGGTGGGCGCCTGTAATCCCAGCTACTCAGGAAGCTGAGGCAGGAGAATTGCTTGAATCCGGGAGGCGGAGGTTGCAGTGAGCCGAGATCACACCATTGCACTCCAGCCTGGGCGACAGAGCGAAACTCTGTCTCAGAAAACAAATAATAATAACATGGTGATGTGTGTTGTGAGGCTCCCATAGGTAAGAGAAAACCCACTGCTCCTCTCAAACATTAACCACAAAGAATGTTTCATGGGATTGGTGTTCCCCAGAACACACTTCTCGGGGTTTACTCTCCTAAGGAAACCCATCCCGAGCATCCCCACCATGAAGTTCCTCATTCGCGGAAGCCTGTAGATGATCTTGCCCGTCGGCAGTCTTCTCATGGCTCCCTGAGGCCCCTGAGTCCAAGTGATGGAATCAGCCAGGGGTACCCCTGATGTCCAAGACTGCAGCCCCCTCGACTTCTCCCCTAGTCTCCACCCGCTTGACTCATGCCACCACCCTTGCCCCAGGGCCCCTTTCACTTCTCCCACAGCAGCCACCTGCTTTCTTCCATGATGTTCCCTGAGCCCCCCCCAAACCACCACCACTCGCTATAATTTGGGGAGACATGCAGGACTGCCCTGTCCCTTCTCCTTGATAAGTCAGGACTGTGAGTCTGTGAAATCAGAGACCCTAACCTCAGAGGGGGACACTTTCCCCTCTCCCCTGCTCACTGTGGGTAATGCCTCCCCAACTCGCCATTGTCTGTTCCAATCTGTGCCATTGTTTACGTGGATCATGGGGGTGGGGGCCTCTCTTCCAAAAGTCGAAGCCTTATTGTTAAATCATTTGGATATCAAGGGACAGCTGCAGTGGGAGGTAGGGGACACTGGCATGTCCCACCTGGGTGAGATCATCACCAGGCACGCCAGGGGGATGAGCTGGCTGTGGGGTTCATTGTTCAAAGAGTAGTGTCCAGAGGGTGGTGGAGCTCGGCCTGGCTGCTCTGGGTACCCGAGGAGGGGTAGTGATGGATAGCACAGGCTCAACAAATTGTTGCTGTTGTCACTGTTGCTGTGGCATGATCAGGAAAGGAAAGCCTGAGTCCCAGGCCAGGAGAGGAGACTGCTATTCAGGGCACCCCAGAGCCCAGGGACACCTGCCCTGCAGAGCACTGGGATGGTCATGTTCTTGGCCCTATCTTCTGGCCAGGCAGGAGCAGCCCAGCATGGAGAAGCCTGGGAAAAGTCAAGGCTGGGGATGCTGAGTGCGGAGGGCTTTCCAGAACCTTTTGGGCTGAACCCCAGGCCATTGGAAGCTGGGTCCATCTCACTAACAGAGGCCATCCCTGCAGGGCAGCCCTCTGCATATCCACCTCCTGAGGACTCCAGGGTGTGGTCACTGACATTCGAGGCCATTTAGAAGTGGCTCCTGCACATCTCTGAAATTCCCCCTTCCCCAAAGACCCAATACCTAGCATGCAGTAGGCACTCAATGTTTGTTGAGTGAATAAACACATAATTAAACACCCTGGAGGAGGAGCTAGAGGCCATTGTCAGGGAGAAGCTGAAGCCCCTGACTCTGCCACCAGATCCCTCCATGACTTTGACCCAGACATATCTCTGAGACAAAGGGGTCCACCAAGCCCAGTGGATTCCAGGAGCTCAGGACTGCTGCGAGGCTCCATGGAGACTCTGTCATTGTCTCTGCCAAATTCTTCTCACATTGTCCAGTCTGAACTTGTCCAAGAAGCACCTGGTGTCCCCTTCCAGCACCCACAATCAGCTTCAGTCTGGGTCCAGTCTGGCTTGTGCACCCGCACCCCAACATCCCATCAACTTCTGTGAAGTTAAAACCATTCCATGGTTTCCATTTCTCAGCTGCGTCTCACCCTGTTGGGTACTTCTTTTTTTTTTTTTTTTTTTTTTTTGAGATGGAGTTTCACGCTGCCACCCAGGCTGGAGTGCAGTGGCACGATCTCAGCTCACTGCAGGCTCCGCCTCCCAGGTTCAAGCGATTCTCCTGACTCAGCCTCCCAAGTAGCTGGGACTACAGGCGCCCACCACCACACCTGGCTAAGTTTTTTTTGTTTTTAATAGAGATAGGGTTTCATCATTTGACCAGGCTCGTCTCGAACTCCTGACTTCAGGTGATCTGCCTGCGTTGGCCTCCCAAAGAGCTGGGATTACAGGCGTGAGCCACAGTGCCTGGCCCCTGCTGGGTGCTTCTGTTTGTGATGACTTCTCCTGCTTTGGGTTCCCTGACTCAGAGTCCTCCCTGTGTCCTCCAGCCAGCCTCTCAGACCATCTGACCTTCCATTCGTGGTCTCCTTTGGCAGTGGTGGAAGAGCAGGGATTCTCCCTGCACCTGCCCTGGGATGCTGGGCCCCCAGGGCTCCAGTGCAGCCCCCGCCCTTCTCGCTGTGCATGCCCCAGACCTTCTCAGCCTCACCGCTTTCAGCGGCAGCCTCTAGGCCAGTAGCTTCCAACAGTCTCTCCCACCCTAGTTTCTTCCTGGGCTTTCTATTCCTTCTTCCTCCTGCTGTCTGTCTGCCTTGGGCAGCCCCTACCCCTAACCTGAGTTTCAACCTGACCCAAACTGAATTCTTTGTCTTCCTCTCTAGGCCAGCTTTGCTTGATTTTGCTGTATTGGTTTGGGGCGCTCAAGTCAGAAATCTGGAAATGAACCTCAGTTCCCCTCCTATCATACATCCATCACTGCCAGCTGCCCAAGGAGACCCTTGGGGTTCTGAATTGGCTCAACAGATCATCATTCTGACCTGGCCCCCATCTCGGCCCCCACTTCAGATCAATCTAGAAATTGCTCATTCATTAAGTCTCTTCTGCGTGTTCACTTGTTCGTGCCGCCAGTGGACGGTGAACATCCAGAAAGCAGGGGCCATGCCTGCTGGGTTCCCAGTTCGCCCGCACCACCGTGCTCAGTGCCTGGCACATAGGAGGTGCTCAGTGTTTATTGAGCAACTGAACAAGCGAATGAGTCAAGATGAAGCAAATGCTTTGTGGACAGCCTCCATGGCTCACAGACCAGAGGCCCTCACACAGGTTCTGGGAGGGATGCTGGACCCTGAGCGCTCCAGACCCCCCAAAACAGACATAGGAACACTCAGGAAGGAAACCCGGAAATCCCAGGAGGGCACTCACATGGACACACACCCCTGTTTTTAATTCCTCATTCCAGATCTGGAGCTGTTGTGCACTTAGATACATACAGAATTCCTTTAACTTCCTTAGCCCCCAAAATAAGCTTGCCAGGTACATGTGAAGATACTGAAGCCCCCACAAAATGGGAAAATTAGAGTAGGAGCCCCACCCTGTTCCCATTTGGGCTTCTCCACCCCTACTCCCTGCCAGGTTAGAAGAGTAGCCAGAAAAGTCTGCAGAAGGTAAAACAAGCCCAAACGTTTCCCAAGCAAGACCCTGCCCCTAGGAGTCAGTGCACGTGAGGTCTGGAGAAAGTGAACAGCTATGCCCACCAAGTGCAAGGTGGCAAGGTGAGCGGCACCAGCCCACCTGTAACCCAGGTCTGCCAGCTTCCATGGCTGCAGGCCCTGGGGGAGCAGGCTTGTCCATCAGCCCCTCAGGAGTCCAGCAGGCATTAATCGGCCAGGCTGGGCTGACCCCTCCTAGGCACTGCTCACACCCCAACTTCCCCACCCCTCAACACCGTCTTACTTTCAGGCATTTCAGCTCATCCCTGCCCCTCATGGAGATAGTGCCAGCAGCTCTTATTAACTCCCTCCTTTCAATTTGGCAGATGAGAAGACCAAGGCAGAGGAAGGAGGCAAAAACAAGAAAGGGGGAGGCAGTCAAACCCTGACCCAGGGCAGCCCAGAGGGGTTTTGGCCAAGTGGCTGCAAGAGGGAGATCAGTTTCTCTGCCAGCAAATACCAAGCCTGTGAGCCATTTCCCAGCCTTCAGAGGACCTGCCTCAAGCCTTGAGTGAGTAGGAGAACCAGCCTGGCTCTTCAGGAAGGCTGGAGGTGGAGGAGCCTTCTCCATCAGGCCCCAGCTGGGAAAGGTGGCCCAGGACTCCCCCAGGATGCAGGCTCCAAGAGCAGATGCTTCACAACCTCTTTCTGCCACCAGCTGATGGCAGCTCCGTGGAGCTCCCTGAAAGATGGGGCAGCCCGCCTCCCTCTGGCCTTTGGGAACAGATCTAAGGAAGGAGGGGTTTGGGGGCCCCAGAAGAGACTAAGTCTGTAGTAAAGCAGGAAGAAGAAGGGTGGGAGGTAGCATCTGATCATCCACAGAGAAGTCAAGTGGGGCTTGTCTCTGCTGGGCTCATGGTGGCTGCCTGCAGGCTGGCAGGAATCGCAGCCAGGCAAGGCCTCTGGGTGGGCTTGGATCTCCCTCAGAGATGGTATGATATACAGTGTGTGGGTTCCAGTGCAACCTGGCCCTGCTTCTTATCAGCTGGGGCAAGCAGCCTAATTTCTAAAAACCTCAATTTGCTCATCTATAAAATGGGAATAACAATAGCACCCTTTTGGTTTGGTGCTCGAAATTGACATGCTACACGGAGAGTCTAGCTTGGTGCCTGGCACTGAGAAGATGCTCAAGAAATTTGAAAGTCTTGTCCTTTTGGCTACCTTCTCCCTACACAGGTCTGTATTGAGGGAGAGGGGGAAATAGAGAGAGATAGGGACTCTTGGAGATGAATTTGGGGTTCAGACCAGATGTTGGTGTTTTTCGCTCTGCTCATTGTGACAGTTATCTCTGCAGAGACCTAGCTACCAATAGAAGAAAGGACTTGAGGGCAAGGAGGGCAAACGATGGCACACACTGCAAAATTCACCACTTCTGCGCTCAGAGCAGACATCACTAATCAATTGTAGCACTCTTTCCCACTGAGCTGGAACACATGCAGACACTGCCCAATGATCTCTAGCCTGTGAAATGAAACCATTATCCATCCTTTGCTGAAGTGTGACTTTGGAGTGAGCAAGGGGATGGAGGGAGTGACTTCAGCCAGTGCTCTGTCTCTGAGGGTTGCTGTGAGGATCAAATAAGATATCACAGGTGAAGGATTTACAAGGCCTTATGATCATTTCTTTATGTGGCCTCCTTGCTTCCTTGAAGAAGTCCTGCAAGGGAGGGGTCAGTGTGCCCATTCCACACATGAGGAAGCTGAGGCTAAAGGAGATGAAGAAATTAGTCTAGATGGCACAGCTAGAAAATGGTGCGGTCAGGGCTACGCCCCAAGTGAGTTTGTCCAGGGCTCAATCTTAGCCAAACCACAGCTGGAAAAAGGACAAGGGTGGAGCCAAATCTACTCCTTCATTGCCACAGCAGGGGTGAGGAATCCACTCTGCCACAGGACTTCATGGCCCCTGAACATCCTAGCTGCCCCTCCTCACAGTTCTCTGGTCTAGCACAAAGTCTGACCCTAGTGAGTACTCGGCATTTGATAGCTCATCTTAATTTTATTGCTAGCTCATCTTAATTTTTTTTTAATACAAACTCCTCTTGCTCTGTCACCCAGGCTGGAGTGCAGCGGCACAATCTCAGCTCACTGCAACCTCCACCTCCCCAGTTCAAGTGATTCTCCTGCCTCAGCCTCCCGAGCAGCTGGGATTACAGGTGCCCATCACCACCCCCAGCTAATTTTTCGTATTTTTAGTAGAGATGGGGTTTCACCATGTTGACCAGGCTGGTCTTAAACTCCTGGCGTCAAGTGATCCACCTGCCTCGGCCTCCCAAAGTGCTGGGATTACAGGCATGAGCCACTGCACCCAGCCCGCTCATCTTAATTTTCAGTGCACAATCATATCATATTCAGGTCTCTGGCAAGAGGGCATTCAACCTGGCTGGAGGACTAAATGCAGTCTTAATAGCCCCAACTGTTGCAGAGCACTCTATGCTGGCAAAGTGCTTGCATTTCACTGTCCCCTGGTGGTGAGCTCACTGTCCCTGGTGGCAGCCCTGCCTGATAGCGGCTGGGTGGCTCTTCCCCTGTGTCCACCATGCCCCAAGGAAGGGCTTCCTGAGCTCTTCCCCAGAGCTCCCTTTGTTCTCTGAACTTAGATTTTCCCCAATCTGATCCTTCCCTTTCCTCATAGAGAGGTCTCAAGCCCCTCCTTCCTGACCTCCCTCCAGGACAAAGGGCAAGTGAGGGCTGCAGGCCAGAGGAACATCAGCCTCCATGGCTTGTAGCGGGGCTTTGAGGCTGCAGGTGGAGCCAGCCAATGACAGGTGGCTGGAGGCAGGTCCCCTCGGTGGTCCCTGCTGGTCACAGTGCAGGGGGAGGATGGAGGGGAGGAAGACAGAGAGAGTGGGTGGCAAAGACCTAACCCATCTGTGAAATTTGCAATTGTTGGCAGGTCTTTCTGGGAACTGGGGCTTGAGGACACTGACTTGATCTGTGTCTTTCTCGCCAACAGCCCAGGAGAGGGTAACTGGAGCTGTGTTTTGGAGCACACAGACCTGAGTTTGAATCTTGCTCACATCATTTGTGTACTACCTGACCTCCCTGAGCCTCAGTTCCCCCAGGTGTAAAATGGGGGTATCCCAGTGCTGTGAGAGTTACCATGAGGATTACCTGCCATGAGCGGGAGGTGGGGGCTTGAGCTAATATGTGCCAAATGCCCGGCACTGTGGCGGGAGCATTGCCGCCCTCCAGTTCAAGCTGGCCATGGGTTCCACAAGCCAGAATGAAGCCTGAGGCTGGGTTATCTGCAGCACCGCTCCATCATGGTTCCTATTGTAAACTGTGGACAGTCATCCCTGATATCAGGCATCCTCTTCCATTCATTTATTCATTCGTTCAACAAATATTTATTGAGCATTTGCTACATGCTGAAATCTTTCTGGGTGCCAGGGTTACAGCCTTGAACAAAGCAAAGTCCCAGCTCTTATGGTGCCAACATAGCCAGAAGAGACAGACACAAACAGACAAATGAATATCTAATATGTCAAATTGGGGGAGGAGCTACAAAGACAAAAAAAGCACAGTGAGGTGGCCGGGCGTGGTGGCTCACACCTGTAATCCCAGCACTTTTGGAGGCCGAGGCAGGCAGATCACAAGGTCAGGAGATTGAGACCATCCTGGCTAACACGATGAAACCCTGTCTCTACTAAAAATACAAAAAATTAGCCGGGCGTGGTGGTGGGCGCCTGTAGTCCCAGCTACTCAGGAGGCTGAGGCAAGAGAATGGCGTGAACCTGGGAGGTGGAGCTTGCAATGAGCCGAGATCACACCACTGCACTCCAGCCTGGGCAAGAGAGTGAGACTCCGTCTCAAAAAAAAAAAAAAAAAAAAAAAAAAAAAAAAAAAAAAAAGCAGAGTGAGGTGATGGGTCAGGGCATAGGCTCACCAAGAAGGTAACACTGGAACAGAAGTTGCTAGAGGGAAGAGAGGGAGCCATACAGGTGTCTAGATGAAGAGGGTCCAGGCAGAGGATTCTGAATCAGGAGCAGGTTTGGCTTGATCCATCAACAGCATGAAGGCCAGGGTGCCTGAAGAGGAGGAGAGGAAAGGTACCAGAGGCAGTAGGGACCAGATGATGTAGGGTCTTGGAAGCCGTGGGAGGACTTTGGCATCTAATCAAGTAGTCATTGGAGGGGTTTGAGCTGAGAAGGGACCTGATCATCCTGGTTGTAGTAGAAGAGGCTAGAGGAGGACCCAGTTGGAAGCAAGTAGACCAATTAGGAGGTTAAGACAATGGTCCAGGCCAGGTGGCTCATACCTGTAATCCCAGCACTTTGGGAGGCCGAGGACGATGGATCACCTGAGGTCAGGAGTTCAAGACCAGCCTGGCCAACATAGTGAAACCCCGTCTCTACTAAAAATACAAAAATTAGCCAGGTGTGGTGGGGCACGCCTGTAATCCCAGCTACTCGGGAGGCTGAGGCATGAGAATCGCTTGAACCTGGGAGGCAGAGGCTGCAGTGAGCCAAGATCATGCCACTGATCTCCAGCCTGGGTGATAGAGCGAGACTCTTAGAGTGAGACTCTGTCTAAAAAAAAAAGGGGGGACAGTGGTCTAGGTGATGACAATGGTACCTTGGACCAGGAGGTTCATAGTGGAAGTGTCAATATGGGATCAGATTTGAAGGTGAAACTGTTAGGATTTCCAAATTCATTGGATTTGGGGTGGATAAGGAAGGGGTCAAAAAGGACAGCGTTTGGGGCTTGAAACGTGAAGGACTGAGCTGCCATTTGCTGAGATGGGGAATATTATGGGCAGGTTTGGTGGGGGGCTGTGAGTCAAGATGCAGAGTTTTGACATGTTTTGTCTGAGACGCTTTGCAGGCGTTGGAGTGGAGATACAGGGCAGACAGTTGGGTACGTGAATGTGGGGTTCAGAGAAGAGTCTGGAGCTGGGGATGTAAATTTGAGGACTGTCAGTGTGTGAATGCCGCTCAGTGCTGTGAAGTGGGATGAGATCACCCAGGGAGCAAGTGTGGGAATGTGGGGAAGGGAAGGGTCAAAAGACTGAGTCTTGGGCTGGTGAAGGGCAAAATGATTTCTGTATCTAGAAGTCTTGCCAGGGAAAGCAAGATCCCCTGGGGTCGTCACCCATGGCACCCCAAAGCCAGCCAAGTGCATTGGGGGAGGGATTTTCCTACTAACAGGAATGAGTAAGGACATTTCTGTTTCTCTGCCAAGGGCTACCCTAAATTAGCTACCCTGATTCTCAGCTCTGCATCTGGACCTGTGCCCAGGTGATTGGGAAAGCCTGGTTGTCCTCTGCAGGTGTCACTGCAGAAGCATGCAGCCTGCATGCTTCAAAGACAAGAGAGAGGAACCCAGCCAGCTGTGGTGGCTCACACCTGTAGTCTCAGCACTCTGGGAGGCCAAGGCAGGAGGATCACTTGAGCTCAAGAGTTTGAGATCAGCCTGGGCAGCATACCAAGACCCTGTCTCTACAAAAAATTTAAAGATTAGCTGAGCATGGTGGCACATGCCTGTAGACCCAGCTACCCGGGAGGCTGAGGTAGGAGGATGACTTGAGCCCAGGAGTTTGCGGGTGCCTTCATACCTGGGTGGCACTTGTGTCCCCTAGGAATGGGCCTAAGGAAGAGGATTGGAGGTGAATGTGGCCTCATGCAGTAACAACAGCAAGAGCTAAGAGACCCAGGTTTGAAAACCGCTGGAGCAAACGTATTTCAATCTTTTGAGCCTTTGTTTTTTCACCTGTAAAATGGGATCATTAGACCTAGTTTCCAATGTGACTATGAGGGTTTGGTGAACACAGGGGTGCTCAGTGAGCATGTGTTCTTTTCTTTCTTTTTCAGAGTGTTTATCCTACAGTGACTGTTGCAGAACTAACTCAGTCTTCCCTGCAGGATTCTCCCCAGACTGCCCAGGGAGAGAACACATCTTCTCTCTCCCTTCCCTACCAGCCCCAGGTTGGCATTGAGAGGCAGCTTGGCAAGGTGGCCCACCTGCATTTGCCAAGTTCCAGCAGGGACCAGCCAGGTGCCAGCCTTGTGCCTGACCCCATCACCAACACCTGATGGAGTAACTCAGGCAAATAGATTCTCCCTACCTCATAGGTTGGTTGCAAGAGGTCATCTGCCAAGCCTGTGAGTCTTACCCTGGGGCTCTACCCTAACTGTCTCACACTACAGATGTGGAAACTTAGTCCAGAAAGGAATGGGACCAGGTCACACAGTATGTTAGTGGCTGAAACTTCAACCTCCCATCCTGAGTCCACATAAGGTGCTCTTTCTACATAAATGTGGAAAATGCCCCAGGAGGGAGCCTGCTGCTCTGTTCTCAGTGAAGATGCAGAGGAGAAGCCCTCTTTGGAAAGTAAAACTGTGACCCAAGGCACATCTTTAAAAAGACAGATGTCACAACCCTGTCCCCACCTGCCACTTAGGAGGCAGTGGACAGTCAGACCAGCAAAACTTTCCCCTCCTGCCTGTTGCAATCCCTCCCCTGTAGGCCCCAAGACACTAGGAGAATCTCTGAACATCTACAGCAAGAACCGAGAATTCCTTTCCTAGAGAGATGCTCTAGGGTTTGCTGTTGTTGTTGTTGTTGTTTGTTGTTGTTTTTAGTAGAAATACCAGCTCACAAGAGCCAATAGCTAAATAAGCAGGAGTTTCATGAGCCAGTTGCTAAACCACTGGTAACTTGAAATTCACCACAGTGAGAGTGTTTACACTGTGGAAAATGACAAACGGTACAAATCAGGGATTCTTTTTTTCTTTCTTCCTTTCTTTTTCTTTTTTTCCTGAAAGCTGGTTTGCCAGCATACCACTAAATATAGCATACATACAGAAAGGTGCACCAACCATCAGTGCAAGCTCAAGGAATGTTCACAAACTGAACACATTCATATCAAAAAACACGGCTGGGTGCGGTGGCTCACACCTGTAATCCCAGCACTTTGGGAGGCTGAGGCAGGCAGATCATCTGAGGTCAGGAGTTCAAGACCAGCCTGGCCAACATGGCAAAACCTCGTCTCTACTAAAAAATACAAAAAGTAGCTGGGTGTGGTGGCGGATGCCTGTAGTCCCAGCTACTTGGGAGGCAGAGGCAGGAGAATCTCTTGAACCCAGGAGGCAGAGGTTGCGGTGAGCCGAGATCGTGCCACTGCACTCGGGCAACAGAACGAGACTCTGTCTCAAAAAAAAGAAAAGAAAAAGAAAGAAAGAAAAGAAACACATCCTTGGCCAGGCACAGTGGCTCACTGCCTGTAATCCCAACACTTTGGGAGGCTAAGGCAGGAGGATTGCTAGTGTCCAGGAGTTCAAGGCTTCAGTGAGCTACAATCTTGCCACTGTACTCCAGCCTGGGTAACAGAGTGAGACCCTGTCTCAAAAAAGAAGAAGATAAACACATCCTTACTTGCATCTTAGAACTCCCCTGATGTGTCCTCCCAGTCACTATCCCATGTCAAGGGTAAACATTAACTTGACTTTTGTCACCGTAAATTAGTTTTGCTTATTTTTGAATTTTATATATATGGAGTTGTATGTTTTCTTTCAGGTCTGGCTACTTTTGCTCAGTATTATGTTGTGAGATTCACCCATGTGAGTGCACCACTGCGCTCCAGCCTGGGCAACAGAGCAAGACCTTGTCTCAAAAAAACAATTCAGATTTTAAGTTAACTAAAATTTAAAAGATCATTCATGGGCCGGGTGCAGTGGCTCACACCTGTAATCCCAGCACTTTGGGAGACCAATGCGGGCAGATCACCTGAGATCGGGAGTTCGAGATCAGCCTGGCTAACATGGAGAAACCCCGTCTCTACTAAATATACAAAATTAGGTGGGCATGGTGGTGCATGCCTGTAATCCCAGCTACTCAGGAGGCTGAGGCAGGAGAATCTCTTGAACCCAGGAGGCAGATGTTGCAGTGAGCCGGTATCGCACCACTGCACTCCAGTCTGGGTGGCAGAGTGAGACTCCATCTCAAAAAAAAAAAAAAAAAAAAATCACTAATGAAACAATTTAAAGTTTTTCAAAAAGATTATATTTTTTCAAGATAAAAGGTACCTCCAATGCTTTAAAATATCAGCAGTGATCCCAATAGTTCAAGGACTATTATGAGTATGTGTGGCTATTATACACACGCAATATGTCACCAACACACTCTAAACAGTGAGAATAGAGCACTGTGGCATTGCTCCCATATTATTCTTGTGAGGGAGTAGGATGATCAATTACACCTGCAATACTAGTGTGCTGGCGTGTCTACCAAGTGTAAGATCCAATTATCTAAAATAATATGATGATCAAATTCCCAGACATTATGTAATTTATTACTGAATTTGTATATTCAGAAACCTGGGAAGTGCTCTTTAAATTCCTTCAAACTAGAAATTATCCTAAGCATTAAATAAAAACACTGAACTAAATAGTGTAACCACAAGAGTGGCTGAAGTTCAGTATCTGACTTAACAAATGTTTACATATCATTTCAATATCAATTTTAGCTCAATCTTAGCACATCCAGGGTTTCTCCTGCAGTGGGGCTTATTTTTCACTGTGCAAGAATGAAAGCCCCAGCTCTACACGATTGTCTTATTACGAGAGCCGTGGGGATGGCAAGCTGATGAAACACATGCAGGAGAACATAGGTGCTCACAGCACTTTCCCTTTGTCTGACATTGGCTTTGATTGGCTTTGATTTAGAACAGACTGAAAAAAACATACAAAGGCTGAATGAGGGTCTGTTTCTAAGTGTACTGCAATAACCAAGACCTATACTTCTACTACTGCAAAAATCTTTGCAGGATGGGTCTGGATGGGGTGGCTCATACCTGTAATCCCAGCACTTTGGGAGGCCGAAACGGGAGGATCGCTTGAGGCCAGGAGTTTGAGACCAGCTTGGGCAACATAGCAAGACCCTGTGTATACAAACAAAATTTTAAGATTAGCCAGGTGTGGTGGTACACACCTATAGTCCCAGCTACTTGGAAGGCAAAGGCAGGAGGATCGCTTGAGCATAGGAGTTCAAGGCGGCAGTGAGCTATGATTGTGCCACTGTACTCCAGGCTCCAGCCTGGGTGACAGAGCAAGAAGACCCTGTCTCAAAAATCAAAAAAGAAAGAAAGAAAGAAAAGAAAAAGAAAAAATCTTTGCAGGATGAGAAGTATTCAAGGGACACCTACACTGAAGCATAGGTGAGCAGAGGTATCAAAAGCACTGATAATATGAGTCATCATTAAAAGACAGTCTAGGTAAATATCACACATTTCCATTCAGCAGCTGCTGTGGCTTGCATATTTTGAACTGAAAAGGAATCCTGTGGGGGCTTTTCACTTATCACTTATTTGAAGAAAGGCTGTTTTAGGCCCCCTCATTGAACACAAGGCCTAGGTTTCAAAATTAGTTTTCCAGTATCATCACCAGACATATTATACTCTGTTAATACTGTTTGACACTGAACTGCTGTAATTGATGGTGCAACTACCTCTTGTGCATCCAGCAAAGAACAAACCTATTAGAGTGAAAAGCTAATCATGAAAAAATGGATGATTCCATAAAGACGTGAAGAAGGAACTCTTTTGTCTCGGGATCTATTAACCACTCCCAGGCACCAGTACAGACAGATCCCTCCATGAGAAACATTCTCCAGTGTCCTGGGGCAGGTTGCAAATGATGAATATATTTAGAGAATCTTCTTTCAAAATCTTTCACTTGTTCCAGCCATGACCTTGACCTTGACCCTGGATGCCTCAGTCCCTGTGCAGGCCCTCAGCCCTCCACCACTTTGCAACCCAAACTCCAACCAAAGTTTTTTTATTTTAATATAGTCCAATGTATCCATTTTTAAATGGTTAGTATCTTCTGTGTCCTGTTTAAGAAATGCAAGGTCATGAAGATGTTCTCTGATGTTTTCCACTTCAAGCTTTACTCTTTTGTCTTTCACATTTAGTTCTGAGTCTAGGGAATGTCTTTAAATTTTGAATATTTGATTGTCATGTATTGGGCACCTATTATGAGCCAGGCATCCTGCTAGGCAGTTTGCTTTGATTAGCTCATAGCCGAAATTGCTGCTCCCATTTTACAGATGAGGCAATAGAGGCTTAGAGATCTGACTTGCTCAGTGGGCACTGCCAGCAAGAGGCAGTGCCAGGACTTGAACCCAGGATTGTCTGTGTCTTATTTAACCAGAGTTCTGTCCTAGTCCAAGAAGCAGGTCAGCTCCAGCAAAGGAACTCGGGACTTTGGCTGCCCAAGGAAGGTGGCTGAAGGATGATCCTTTTCCAGAGACCCTAGAGCTGCTTACCTTCTCAGGATACTAAACGTTGGTGAACACAAGGCCTGGGACTGGGACTGGTTTGATTCTCAAAATAGCTCAGGCCTGCAAAGCAATCTGATGGGGAGTGGGGGATAAAGAACTTCTCCCCAAATGCCCCATAATGTTTTTTGGAATCCACATGCCATGAACCTCATGCTGGGAAACTACTCCAAAGCTCCATGGTTTAGTGTGATGTTGGCAGTCAGTTGAGATCATCAGGATCTATCATGGCAAAGAGGTAACTGTCTTTTCCTATTCTACTGGTTTCTCTCGTCCTGCCTACTGAAGTAACATACTATGCTAATAGATTTCCTGATCTTAAATCATCCTTGCATTTCTGGAATAAGCCCTAGTATACTAATTTTAATACACTGCTACCCTGATGCTGGTTTTCCAAATGCCCTTGTAAATTCTGGGAAATGAAGGAATCTCTGAGGATCAGAGGACAAAATCCTATCACCTTTAATGTGCTCCAGAATCGAAAACCACAGGGCCATGCCTTTTGTAGGCCTCTGGCTTTGGGCCTGGGCAGCATGGTGAACAGTGAAGGAGCCATAATTGCTGTCCCACCAGAAAGGCCTAAAGGAGTTGGCAAAAGCATGCCCATCCAGTGTGACATTTACAGAGGTCAGGTGGCACCAGAATCCCTCATGGGTGTTTGGCGAAGGGATCTGTGGGGAGACCAGGAATCTGAGTGCGTTGTCAGGTGAGTGTTTATTGGGGAAATTTCTAGACGCTTTTTGCAGGACAGACATTCCAGAGTGTAGAGAAAAGGAGGATGGGGTTTAGAGATGGTTTGCTTCATAGCTGGGTTTCCCAATCCTCATGGCACCTCACGTGGCAGACTCACTTACCCCAATGCCCAACTGTACGGCCCCAGAGTAACGAAGGGACACACAGCTCCCCAGGATGGAGAGAGGATATCATATTATTCCCTGGTCTATGGAGTCAGAACCAGGTTCAAATCCTGTCTCCCTCCCCCCAACTAAAAATTGTCTTTGCGATCTTGGGCAAGTCACTTCACCTTCCTGAGCCTCAGTACCCTCATCTATTAAATCAGATTACTAGCACCTACCTCATAAAGCTGCTAAGATTTGTAAATTTTATCTTTTCAAAAAAACAACTTTTGGTTTCATTGATATTCTGTGTTGCTTTTCTGTTTTCTAGTTCGTTGATTTCTGCTCTCATCTTTATTATTTCCTTCCTCTACTTGCTTTGGGTTTTGTTTACTCTTTTTCTAGTTTCTTAACATGAAAGCTTAGGTTTTCAAGTCGAGGCCTTTCTTCTTTTCCTTTCTTCTTTTCTAATATAAGTATTTAAAGCTATGAATTTCCCACTAAGCATTGCTTTAGCTGAATTCCATAAATTTTGATACTATGTTGTGTTTTTTTTCATTCTGTTATACACACACACACACACACACACACACATTGTTTTGTTTTCTGAAGACAAAGGCTTCAAAAGGCTGGAGTGCAGTGGTGCAATCATAGCTCACTGTAACCTTGAACTCCTGGGCTCAAGCAGTCCTCCCACTTCAGCCTCCCAAGTAGCTGGGACTATAGGCATGCACCACCATACCCGGCTAACTTTTTATTATTTTTTTGTATATACAGGATCTCACTATGTTGCCCAAGCTGGTGTCAAACTCCTGGGCTAAGGCAATCCTCCCACCTTGACCTCCCAAAGTGTTGGGATTACAGGCATGAGCCACAGTGCCTAGCCTAAAATATATTTTTATTTTTATTGTGATTTCTTCTTTGACCTATAGATTATTTAGAAGCATGTAGTTTAATTTTTTTTTTTTGGGTCAGGGGGACAGAGTCTTGCTCTGTTGCCCAGGCTGGAGTGCAGTGGCACAATCTCAGCTCATTGCAACCTCTGTCTTCCAGGTTCAAATGATTCTCCTGCCTCAACCTCCCAAGTAGCTGGGATTACAAGCACATGCCACCACACCTGGCTAATTTTTGTATTTTTAGTAGAGACAGGGTTTTGCCATGTTGGCCAGGGTGGTCTCAAACTCCTGACCTCAAATGATCCTCCTGCCTCAGCCTCCCAAAGTGCTGGGATTCCAGGCGTGAGCCCACCACGCCCGGCCTAATTTCTAAGTAGTTGGGGTTTTCCCGGATAGTTTTCTATTTTGGATCTCTAATTCCATTGTGGTCAGAGAACATATTTTGTATGATTTAAATCTTTTTAAATCTATTGAGACTTGTTTTATGGCCCATATGTGGTCTATCCTGGAGAATGTCTCATGTGCACTTGAAAAGAATGCGTAATCTTCAGTTGGTGAAGGCTTCTATGAATGTCACACTGGTTGATAGCGTCATTCAAGTCTTCTGTATCCTGGCTGAGTTTCTAATTGCTTTGTCAGTTATTGAGATTGGGACATTAAAATCTCCACTATTATTGTTGAATTATCTATATCTTCTTTCAATTCTCCCAGTTTTTACTTCATGTTTTGGGGGACTTGTTAAGTGCATATATAATACATATATAGTTTTTATATCTTCCTAATATGTTGACTTTTTTGTCATTATGAAATGTCTTTGTCTCTAGAAATATATATCTTGCCTTAAAGTCTATTTTGCCTGATATCAGCATAACCACTCAAGCTGTTTGTATGCTATATCTCCTTCCATCCTTTTATTTTCAAACTATTTGTGTCTTTGAATCAGGTGTGTTTCTTGCAGTCAGCATACAGGTAGGTCTTGTCTTTTTATTTACTCTGACAATCTCTGCCCTTTAAGTGGAGTTATTAATCCATGCATACATCTTCCTTTTCTTTCTTTCTTTTTTTTTTTTTTTTTTTTGCTTTGGGTTTGGTTTTTTATTTTGTTATTTTTATTTTTTCCTGAATATGGATCATACTTTATAAGACAAAGAAACAAGAAAGTGTGATCCATTTGGATGGGCTCTTTCCAACAGTAGCAGGGAAGCTGCTGGTTTTCACAGACTGGGGAGCAGAGCTGGTGGGGAGGGGTATGGAGGCAGTCATAGGCAAGAACATTACAGGTTCACACTGTGCTTACCTGACATTCAGTCTTTTTCATACTAAGTGCTTCTCAGTTCGTTGTATGCCTTTGATCAATTTCCAGGAACTGCAATGGTACTTTGACAGTTTTGTCTAGCTTTATAGTTGCATGTATGGACTGCTAAATTATCTCCCTTAATCCTCACAGAAACACTCTGAGTGGTCATTACTCTTTTACAGATGAGGAAGCTAAGGTACGTAAGTATTAAATACCCTGGTCAGTGTCACTAAGCCAGGCTCTTAAACACTGCATTTACCACTTCTGGGTACATCCTCTCCCAGTAGCTTTTAGAGCAATGCAAGTAACACCCCCAAATCAGGATGATTATTCACAGCTACAACAGCAAGTAATGTAATGGTGACCTGCACATACCATAAGTTGGCTCATTCTCCCAAATCTGAATCACAGAGGGAATTTGTAAATTGGCTGTGTTGAATGATGCTAACTAGCACCAGAGAGCCAAAGAAGGAATGATTTCCTTTCCTTTTGAAGTTGAGCTACAGAGTGTCCCTGAGCTTCCTGGAGGCCAAAGCAAAACAGCAAAGTGGATCAGTTACATGATTCTCATGGTCTATGAGGAGAAAGTAGCTCTTTTGGAGAAAGAAAAGCTTTCCCTGGCCCTCATATCTTGGAGAAATTTATTACATGAGCCTTACCTAGGGATACTGAGAGGTATAGTGGACAATACCTGCAGCAACACGCTTATAATAAAGCTACTTTTTTTTTTTTTTTTGAAACAGAGTCTTATTCTATTGCCCAAGCTGAAGTGCAGTAGTGCAATCACAGTTTACCACAGCCTTGACCTCCCAAGTTCAAGTGATCCTCCCACCTCAGCCTCCCAATTAGCTGGGACTACAGGCACACGCCACCATGCCCAACTAATTTTGGTATTTTTTTAAGAGTCAGGATTTCACCATATTGCCCAGGGTGGTCTTGAGCTCCTGCGCTCAAGCAATCCGCCCACCTCAGGCTCCCGATGTGCCGGGATTACAGGTGTGAGCCACTGCTCCTGGCTGTGATAAAGCTACTTCTTAAGCTAGTCCCCTCAACACAGGCTCTGAGCATAAGGCAAAGCCCAACTCCAGGAAGCTCATTCTTGGGAAGGAGGCTCAGTCACTGTGGCCTAGGAACACAGCTCTAGGCTGGTTGAACTTGTTCCAAGGACTAAAACCTTTACTGTGCAGAGCAGCCTGTGGATGACATGGCCTTCACACAATCCTTTGTAAATATTCTCTCTCCCCTGGGTGGGATAGCTGATGAAAATTCGCAGCATTCATGAATTTAACATTTTACATGTCAATTATTCACTAGCTTCCTGGAAAGTCCATATTATAGTCAAAGGTCATTTTTCTGAGCCATGATTTTGAGTAGCAAAATGCAAGCTGGGGTGTGGGAGCAAATCCCCTAGCCGGTAGGTGGGCCCAGCCAGCCCCCCAGAATCTGCTTCTCAACCCAATTCCACTGTCTCCTACTTATCAGGCATGCACAGTAACTCCACTGGCATTATATTATATATATAAAAGCCTCTGGGCTCTTTGTGGAAAATGGCCCAAGAGCCAACTCTAGATGGTGATGGAAGAGAAGAGAATATGAGCAGGTTGAGTCCAGTCATTATTCTAGCAAGAAAATGAGAGCTTGGTGTGGGTTCAAGTGGAATGTTTAATTCTAATGTGGCTTGGTTCTGTGATGTCAACCAGTTTGCCATTTGCTCTGCAGAAATAGGGAAAAGTAATTTGTGAAATTGTTTCAGTGAGTTTTTCAGCCAATAAATAAGTTCTTCTTTAAGCCGGAGTTAAAACCTTAGTGAATGATGACAAGGTGGTAAACTTAAGGAAGTTAGATACGCAGAGGAATATGTGCGTTACTCTTAGTGAGTTTATTTAAATAAACTTAAGTGGCAGAATGTATCTTAATAGTGGAATGAATTGCTTTCATCTTACATTTATAGAACCATTAAGGGTTTGTGGGTGGTCACTTGTATTTTTCCAGTTACGTTTTAACACAATGGTTGAAAAGCTTCTATTTGGCAGTAAAGTGCTCTCCTGTTCACTCTGACACATTAAACAGATGGAAGCAGAGGTGGGAGCAGGGAACAGTGCCAGGGCAGCTGTGTGGGACCTCTTGCTTTCCCCAGTTTGAGAGGTCCATTTTAGTCTGATTCATATTTGTGTTCCCAGTGTCTAGCATATATCCAGGCATGAATTAAGTGTTTGGTGAGTATTGGTGAGGGGATGGGTGGATGGATGGATGAATGACGGATGGATGGATGATTAATGGATGGATGGATAAGTGAACGATTGAGTGGATGTTGAGTAGATGCATAGATAGGTAAATGCCTGAGAGGATGGATGATTTGCTGGCTGGGTGAATTGATGGAGGATTGTTGAATAGGGACTGATGAATAGGTATATGACTTCACCTTCCATGTCTCCTGTCCACTGTAATCTGCCCCGCTCCCAATGCCACAAATGTCAGGTGGCATGGACCATGACAAGACATTAGTTGACTTCTTGTAGAGATGCATCCTCATTGTAAAAAGTAGTCTGAACACCAAGTATCCTTTTCCTCACCCCATGATCCAAATGTTCAGCTGCCATCAAGGTGACATCCTACAGACTCACCCCTCTGTGTTCCTGCCCATGCTCTTCTCTCCCTTTACTGATCCTGATATGCTTAGTTCATCTTTCGAGACCCAGCCCTTCTGTGTCCTCCTCTCTGAGATGTCCCTGGCCTGTCCCCAGACCTCCAACATCCCTCTATCAGTCTCCTGGTGACCAGAGGACAGATATCAGCAAGTGAGCTAAAAAGTTGCCCAAAAAAAAAAAACAGCAGCAGAGGAGACTCAGAAGTATCCAAACCAATGAGCCCTGCCCTGCCATGTCCCCTCCCCCAGCCCTTCTTGAAGTCCCTGCTTAGAGGATGGGATCAGCCAATGGTGAACAGAGGGAAAATGGTGCCTGAGTCGTGTTCCCTACACTCCTTCCAATGACTCCACGCCTCACCCTGTCCATTTCAGCAGTGGAGGAAGAGTGTACTGATGAGGCCAGACTTGCCCGGGAAGTGGACCTGTGACAAATGTCTTTGGAATTTTTGTGACAGGAGCCATCCATTAGTTCTGAGTCCTTGGCCCCCCTTCTCCCTCTAACCAGCATCTCTGAGAGAGTGGGCAGGATTGGCAGCCTGAAGGTGCTGAGTCAGCACTTTTGCGTCTCTGTTCCTTCCCTTTGTCACTGCAGCTCAGGTAGCTTCAGGCTGCAAAGAGCACTTCCCTGAACCCAGACAGAATGACTGTGGAGCTGCCTCCATGCTACACTCAGCAAGGACTTGGGAGTGATGGTCTGCCTCAGTTTCCCTGCCCTTAATGTTCCCCAGGTTCCCCACACCGGAGCCAGCCCTGACCTAAGCCACCTGATACAGGCCTGGATCTCATTCCCTCCCCTCATAGTTTTTGGCCCCCTCCCCTCCCACCCTGGAGGGAGTTGAATAATCAGTGCCTCTTCAAACAGCCAGCAGGTTCAGAGAGGGCAAGCGGCATGCCGAAGGTCACACAGTGAATGAGTGACAGAACGAGGAACAGAGCCCAGTTCTCCGGCCCCCACCCCCAAACCCCTCAGCCCCACAAAATCCTGCTCTCTCCTTCTGCTCTGTGCTACTATTTGATAAATTATCAGATAAACCTGAGTTCAAACCCCAGCTCTGCCACAAAACCAGGTGGGCAATCTTGAACACATAACTTTAGCTCACCAAGACAAAATGTCCTCATCTGTAAATGAGAGTGACAGTGGTATCCACACAGAGAGGAAGCAAGCCCCAGACTCACTCCCACATCCAGGTCTGCAAAAGGACCTTTTTGCACTTAGGACCTTCTGATTCCATGGAGTTCCCAGTCCCAGCCCTGGACTAGAAGCTGGAGGAGCCAGAGCTGGCTTCTGCCTTGCACAGCAGAGGCCCATGGACCCAGGCACCGCTCCTGCCTCGTCAGGGGACTTGGGGTCCCATCTGTGGAATGGGAATAATACCACGGCTGTCTCTGAAGGCTGCTCAGAAGACAACTAATTGGAGAGGCTAAGGAACTCCCTGCAGTGTCATTCTGTGGCATCAAGTGTGCTCATCCAAGCCGTGCTCAGCTCTGTGCTCACCTCTGTTCAGGGCAGAGGCCGTGGGCTCAGCTTCCTCTAGCCTGAGTTCCAAGCTCATGGGGACCCTTGCAGCAGCCTCCTCCCTGGTCTCCTGCCCCGAACCCTGCCTCTGCCCATTCTGTCCTCCATCTGCAACCCGAGGCTCTCCTAAAACACTCTGACCACGCCCCTCTTTGCCCTTGGGGAAAAGGACAATCTCTTTCTCTTTTTTTTTCTTTTTCTCTTTTGAGGTGGTGTTTCACTCTGTCACCCAGGCTGGAGTGCAGTGGCACAATCTCAGCTCATTGCAACCTCTGCCTCCTGGGTTCAAGCGATTCTCCTGCCTCAGCTTCCCGAGTAGCTGGGATTACAAGCACCTGCCACCATGCAAGGCTAATTTTTTGTATTTTTAGTAGAGACAGGTTTTCACCATGTTGACCAGGCTGATCTCAAACTCCTGACCTCAGGTGGTCCACCCACCTCAGCCTCCCAAAGTGCTGAGATTACAGGCATGAGCCACTGCACCTGTCCCAAAGGACAGTCTCTTGATGTGACCTTGAAGACCCCTCACGGTATGGTCCCTGCAAGCCCCTCCAAACTTAGCCCCCAGCAGGCTTCTCTCCAGCCTCCTCCTCTCTTGTGATTCCTCAAATGCATCAAGTCCTCAGCAGGGCCCCAAGATTCTCCTATAATGGAATTTGCCAGACGGATTTATCACTGATGGGCAGCCCATTCCAGACCAGGACTCTTTAAGTCCTGACTTGCTCTTCTGGCTGAAAGCACCTACTCTGTTCCGACACTCTGCCACTCCTTGTAAATGTCTGTGGATCCCACGATTGGGCTGTGGGGGTTGGGTGGGTGATGGACGGAAGGATGGGCCAATGGGTGACTGGGAGCAGCTCCCCTGGGATGCACTCAGGCACACCGTGCACACCAAGCAACCAGTCACAGACTGCCCCTGGTCCAATTCAAATGGCTCCTGAGCTTCCTCTCTGCACTGGCCCTGCCCAGTATCCTAGGCAGATGGGGTGACAAGAGAGAGAGACACAGGCCCCACCCTCCTGGTGTTCTCAGTCCCTGTGGAACCAGAGCGCTGGAGAGTGCCAGTTCAGGAATTGCAAAGAGCATTCCAGGCTCACCACTTTAACCAGCTCTGTGCTCAGCTTCCCTCTCTGTAAGATGGAGGAAAGACACTCTCCACCTCTCAGGGCTGCTGTGAAGATTAAATGAGAGAAGCATGCATGAAAAGAGTTTAGAGCCTGATGGATGTACAGTAAGTGCTGTCAGTGAGAGCTATCTTATCTTTATCATTGTTCTTCCTCAGTAAAATCACCCAAGGGTCCCTACCTGCAATCTAGAACATCTCTAGGACATACCCAGAGATAGAACAGATACAGAACAGGAGGTCCTCGCACATCCCTGGATGATTTGCTTCTCCCCAGGCACCTGCCTGCTGTGGCCCATCTCTTTCTGAGACACACAGGCTCCCATCTCTGGAATCCTGGTATCTTATGGCAATGTTCAGCTGTTGATACACCTTCATCCTGAATAGCCCCAGGTCATGGCTGGCTCTGGCTATATATCAAGTGGCTCAGAAGAAGCAAAACATCATTTTGGGGAGAAGAGCATTCTCCCTTCACAAGAGTTAAGAAACCAGAACTCCCAGTGCATGGTGCCTGGTAGCCACAGAATAGCATATTGGCTAAGAGCACAGGGCTTCAGTTTTTCACTGACCCAGGTCTCTATCTGTGGGGCTGTGTGACCTTGGGAAAGTTACTTAACCTCTCTGAGGCTGTTTCCTTACCTGTTAACTGGGGAATCCCATTATAGACCATCATGAGGATTAAATGAGATAATGTGGTGCATGACAAGTACCACGTATGGTGTAAGGCATACAATACAGTAGGTGCTCAGGAGATGGTAATTACTCATGCTGGCATTGGGGGGGAGGTGGTATCTCAGAGAAGAGCCTATTTTTTTGAGGTTTCCACTGGATCATGAGCACCTTTATAGAAACTGCTTGGGAAGAAAGTCCAGGAAGGAGGCAAAGCTTGTTTCATCTTCTATCCTTGCTGCAGCTGGTACAGGGGGACAGGGAGACCGGGGGTGGGAAGGGGGATTGTCATCATGTTATTTCTCTGCAGTCATATTTATCTTTTTGATAAAATAGGCCCTTGTTTTGGAAATTGGAAGAATTTCCCTCATAATTTAAAGCAGCGCCTACCTCTGCCGGTTGTGGTGACTGGGAGATTAATTTCCTAGCTGTCCAAGCAGGCGGATGCCTGCACCAGCTGGCTCCATCTTGCAGGCATGGGTGATGCCATCTCCCGCCCATCTGGTAATGAGCCTGGTGCTGCTAGACAAGGGCAAGGCTCTCATCTGCTGCTGACGCAGGTGAAGGGAGAGGCATCTTCAAGGTGACCCCATGGGGCTGGTCCCAGAGGCAGGTTCTGCGTGCTGTGCAGGGCAGGCAGGCGCAGACACACACACACACACACACACACACACACACACACACACACACAAACGCACGCACATCCAACTCTAGGTTTGCAATCTAAGCACCTGCAACCCTGCCATGGCCAGGGGTCATGGGGGATCATGGGGTGACCAGTGTGTCCCAACCCACATCTGGGGTCAGAAGACATTCCAGAGCCCCATCGGGGACAAGACTCTTGGAGCCAGCCCACTATTCTACAGAGTGTGAACCCCTCACACTACCCTCCCTAAGGAGGGCTGGTGTCCCTAACACTCCCAAGTCCTGCCCTGGGCTCTGAAGGTGAGAGGACGCATGACAGAGAGCAATCAGAGTGGCCATTGGCTCAGGAGTGGTAGCAGGGAGAACCGGGATCATGCTAGATGAGTGGTAGCCAAAAGCTCCATTTCATAACCAGCTCTAGCCAGTTGTAGTCACAGCATGGAGTGCTGTGTTGAGAAGGATGCTGAGTCTGCCTTCTGAACTGAACTGGAAAGAGAACCATGGTCAATTAGTAATGTCTGCCATTGGCATAGACTTAGAAAGTGGTGGCAGGTATGCTATAGATTCACCAGACAAGGACTAGATTTCTCCTAAGTTGAGGTCAAACAAGCCAAATTAAACTGACTCCATTTGCCTACAAGAAAAAGATGGAGGAGAGCCTCACCTTGCCACCTTTTCTCTGTGAGTCTTGAAGAAAAATTACAAGCTTTAGTTTACAGTAGCCAAGGGAATAAAAATTAGAGGTTGGCACTTCATCCAAAACTCAAGCTGTCACAATCAGTCAAAAAATAGAGAAGAAACTGAATTCTAGACTAATGAAGAGACAGACACAGAGCCAACTAAGTTTTCTGCAGTTCACTCAGTCACCCAACAAATATTTAATGAGCACCTATTATGTGCCCAGCACCTGGCTGGGCGCTGCAGATTCATGCAATAAAAGAGTCAGGACAAGGCCAGGGGCAGTGGCTCACACCTGTAATCCCAGCACTTTGGGAGGCCGAGGCGGGTGGATCACCTGAGGTCAGGAGTTCGAGACCAGCCTGGCCAGCATGGTGAAGCCCTGTCTCTGCTAAAAATACAAAATTAGCTGGGCATGGTGGTACATGCCTATAATCCCAGCTACTTGGGAGGCTGAGGCGGGAGAATTGCTTGAACCCAGGAGGCAGATGTTGCGGTGAGCTGAGATCGCGCCATTGCACTCCAGCCTAGGCAACAAAAGCAAAACTGTCTCAAAAAAAAAAAAGTCAGGACAGATGGGATATCTGCCTTCAAAGATCTAACAATCAAATGAGGTGGACAGGGAATCCAAAGACATCACAATTTAATAAACAAGTAAACAAATAAATAAGCAGGATGTTTAGGGATTGTGATGACTGCTGTTCAAAGAAAACACATGGCATGATATATAGTGGGGTAGAGGTCAGTCAGGAGCAACCTGTCTGAGGAGCTGACTTTTAAGGAAAGCTCTAAAGGATGAGAAAGAGGCAGCTGTGCACCATGTACTTTGCGGGACTACCATGAGTAATACTCATGAATATTCATGTACACATTTTTGTGTGGACTTATGTTTCCATTTTTCTTGGGTATATGCCTAGGAGTGCAAGTGCTGGATCATGTGATAATTATGTTTAACCATTTGAGAACTGCCAGTCTGTGTTCACAAAGCAGCTGTACCATTCTACATTCCCACCAGCAGTTTATAAGGGTTTCCATTTCTCCACATCCTCACCAACACTTGGCATTATCTGTCTTTTTGATTATAGCCATCCTACTGGGTGTGAAATGGTATCTCATTGTGGCTTTGATTTGCATTTCTCTGATGGTTAATGATGTTGGGCAACTTTTCATGTGCTTACTGGCCAATTGTATCTTCTTTGGAGAAATGTCTGTTCAGATCTTTTGACAATTTTTTTAATTGGGTTGTCTTTTTATTATTGAGTTGTAAGAGCTCTTTACATATTCTAGGTAAAAGTCCCTTATGAGATAAGTGATACACAAATATCTTCTCCGATTCTACCGACTGTCTCTTCACTTTCTTGAAGGTGTCCTTTGCTGCACTAGTTTTTAATTTTGATGTTTATCTATTTTTCTTTTGCTTCTTGTGCTTCTGGTGTCGTATCTAAGAATCATTTGCCAAATCCAAAATCATGACAACTTACCCCTATGTTTTTATCTAAGAGTTTTATAGTTTTAGGTCATACATTTAGGTCTTTAATCCATTTTCAGTTAATTTTTGTATATTATGTAGGGAATCCAACTTCATTCTTTTGAATGTAAGCATTCAGTTGTCCTAACACCATTTGTTGAAAAGACTATTCTTTCTTCCATTTAATTGTCTTGGCACCCTTGCTGAAAATCCACTGACCATAAATATGAGGGTCTGTTTCTCAACTCTCAATTCTAGTCCATTTATTTATATGTCTATCTCCATGCTAGTACCACACTATCTTGATCATAGTAGCTCTGTAGTAAGTTTAGAAATCAGGAAATGCGTCCCCTCCAACTTTGTTCTTCTTTTGAGGTTATTTTAGCTACGTTTGGTCCTTTGAATTTTCACATGAATTTTAAGATCAGCTTAAGATCATTTCGGTTTCTGCAAGGAAGGCTGGGACTTTGATCAGCATTGTGTTGAATCTTCAGATGAATTTGGGGAGTATTGTCATCTTAACAATATTTAGTCTTCTGAAACATGAACATGGGATGTCTTTCTATTTATTTGGATCTTTAATTTCTTTTGAAAATGTTTTGGAGTTTTCAGAATATAAGTTTTGTATTTTTTTTTTTCTTTCTTGAGACAGAGTCTCGCTCTGTCACCCAGAATGGAGTGCAGTGGCGCATCTCGGCTCACTGCAAACTCCGTCTTCCAGGCTCAAACGATTCCCCTGCCACAGCCTCCTGAGTAGCTGGAATTACAGGTGCCTGGCACCACGCCTGGCTAATTTTATTTGTATTTTTAGTAGAGACGGATTTTACCATGTTGGCTAGGCTGGTTTCAAACTCCTGACCTCAGGTGATCCACCCGCCTCAGCCTCCCAAAGTGCTAGGATTACAGGTGTGCGCCACTGTGCCCAGCCTAAGTTTTGTACTTCTTTAGTTAAATTTACTTCTATTTCATTCTTAATTTCATTTTAGGTTTGGTCATTGCTACCATATAAATATATTATTGATTTTTATCTATCAGTCTTGTATCTTGCAACCTTGCTGAATTTATTAGTTCTAATAGTTTTTTAATGAATTCCTTAGGATTTTTTATATACAAGATTATGTCATCTGCAAATGTAGTTTTACTTCTTCCTTTACAATGTGGATGCCTTTTATTTCATTTTCTTGCCTAAATTGCCCTGGCTAGAATCTCCGATATAATGTTGAATAGAAGTACCAAAAGTGGACATTCTTGTCTAGACCCTGATCATAGGGAGAAGGTTTTAGTATTTCACCATGAAGCACCATGTTATCTGTGAGTCTTTCATAAATGCCCTTTATCAGGTTGAAGAAGTTCCCTTCTATTTTTAGTTTGTTGAGTGATTTTATCAAGAAGGAGAATTCAATTTTGTCATATTTTTCTGTATCTGTTTTGATCATGTGGTTTTTGTCCTAAAGTCTATTGATATGGTATATTACATTAATTGATTTTTTGGATGTTAAACCAATCTTTCATTCCCGGGATAAATCGTATCTAGTCCTAGTGTATAATCCTTTTTATGTATTACTGGATCCAATTTGCTAGTATTTTGTTGGGGATTTTTGCACCTATATTCCTAGGAGATATTGTTCTGTAATTTTCTTTTCTTGTAATGTCTTTGTCTAGTTTTGGTATCAGGGTAATGCTGGCCTTATAGAATGAGTTGATAAGTGTTCCCTCCTCTTCTATGTTTTAGAAAAGTTTATGGAAATTGGTATTATTTCCTTTTTAGCTTTTTCTGTTGTGATAAAATATATGTAACATAAAATTTATCACTTTAACCATTTTTAAGTATACAGTTTGCTGGTATTAAGTACATTCACATTGCTATGCAGCCATCAACACTATCCATCTCCAGAACTCTTCTCATCATCCCAAACTGAAATCCTATATGCATTAAAGTTATTATTTCTTCTGTAAATTTTTGGTAGAATTCTCCAATGAAGCTATCTGGTCCTGGGATTTTCTTTCCGGAAAAAGAAGCTGAGAACTTTCTCGTGTTAATAATTCAATCTCTTTGCTTGTGATAGGCCTCGCCAGAGTTTCTGTTTCTTTTTAAGTCTTTTTCCTTACTTTTGTGTATTTCTTGGAATTTGCACATTTTATCCAAGTTATCCAATTTGTTGGCATACAGTTGTTCATAGTATTCCCTGAAAATTCTTATTTCTGTAAGGTCTGTAGTAACACCTGTAACTGGGACCACAGGTGTGTGCCACCACACCTGGCTAACTTTTTGTATTTTTAGTAGAGATGGAGTGTCACCATGTTGGCCAGGCTGGACTTGAACTCCTGGCCTCAAGTGATCCACCCACCTCGGCCTCCCAAAGTGCTGGGATTATAGGTGTGAGCCACCGCAGCCGGCCAAATTTGTTAATCTTTTTAAAGAACCAACTTCTGGGCCGGGCGTGGTGGCTCACACCTATGGTCCCAATTACTCAGGAGGCTGAGGCAGGAGAATCACTTGAACCTGGGAGGCAGAGGTTGCAGCTGCACTCCAGCCTGGGAGACAATGCGAGACTCTGTCTCAAAAAAAACAAACAAAAAAACAACAACAACAACAAAAAACACACTTCTGGTTTTATTGGCTTTCTCTATTGTTTTTCTATTCTTTATTTCACTAATTTCCACTCTAATCTTTATTATTTCCTTCTCTCTGCCCACTTCAGATTTTAGTTTGCTCTTCTCTTCCCAGTATCTTAAGGTAGAAGGTTAGGTTGTTGATTTGAGATCTTTTCTCATTTTTAATGTAGACATTTACATACATAAATTTCCCTCTAAACACTGCATTAGCTGCATCCTGCAAGTTTTTTGTTTTGTTTTTGTTTTTGTTTTGAGATGGAGTTTTGCTCTTGTTGCCCAGGCTGGAGTGCAGTGGCACGATCTTTGCTCACTGCAACCTCCGCCTCCCAGGTTCAAGTGATTCTCCTGCCTCAGGCTCCCAAGTAGCTGGGATTACAAGCACCCACCACCACGCCCGGGTAAATTTTTTTGTATTTTTAGTAGAGACGGAATTTCACCATCTTGGTCAGGCGGGTCTCAACCTCCTGACCTCAAGTGATCCACCCACCTCACCCTCCCAAAGTGCTGGCATTACAGGCATGAGCCACTGCGCCCAGCCTGCATCTCACAAGTTTTAGTGTGATGTCATTTTAACTTATCACCAAAGTGAGGCAGACAAATCCAATTTGTCAGTACAGAGTGATTTATTTGGGGAACTTAAGGATGGAAGTGTAGTCTTGGAGAGCAGCAAAACAGGTAGATCTCCACACTGTTGCTCCCCAGACCCAGGGCTTATATATCACAGGGAAAGGGTATACATGCTCTATGCAAGACAATTAAAGGCAGCCCTCCAGAACAGGCAAGAATGCTACATGCATCATAACCTATAATTTGTGCAATAACATCAAGGCTGACATGTTCTTACGCTAAAGACAGTAAATAAAGTGAGAATCAGGAGGTTTTCACAGGACCAGGGCTAATCAGAAGTCAACAGGGCAGATTAGCATCTGTATTAGTTCATTCTCACATTGCTATGAAGAAATACCTGAGGCCGGATAATTTATAAAGAAAAGAGGTTTAATTGACTCACGGTTCCAGATGGCTGGAGAGGCCTCAAGAAACAGACAATCATGGCGGAAGGCACCTCTTCACGGGGCAGTAGGAGAGAGAATGAGTACAAGCAGGGGAAATGCCAGACACTTACAAAACCATCAGATCTCATGAGACTCACTCATTATCACGAGAACAGCATGGGAGAAACTGCCCCCAAGATTCAATTACCTCCACCTGGTCCTGCCCTTAACACGTGGGGATTATAGGGATTACAATTAAAGGTGAGATTTGGATGGGGACACAGAGCCAAACTATATCAGCATCCAAGATGGAGTCACTCTTGTCTCCACACCCCACATTCTCACATCGGAGGGTCAGGAAGCATGCATGTCCAACCAAAGCCTTAGGGCGCTCCCTCACTCCAGTGCGTGCCTCTCCAGGGGAGCGTCTTACAGTGAACTTCAGCAAAGGCTTGGCTCTCAAGAGTGAGATGACACACTGGCCCAGACACTAGAGCCTCCATCTCACTCCCTCCTGATGAAGGCTAGTAGGCTGCAAGAGCCACCAGCATGGGCCACACCTGCCCCAAGGGCATGTTTCTAGCCCCAGCTAAGGTCCCGAGTTTGTGCTTTACCACCTGTTCCTGTCCTAGGTTGAGTGTGATTGAGGCTTTTGGGGTCAGTGCTAGAAAGGTATGGGAAGGAGAAACGATCACAGCTGAGTGTCAAGCCTCTGATTGGTAGATGGCCAGGCCCTCACCTGGGAAAAAAGCCCTCCTACAGCTACTCAGGCAGGTGGCCACCCACGCTCTCCTTGATTACCACCCAAGACAGAGGCCTCACTCTCCTGAGGCATCGCAAGGCCTCCCTGCCATTTCCCCATCTGGTCTCAAGACTGGAGCTACTCACTCAATACATGCATTAGGAAACTTTGGAGTGCCTAGCCCCATTGTTGAGTTTGAGGACACAGAGAGTGATCAAACACAAGCCCTGGAAACCAGACATGATCATATGTAACAAATGCAAAGCTGGGGCTTGAACATGGGCTCTGGGAGAACGTGCAAGGGGACCCCTCTCAGAACAGAGCCTACGAAAGATCTGACCTTCCTGGTGCTTGCCCGTGACCCTGTGGTTCATTGAATGTCTGAAGCTGGCTCCCTACTGCTGTTCAGAGATCCGGCTGGCAGCCTCAGGAAGGGTTTGCACTGAGAGCAGGAGAGGCACTGAGGGCAAGAGAGCAAGCACTGGACTTTGAAGCCAGATCTGGGTTCTAGCTTAGCTCTGCCGTGGAGTAACTGAGCAACCATGGGCCAGTCACTTACCAGCGCTGAGTCTCAGTCCACCCATCTGTGAAAGGAGAAAGTTGCATCCTAAGTTGCAGGGCTGAGTTGGAGGGAATTCAGTGACACTCCAAGACACTCACTAATGCGGAGCTGACTGTCCACGTGAGGCAGTGGGTGCCCATGGCTGCCCCTAGCTGACTCAGACCCCTCCCCAGGACCCCAGCTCCCAAGGCCCCAGCATCTTTTCCGGTGAGAGGACTAAGTCACCCGTCCCCAGGAGCTTCTTTCCGTAGGACTCTCAAGGATCCAGCTGTTAGTCCTGGAGGAGGTTCCTGCACTCTCCCCTTGCTCCCACCACACCACATCCTCCCTGGAAGTCCCCTCTACCCTTCTGTGCCTTTGTCCCTCCTGGAATGCCTCTCCCTGCCTTCCCTGAGCTAACTCATCCTCACCCTCCAAGATCACCTTGGCCTTACCTCTTCTGGGAAACCTTCTCTCATCTGATCCAAGCCCCTGACGCATCTGGGTCAATTTCAGCCCACAGCCCCAGGCCTGCCTGAAGCCGGCAGAATCGTTACTCATACTCTGTCCCCCTGTGCATCCCCCACTGCTTCCTAAGACATTGGTAAAATCATGTTGACCTTTCAACTTGTCTAGCTCTAAGAGTCTTGGATTCAAGCCTCAGCTCTACCACTAATTTGCTGGGTAACCTTGGGCAAGTCCACTGCCCTCTCTGAGCTTCCTGTTTCCTATCTGTGAGGTAGTTCAGCTTGTGGGCAGAGGCTTCAGAGGAGAGGAGGGACAGTCAGCCCTCACTACCAGAGGCTCCTGCAGGCAGCGGAGTGAGGTGCTGCTCTCCTTCTCCCCCAGGAGCAGCCAGGATAGAGTCCGTGGGCCTGAGCCCAGACCCTCCTCCATTTATTTAGGGAGCAACAGCTCACAGGGCAGCACGGGCAGAGAAGGAAGGGGTGTGGCAGGCCTGGGCTCCAGCTCAGTGTCCTCTCTCTCTGTCCACAGTAGCACGATACAACCGCACCAGCTACTTCTACCCCACATTCTCAGAGAGCTCGGAGCACAGCCATCTGCTCGTGTCCCCCGTGCTGGTGGCGAGTGCCGTCATAGGTGTGGTCATCATCCTCTCCTGCATCACCATCATTGTGGGCAGCATCCGCAGGGACAGGCAGGCCCGGCTTCAGCGGCACCGCCACCGCCACCACCGCCACCACCACCACCATCATCACCACCGCCGGCGTCGACACCGAGAGTACGAGCACGGCTACGGTGAGCCGCCGCCCACCCTGGGGCCCTGGGACCTCATCTGACTGGGATTGCAACACAGGAGGCATCAAGGAGTTGGCAACTCTGCCCTGGGTGGAGCAGGGTGGTCGGGAAAGCATCCTAGAAGTCTTGGGTGGTCAGGAAGAGCTCACAGGCGCCCACCATAATGTTCTCGGTGACATGAGAGGCCCGGATGACTGCTAAGAGAGAAACTCAGAGTGAGGCTGAAGGTCAGAGGGAGAGTGTGTCACTCCTCCCCTGCCACTGTTGGTCCAGGCTGCACCAAGGGCTGGTCCATCTGGTGTCTCGATGGATGGATGGATGGATGGATGGATGGATGGATGGATGGATGGATGGTTGGGTGGAGAGATGAGTGGATGAATGAAGAGAGGAATGGATGGGTGAGAAGGGAGAAGGACTCGTAGGAAAATGGATGGGTGAGGAGTGAGGTGATGGATAGATGGAGGTTGAGTGGAAGAGTCAGTGGATGGGTGGAGAGATGGATGGGTGGAGAGTATGAATGGATAAATGGGTAGATGAAAGGATGGATGAATGAGAAAATGGAGGGATGGATAGATGGGTGGATTGAGTGTTATGCCTGAGTGGAGAGATGGAAGGGAGGGTTGAGTGGAGGAATGGAAAGATAAATAGGTGGGCAGTGGGATGGGTTGATGGGGGTGAATATATGAATAAGTGAATGGGTGAATTTATGGAATGAATGATGAGTGAATAAAACTATCCCTGGTGAGAGTCAGCAGAGTGCAAATAGAACTGATCTGAGGGTCTCCCAGTTGTTGGGATCACCCTTAAACAGAGTTGGTGGCTAATTCTTGGGTGACCAGTCCCAAATCTGTGCATGTGGCTAGAATGCCTGAACTTTTTACAGAACGCAGCCACCTGACTGTGTCACTCCTGGAAGGGGCCAGCTGTCTAAGGCAGCAGGAAAAAATTCAATTGCATTCCATTCTCAGACGATTTTCAATGGCAGGAAAAAGCCAGACTCTTCCTTCCCAAATCACCATCCACAGGCCTTCAGGGGCCTCTGCCTAGGTCCAAGGCCACCACCAGATAGGGAAAAGAAAAGCAGGACCTTGGAGGTGCTTAACAGCAGTAGGCACCCTTCACACTGCAGGGTGAAGTGATGCCAACCTCCTAGGAGCCAGAGCCATGGCCAGACCTGAGGCGTTTCCCTCTCCAAGGCAGGAAAAGCTTGGGGAAAAGAAAGATAGGAAAAATTTTTAAAATAGATTGAATTGGATCCGATCAGCCCTGGCCTTTGGGGCCCCTCCTCCCCCTCCCAGACACACCCTGATTAGCCAGGTTTGGGGTATTTCCTGTCCTTTTTCAGAGTTAACTGGTTAAGGAGGGGACTGATGGGTAGCTGGAGCTGGTGAACAGGAGCCTGGGTAGTAATGGCCAGTGAGTAAGGAGTGCTTGCTGGGTGCCTGGCGCTGTCTGTGCACATAATCTCACTGCAAAATCCTCACCATGGTCCTAGTGAGATGATAACTCACTTGAGCCCAGGCAGCCTGACCTGGCACCCACAGGCTGCCCCGCTGCACAGCACTGCCCAGGAAGGGAGCTGGAGGTGTCGGGGAGACGCCCCTGGGAGCCGCCCCGTGGGCTCAAGGCAGTGTCCGGCAGACACGTACATGGCCACAGTGGGTGTCACTCAGACCTGGATGTTGCTCCCCTGGGAAAGCTGTTAGGAGAATCAGAAGAGCAGGAGGCTGGACCTTGTGTAAGACACAGAGGGACATCCCGGGATGAGTCGGACAAGTGGCCACAGTTGAGGAAAGACACAGCAGGCTAGTGGACTGTTCTCACTGTCCAACAATGAGGATCAAAGAGAAAGTTCAGCATGAATAAAACAGATGTGGAAAGCTCAGCCCACCCAGTCTCTGCAAGTCTCCCCAGAAGCCAGGGACTCCCCAAGGAGACAAGCCAGAAGCACTCCCAGGCCAGGACGGGCCTGTCCCACCCCTGCATCACCAACCTGAGGCTGCAGAGTCCAGGGCTCCTGCCCAGAGCATGCCCATCCCCTGCAAGAGAAACCCAGGTCCCCAAGCCCTGGAGGATGCCGGGTAGACCCAGGATGGTCAGTCTGCCGCCTGCCCCTCGCACAGCCTGGCCCTTGCCCAGCTCCTCCCACTCTTTTCCAGTCCCCTGTCCATGCTCCTTCCAGCCTCTGCCCTTTGCCTGGGCTCTTCCCTCTGCCCTGACTGCCATTCCCTGGCCTTCTCGAACCGAAAAAAAGCCTTCCAGGCCCCGCTCAAAGGCTGCCTCCTTATGGGAGCTTGTCTGGCCTCTCCTCACACCTACCAGGCAGAGCTGGATAGGTGTCCCCCTCCTCTGTACCTCCTCGGCATTGCACCCATGCCTCCCTCAGTGTCTTGGTCATGGGGTGATTGTGCTGCATCCATGAGAGCAGGGCCCACAGGTGACTCGTCCCCAGACAGGCTCAGGCCTGGAGGAAGCGCTCCATGGGCAAGGTAGGAGCCACTGTATTTTATCCTCAAGGCAAAAGATGTAGTTGCCCCCTTTAAAGACTAGGAAACTAGTCAGGTGCGGTGGCTCATGCCTGTAATCCTAGCACTTTGGGAGGCTGAGGCGGACGGATCATCTGAAGTCAGGAGTTCAAGACCAGCCTGGCCAACATGGCAAAACCTTGTCTCTACTAAAAATACAAAAATTAGCTGGGCATGGTGGCACATGCCTCTCATCCCAGCTACTCAGGAGGCTGAGGTACAAGAATCGCTTGAACCTGGGAGGCATAGGTTACAGTGAGCCAAGATCATGCCACTGCACTCCAGCCTGGGTGGCAGAACGAGACTCTGTCTCAAAAAATAAAAAGTAAATAAAGAATAGGAAACTGGGCTGGGTGCCATGGCTCACACCTGTAATTTCAACACTTTGGGAGGCCAAGGTGGGAGGATCACTTCAGACCAGGAGTTTGAGACCAGCCTGGGCAACACAGCAAGACCCCATCTCTACAAAAAAAATGTAAAAATTATCCAGGTGTGATGGCACATGCCTGTAGTCCCAGCTATTCAGGAGGCTGAGTCGGGAGGGTCCCTTGAGCCCAGGTCAAGGCTTCAGTGAGCTATGATCTCACCACTGCATGCCAGCCTGGGTGACAGCAGAGAGAGACCCTGTCTCTAAAAAAATAAAAAAATTAAGACTGGGAAACTGAGGCACAAAGAAGCAACTTGTTCAATGACTTATCTTGGAGTGCACGCTAGGCGCCCACAGTAGTTCCCAAGCTGAGAGGGCTGAGGGGTTGGCCTTGGCGCAGAGGAAAGAGATGGGCTTAGGGGCAGGCCAGCCCCTCTGTAGCCTGTGGTGGCCTCGGGACTGGTGCCAATGAATGAGGCCTCGGCTCTGTCCCTGGGGTGGGTGGGATGACTGAGGTCACAGCTCTGCCAAGCGGGGTCAGGCCTTGGCTTCCCCACTGCAGCCTGTGGTGGTGGTGACCCCTGTGGGGTTCCGGCCTCCCTGCCCCACTTCTGCACTCGGCTACAGCTTTGACACCTCCTGGGGCCTCGGCAGGGAACCCAGAGGTGCTGTTGCCCCATATCTTCCCCCAGCCTTCTGGAGGATGCGCAGGGGCTGCCGGGAGCCTTGGGAGGGTGCCAGGGAAGAGGGAAACGCACTGTGAGCAGCTGTGGGAGAACATGAAAGCGGCACCACCAGGCGCGGTGCCTCACACCTATAATCCCAGCACTTTGGGAGGCCAAGGTGGGAGGATAGCTTGAGCTCAGGGGTTTCAGGCTGCAGTGAGCTACGATCACACCATTGCACTCCAGCCTGAGCAACAGAGCAAGACCCTGTCTCTAAATAAATAAATAAATAAATAAATAATAAATAATAAATAAAGAGGGAGGGGCAGTGTACCAGTGAACCCCAACCTTTGGCACTGGGCCCCTTCCACCTGTCAGACACACTCACAGCCCCCCAGCTCTGGTGACTCAAGCCCTCCTGGCCTCTCTCCCACCCCTCTGGCTGCGGATTCCTCTCCTCTGTCCCTTTATAAGTCAAGGTCCCTCAGATCCCACACCTTGGTCCTGGTCCTCTCTCTACACCCACTCCCTGCTCCATCTCATACACCATCCATCATCCTCCCTTACCTAGCTCCAGCCCGCAGGTCAGCTCCAGAACTGCATGCCCAGAAGTCCCCTGGACATCACCCTGTGAAGCCCCACAGGCACCTCAGGCTCCAGGTGTCCACAGAGGCCTGATTTCCTACTTCCTATGCGCATCCTCAGGAAAGCTGCCAAAACTCTCTTTGCCTCAGGCGAGTCATCTATAAAACTGGTGCAAGAGGATCCACCTCAAACAGTTATTGTGAGGACTAAATTAGCACAGCACCTGGCTAATGGGTAAATACATGCTCAATAAATGTGAGCTATTTTCATCATCTCTTTCTCCAAGAAAACCTGCTCCCAGGCCACTGCACTAATGTCAGCTGTCCCTGCCTGCCAGCCACCAGCCTGGCACCTCCAAGGCATTCTCCACAAGGCAACCAAAGTGACAGGACTGTGACCACTTCCCAATGGCTCCCCATCACCCTCAGGACAGAGTTGGCCCTCTGCCTGCCCACAGAGCCTTTCTGTAGTCTAGCCAGACACAGAGAGGAGCCACAAATCTTTGAGAATGAGATGGGGGTGGGGGAGGAAGAAGAAAGAGGGAGGGAGAGAGGGAGGGAGAGAGGGAGGGAGAGAGGGAGGGAGGGAGGGAGGGAGAGAGGGAGGGAGGAAGGGAGGGAGGGAGGGAGGGAGGGAGGGAGGGGAAATAGAGAAGAGAGAAAGAAAGAAGAAAGAGAAGAGAAGAAAGAAGAGAGAGAAAAAAAGGAGAGAAAGAAAAAGGAAAAAGAAAGGAAAGAGAAAGAAAGAAAGAAAGAAGAAAGAAAGGAGAGAGAAGGAAAGAAAAGAAAATTCTGTCATTCTGTTCCATCTTGAGCTTTAAGAGAGATCTGGTGGCTGACTCTGTCTCCTGTCACTTCTGCAGGTTTAGAGCAAGTGACTTCACTCTCGGTCTCTTCATCTGGTGGAAGGGGTAACCACTGCTCTCCTCCCACAGTGGGGTGTGAGGTAGATGAGATCATAGAGATTGAGCACAGCAGGTGCTCATGAGTGCCAGTTCCTCTTCCTCCCTCTCCCAGAGCCTGTCAAGGGGCAGTGAACTTGGAGTGATGTTAAATAATGAACCAAGGTATCGGGGTAAACAGGAGGTTTCAGCTTATGTGAAGTGGGAAGCAGGGCTTCCGGAGTCCTGGACTATTTGGATCTGTGCCGACAGGGAAGTCAGGAGAGAAGGGAAAAGAAGGGATTTGGGAAGTTCAAATGGGAGTGGCGGGTGCAGGTTTCTTTCCAGCTGTCTCTCAGGAGCTCTGCCCAGCTGGATGTCTCAGGTTTGGGGTCTGAGCACCTTAGGGCAGCCTCAGTTTTCCCAAGATGCTCCCCTCTGGGAAGTCCAAGAAAAAGCAGCCCAAGAAGAAAGGGTAGATAGCAGTTTGCTCCAGCTCTAACAGCCCTCAGCGCTGCCCACCCAGTCACTCCTCTCAGGTCCAGGAAGCAGCCCTGACTTTCCCCAGGGATCCCTGTGTGACAGGCACACCTGCTGCCCTGCAGGTGGAACCCTCCCTGAACCCAAAAACCCTTCCCTGGCAATGCTGGCTGGTGGGGCGAAGGGGTACCTGGCACCCAAGCCCAGCAGCCCTGGTTCAACTTCCAGTCTCACCTTGTTGCTGTGTGCTGTTGTCTTTTCTTAGTTTCTTTCCTAAGTTCTTCCAAAAATTCTGTCTCTCAGCTGGTGCCCTGAACAGGAGAAACAAATGGCATTTCAGCTCCTTTTTTACAGCATATGTTATTGACTTCATTTCTCCTAGTAGAAAAGTAATGTGTGTTCATTATAGAAAACCTTAAAAATATAGACAATATAAGAAAAGAAATATAAAGAAATAAATAGGCCAGGCGCGGTGGCTCACGCCTGTAATCCCAGCACTTTGGGAGGCCGAGGCGGGCAGATCACGAGGTCAGGAGATTGAGGCCATCCTGGCTAACACGGTGAAACCCGGTCTCTACTAAAAATACAAAAAATGAGCCGGGCGTGGTGGCGGGTGCCTGTAGTCCCAGCTACTCGGGAGGCTGAGGCAGGAGAATGGCGTGGACCCCGGAGGCGGAGCTTGCAGTGAGCTGAGATCGCGCCACTGCACTCCAGCCTGGGCGACAGTGAGAGACTCCGTCTCAAAAAAAAAAAAAAAGAAAGAAAAGAAAAAAAGAAAAAGAAATAAGGGTCATGATCCTCTGTCATCTGGACAGGGCCACCATCAACGTGTTTGGAATATTTTCTTCTGAGAGCTTTCTCGGTGTCGGTATATAACCCTGGGATTGGAATTGTACCTGCAGATAGAGTTTCATATCCAGATTCTTCCACTCACTATTATATGAAGAGTGGGAAAAAGAGTTTAGGGGAGTGGGAAGAGCAGTCTTTGGGGTTATACAGAGTGCATAAATTACAACTCCATGCTTCACCACGTATGTGACCCTGAGTATCAGCTTCCTTGTCTGTAGAATGGGGATGGCAACTGCGCCACTCACAGCAGAGAAAGGTTATAGCTCCGCCCCTGATGCCAAGCCCCACCCCCAGAGGGGAGGAGGCACCTGGGAGCCCTGGACTGAGGAGACCTCGTGTCTCAGCCACCTTTGCAGCTCCCACTGTTCCCATCCAGGACGATACATGTCAGAAACTGGGCTGTAGAGAGCTTAGCAAGGAGGAGCCAAGACATCCAGCTGCCCTCTGGCCCAACCACTCACTGTGTGTTGTCCTCCAGCAAGTCACCGGGCCTCCCAGAACCTCAGCTGTGGAATGAGAGGATTGTGCTCCAGCAGCATTTCCTAAACAGTGTTACTAGGTCTAAGAAAGGAAGATTCTGAGGTCGAATGCTGGACAGGCACAGTTAAATGTGTTTTTTAGCTGCAGGACTTTTCAGAGCCTTTGATGTCCTGGTGCATGGTAAAAAAT
The DNA here is from genome assembly GCF_000001405.40 of Homo sapiens. Taxonomy (NCBI): domain Eukaryota; kingdom Metazoa; phylum Chordata; class Mammalia; order Primates; family Hominidae; genus Homo; species Homo sapiens. The sequence continues at coordinate 66,476,886 of NC_000016.10, forward strand.
GCAGAGGAGAATGCAGTGTGGGGAGCTGCCAGACTCATCATAGAAGCCCCTTTTTTTCCCCAAGATACCTAAAGGGCAGTGAGTGTGGGAGGGCTGATCCCAGAGTTCTCTGAAGCCCTCATTCCTTGCTACTCTCCACCGCATTTTCCATGCCCAGCCCAACTCCACAGCTCAAAGCTCCCTGTTCACACCACACTCTTCTTTCTTATCTCCCTCCTTGGAAAGCTATTCAGTTCCCTCCTCCCGGCCTTCCCCTCTTCCCCTGGTTAAATCCTAGACAAGACTCAGCTGTAGCAGCCCCTCCTCCAGGAAGCCCTCCCTGACTTCCAGACTGGTCAGGCCTGCCTTTACTCCCACAGTCCCAGTAGGACCTCTACCAAAGCTCATGACACACTGCCTAGTGCCAGGTTATCCCCAAAGCAGGCTGCCACCACCTTGGGAGCTGGCCAGGACAGGGCCAGCTCTGCTTCCTCTCTGTATCCCCATGCCCAACACGACAATGGCACCCACATTCTGGAGCTGTCACTGATGGATGAAGGCAGCTGTGCTTGGTGAGGAGAGGAGTGGTCAGGTGGGGAATCAGAGCCTCCATGGCCCCAGGTAGACCTACAGACCCATAAGGACCATCCCTGGATCCTGGTCTGAGGCCCAGGCCGGTGGTCTGTTCCCTGCAGTGTCGGACGAGCACACATACAGCCGCTCAAGCCGCAGGATGCGCTATGCCTGCAGCTCCTCAGAGGACTGGCCCCCACCCTTGGACATCAGCTCTGACGGGGACGTGGATGCCACGGTGCTCAGGGAGCTGTACCCAGATTCTCCACCAGGGTAAGGAGGCCTCATGGGGAAGGGGGCATCAGAGGATGGGGCCCTGGACACAAAGACCCCCCAACTCCATCATGGGAAAGAGTGGCACCTCTGCATGTCGTATAAATGCAGAAAACATCTGCTCAGTGGGCATGGCCACCTCCTCCCCACTCCTGACCAAGTAGGTCCCACTGAGGCAGTGTGACTTAGCAGATATCACCTGGAAGTGCTAGGAAAGGAAGAGACAAGCCCACCTCCTCAGGCTGTTGAGTAGGCATGCCGGGAATGCCCCTGCAGTTTCAGGGGAGGTTCCGTGGCAGCTGTTCTGAATTCCCTGGGGATCTGCTCCTCCGGGTGTCTCCCTCAGGGTGGGAGGGAAGGCCAGAGGAGTATCTGGCTATTTCCGTGGCTGTGGGATCAACTTCCCCCTAGGGAAAAAAAACTGTATTGTGTTTCTATAAATAACACCAGGGACTGGGGGGTAAAGAGGGGACAAGCCCATATGCTGACATCTGATGGCCCCAGGTGCACTCGCTCTGGAAATTGTTTCTTGTATGATCATGAGCAAGTTACTTAATCCCGCTGTGCCTGCTTCTCCATTGTGGAAATGTCCATGTAATAATACCTGCCCCAGCCGGGCGTGGGGGCTCACGCCTGTAATCCCAGCACTTTGGGAGGCTGAGGTGGGGGATCACGAGGTCAGGAGATCGAGACCATCCTGGCTAACACGGTGAAACCCCATCTCTACTAAAAATACAAAAAATTCGCCGGGCGTGGTGGCGGGCGCCTGTAGTCCCAGCTACTTGGGAGGCTGAGGCAGGAGAATCGCTTGAACCCGGGAGGCGGAGGTTGTAGTGAGCTGAGATCGCACCACTGCACTCCAGCCTTAGCGACAGAGTGAGACTTCGTCTCAAAAAAATAATAATAAAATAATAATAATAATATCTGCCCCACAGGATACTCATGAAAATGACACAGAAGTGCCAGTAAAATGCTCAGCAAGGCACTGGCTCTTCCCACCAGTGGTGTCGTTACTATTTCGAGGCCACAGGTGATAACTATCATGCTGAGGAGGACGAGGGGAGGGGATCAGGGAGGATGGGCTGACACAGGAAATCGGCCTTTGTCAAGGGTGTGTGGTGCTTGGGTTGGGAGGAACTGGGACCTTCAGAGATACAGAGGAGGGTGTGACCAGCAGAGGGCACAGATGAGCAAAGGCCCAGAGGCAGGCGAGCACGCGTGTGCCACGCTACAGAGGGCACAGTGGGGTTTGACCTCCTCTCCCCTTCCCCTGCCCTGGCTTTCCAGTCATACCCACCTGGGTTTGAGCCCATCCTGGACGCCGCCCAGGTTGATGCTCTCAGGCATGTCACTGTGGCTCTCAGGGGCTCCATTTCTTTGTTTATGAAATAAGGACAAATAACCCTGCTTCCTGGGTTTTCCTGGGAAGGAAGATACTGTGGGTATCTGGGGATGTGGCTCAGGGTTAGACCTGAGCCCTTGGTTCCTGAGGCCATAGCCTGAGGACACAGGCACCTCCCCCATCCCCAGCTGCCTCTGCCCGGTGCAGCTCATCTAAAGGACAGGAACAGGTGGGGCTGCTTCTGATGGAGGTGGAGGTGCACAGATGCCCTGGGGGTGCCTGGGAGCCAACTTCTCCCTGAGTCAGAGCAGAGGGTTGGGTTGGCCTCAGGCACGAGGGGATGCCCCAGCTGCAGGCCTCCATTGTGGTCAGGCACCCCCAAGGCTGGTTGGGTCCAGTGCCTGGACAGGGCTGGGTAGGCATGAGGCAGGGGTGGAGAGGGGTGGGGAAGGTGGGGGCACGACTACGAAGACAGAGGTGATTCCCCCTCCAAACACACACACACACATACATGCACACACGAACACATACACGCACACACCTTCCGAGACCTCCCAGGCAACAAGGGTCTGGCTGAGCCTGGGGTCTCTGTGGCCTCACCTGTAGCCACTGAGGCAGAGACTGGCCTTAGGGATCAAGACGGGTTCCTCTCAGAGAAGTGGGGGGTCATGGAGCCAGAAGGAGGGAGTTATGCCCTCAGCTCCTGAGGACCCCAGAGACAGTGGCAGTGGGAAGAGAAAGGACAGGTGGAGCTTGTGGCCAGGAGGGCCCTGTGCCTGTGATCATGCCCACAGGAGTGGCTGTGTCCAAACTGCCCTCAGGGCCCTCAAGCAGCCCCCTCCCCATGGGGAGCTCTTCTCTGGAGGGCTTTTGTTCCTCTCCTGCCAGCCCCCCTCAGGCAGATCACCCATCAGTACTCGAAGAGGGAAAGGGGTCAGGGCCTCCACCATTCCCTGCTAGGAGACCCCTCCAGCCCTGGATGAATGGCCCGTGTCCTCCTCCTTGGCCTTCCACCTTCACCCCTGCCCCAGGGGCTCGAGCAGGGGTGGTGCTGCCAGTCCTTTCGGGGCAATGGGTGCTCTTTTGCTCTGCATCTGTGGGTTCAGAGGGGCCCAGGGGACTCTTTCCTAAACTGAGAAGGGGAACTTTGGAGTGGCTGGAGACCAGGGTGTCTGGTAGCCTGAGGTTGGTCCTACCCAGCCTCTGCACACCCAGTGCGCTGCGGGGAGATGCTCCCTAGACAGTGGCCACTGCTGTTTCGAGGCACCGCAGACCCAGGCAGCTCAGTGTTCATGCGTTGAGCTCACACCGCATATGAGGGCTGAGTCAGGTCCCAAATCCAGGTCCCAGGGTTCTGAGGTCCCCCTCTGGAGATGGAGGGAAGTAGCAGGGTTTCATTGGAGCCAGCGTGGACAAGGCCCACCCTGGTCCACAGCCAGGACAGCTTGTCACTGCAGATAGACCCCCAGGCCTTTGGGAGAGACCCAGCCCTAAGGCCTAGGTGGGGCACTGAGGGAGCCTCTTCTCTCGTAGCTACGAGGAGTGTGTGGGGCCAGGGGCCACTCAGCTGTATGTCCCCACGGACGCACCACCACCCTACTCGCTGACTGATTCCTGCCCCACGCTGGATGGCACCTCCGACTCAGGCAGCGGCCACAGCCCTGGCCGACACCAGCAGGAGCAGAGGACCCCGGCCCAAGGTGGCCTTCACACGGTCTCCATGGACACCCTTCCCCCCTACGAGGCTGTGTGCGGGGCTGGCCCCCCATCAGGCCTGCTGCCACTGCCGGGCCCAGACCCAGGGCCAAGGGGCTCCCAGGGCTCACCCACCCCAACCCGGGCCCCAGCCTCTGGCCCAGAGAGGATTGTGTGAGGGACCCAGCCAGCCGGGTCCTGCTGGTCCCTACAGGCTGAACCACATTCTTTAGGCACACAAAGGCGTGCACACACACACAGAGATGCACACGTGACTCATAACACACACATAGACCAAACTTGTATACACACAGACATCTACACTGACATACCCCATGTACACACACAGATCTAGACGTGCTCCACATATGTGTGAATATGCGCACATACAGGCCTACCACAAACACAAAACCCACCTGCAAAGGTTTCACGGAACGTGGAGCTCTCCTGGCCTCCCGTCCCTCCTCCCGGCCTGTTTGTTGTGCCTCTGTAGAGAGCGCTTCGGAGAGAGAGGCGAAGTAGGAAGTGGGATTTTCTCTTCCCTCTCCTGGGCCCGTTTGCCCCTACCCTCGCCCAGCAAGCTGCGCCCAAATTCTATTCTGCCTCTGGAAACTGCTGGACCATCCAAGGTCAGCTGCCTGCCCTGACCCCTACCCCAGGGCCAGCTTGTCCTCCTGGGAGGCGGGACAGGCCCCAGTGAGGTTCCGTTGTGCGCTGTGCCTATCTCTCGATTCCAGGGCAGATGAGCCACAACATCACCACCCTGCCACTTACAAGGTGGGGGACCTGGGTCTGGGGTCTCAGGCGCAAACTGGAGGCCCTCACAGCCCACTAGGCCCCCTCCCAACCCCAGTACCCTCAGTCCCTCAGTCAGGTGGTGCTAGTAGAGCTATCTCTGACGCTGCAGGCCCCAGGTAGATGGGCAGGGCCCTCCGTGGGTGTGCAGCGGCGGTTCCCTCATCAGTCCAGCCACTGCCCAGGACTAAGGGTCTTCAAGGAAGATGAGGCCATTGCCCTTCTCCAGGTGGCTTCACCACAGTGCTGCCTGGGCACCTCTCTGAGGCAGAGAAGTGGCCCCTCCCTCAGTCCCTGCCTGGCCGACCACTGTGGCCTGCACGCGAATGGGTCAGAGCCAGACCCCGGAGCTGGTGCTGTCCTTCTAGGTGGCTGCTCATAGCTGGGGATGGTGAGTGGCTGTGTTCTGGCCTTGCCCACGTGGGTGTTTGCAGAGACAAAATGAAGGGGATATGCTCCCCATAAATACCACCTTGCCACCACAAGAGGACCAGAAGGCTACTCAGCCTTGCTGCCACAGAAGGGGATTTGTAGGGTCAGCCTGGCTGCAGAAAGGCTGGCTCAGATCTTGACCAAGAAACCCCAGCGATTTCCATCAAAGACCACGCAGGTAACAGAGGTGATTCCTGAAGACCCAGCCCACAGAGGGTGGCAGCCAAGCATCTCTGAGCAGTGTCCCTGCTAGCATCGCCAGCGGCCATCACTCTGCCTCCCTCCCACCTCTTGTCCCTCGTCGTTAAAAAACAGCACCCTATCCTGCTTCCCCACATTTCTGTTCCTCCAATGAAGGGCTAAGACTATTTAGTAATCTCTTTCTTAAGCAGAGGAGTGGCAAGGATGGCAATCTTGAATTTTATTTTCTGTAGAGATAGCATTTCTTCTGGTGCGGAGCTGAAAGGAATCCACCCAGAAGTTCTGTAGCATCCTGCGTGCAGCCTCCTGGAGCCCCAGACTCCATCTGGGGGAGGGACTTGTTTACAAGCAGTTCTGACCACCTTAGTGGTGTACTGTTTTCTAGGCAAAAAATATCTGTCTGTTGTACTGTATAGCCTTTAAAATGCAGTCCAGGAATGAGACTCTTTTAAGAAACACATCCTGCTTCTGCAATTCCAGAGAGTGCTGGGGGAAAAAAAGGGATAAAAATTCCTACCTACTCATCAGTGTTTGAAAGATGGAGCTGAATAGCTTTTCTTGTTCCTGGACTAGGCAATGAATAAGCAACAATGTATCTTTTCTGTGTTCAAAATAAATACATAATATCAATAAAATGTAGCAAGAAGTAACACTTTCAGAGAGTGCATAAGGTTCCTTTTTTTCTTTTCTTTTTTTCTTCAGACAGGGTCTCACTCAGTCGCCTACGCTGGAGTGCAATGGTATGAACATAGCTCACTGTAGCCTTGAACTCCTGGGCTCAAGTGATCCTCCCACCTCAGCCTCCTAAGCAGCTGGGACTACAGGCATGCACCACCATACCCAGCTAATTTTTGATTTTGAATTTTTGTAAACACAGGGTCTCACTATGTTGCCCAGGCTAGTTGAAACTCCTGGTCTCAAGCGATCCTCTCACCTCAGCCTCCCGAGTAGGGTTTATACCTTCTGAAACTTGTAAGAAAAGGAAACACTAAATAGCAACAAAATGAAAATACACCTCCGGCTAGCAATCTCTACCCATTCATTACCTCTCAAGATTAAGCACCATTGAAGCCTTGTCATTTTCCTGTTGATGTGGATATTTGGATAGTCAGTGCCTTACAGGAGTTGCTTTTTTTTTTTTAACCTCACTGAAACTTGGCATCATTTCTCTGAGACATGGCTGGTGTAACGTCATGAGGATGGGCCATCAACTTCAGGACCTGACTCTAGGAACTTCAGAGACTACACGTTTTACTCTAACAGGAGTTGGCTTGTAGCACCCTGATGGCTTGTACCACCAGGAAAGAGAGGAAAGTGGCAATGAAACTGAAATGAGCTGTTGTCTCACCCTCTGCAGGAATTCCCCTCTTCCTTTCCATGCCCTCCACAACACCATGGCTTGGGCTATTGATCTCTTAGCGGACAGAGCCTGGGCCCCTTCCTCTGTCACATTTCCCTCCCACCAGAACTCCAATAGAGCCCACTAACATAGTCCTAGATGCCCCCAAGTGCCTTGAAAGTGGGGTGCAATCCAAAATTCGAATAGTCCATTAATATAGTCTTAGACCCCAAGTGCCTTGAAAGTGGGGTGCAATCCTGAAGGAGGGTGCAGCGGGGGGAAAGACCACGAGATAGGCTCATCCTTCTGGTTCTCCAGCCCACGTCCCTGCTGGACAGGCCAAGGCTGGCTCTGCTGCGCCTATCACCCCCACCCTGAGCCCACACTGCCACCTGCCGGCTCGCTGCTGCCACTGCTCAAAGTGAACAAGTCAGGCCCTGAAGAATGAGGAAGCCCCTCCTCTCACCTTGAAACACAATACCCACCAGCACTCATAATTGCAGACAAAACCCGTCATTTTAACCCTGGGCTTTTCTTCCACCCTTGAGATGTTCTATGAGGTTGAACCCATTCAAGTATTCCATTTTTGGGGCTCACCCCCGCCCCGCCAGCATCACTCTCTGGACAAAGCCTGACACTTATGTCCCCCTCTCTGTAAGCAAAATAATCATTTTGCATGCCCTCTGTTCTGAACATCACTAGGCATGGCTCTGGTGCCACCTCAGTGCTCTGGGGCTCCACCTCCTGGGAATGAATGCAGAAACTTCCACAGTGATGGTGTCCAGCCATGTGCTGCCCCCAACCGAAACCACCCCACACCGACACCCAGCTCCCACCACAAAGACTTAGGATCCCACAGGCCTTTGGGACTGTCACGCTCTTGGCTTTTCCTGCTCCTCCATCCACGACATGCCCTATGCTGTGGTGTGTCACATATGGCACCACATTCAAGGTCCTTTGCACATTCCTAAGGAGATGCCGCCTGTCTGTGCCAGGGGCCAAGGAGAACACCCCAGGTACCTGGGCTCATCAGAGGCCCAAGGAGATGGAAGGTGAAGCTGCATCACAGGACGATGGAGACAGGGGCCCCAGGGCCAGACCCTGGGATGAGGATGTGGGTGAGAGTTTGGTTAGGGAAGTGTTCCCAGGAGTACCAGATGGAGTGAGGCAGGAAACAAGAAAGGCAAGGAAGCCAGTGAGGGGGTCACCAAGCAGGTCACCACTGCAGGCCACTGAGCGCAGTCCCACTGGTGACTCTGAGACACAGAGTAGAACGCACCTCAAAGTGACGCCCGCCCTCAGGTGGGAGAGACGGGTTGTTTGTACCCTGATGCTCAGCAGACATTTTTGGAGGCTGCCCTTTGGAGAATGTTCATTCCTGCCCCTTGTGGAGGCCAAATGGGCTCCTCTGGCCAGAAAAAAGTCTTCAGGGGAGTCACCGTGCTGGCGATGACGCCATCGTGATAGTCCACAAGAGCCATCATTGGGTCCCCGTGTATGGGTGTGGTGAGGTCCCAGGTCTCTGCAAAGGGCTCCAGCAGCTGCTGCCACACACAAGCAACAGGCATCGCCCAGAAGAGGGCGGAAGGAGGGTTGATACAGAGTAAGGCTGTTCACAGCCACCACGAGGAACATCCATTGTCACACTGGCCAAGCCCACATGCACATACACACACTGGGGCCCCTCCCAAGTTCCTAGAGATACCCCTGGCACACACTCACATGTAGCATCCCTCAGCTCCACCTCCTGTGGTTTCGTGGACATTTGCTCAGACAGCTTTGGTGCACACACACTAGTGCCCTTCTCACTTAGAGCTTGTGCACGTACACACTTGGTGTTGCATACTCCAGTGCCACTGACACTCCCACTCAGCTGTTCCTATCCATGCCCACCTGCATGTCCAGGCTCTTGGCATGAGCGGTGGAGAGACAGTAAGCTTCATCGTCTGAGGAAGTGAATCTTCTGTCCTGGTCTCTGCTTTGCTTCACCCCACATTGCACGTCCTCGGGGCCAGAGGAACTCTCTGGAGCCCAGGACTGGTTGCCTAGATCAGGCCGGGTATCTCTGGGCTTGGGGGCTGGGCAGATCTTTACCCCCAGGGTGGCAGCCCAGTTGTGCCAGCCCAACATGTCTCCAAGAAATCCAAGGTTGCAGGTCCTCAGGCCCTGCCGTCCCCACCTCAGCCATGCCACCACTGACCATCTCACCAGCATGACTCCTGGGGGCCTGGGGCTGCCTGTCTCTCTTCCACTGCCAGTGGCTGCCTGGTCCACAGCCCACCCCAAGGCTGGCACCATCTGAACTGTGTGGTGGAGTAGAAGAGCATCCCTTGAAAAGGACCCTCCACTCCCTGCCACTCTGAGCCTCATTATCCAACTGCAAGAGTCAGAAACCCAACTTGAATCTTCATGAGCAAGGAAGAATACTTACTGAATTGTCCAAGTCAGGCATGGCTGGATCCAGAAAGTCCGGGAATATGGGCAGGTATGTCATCTCTCTCTGGATTCTGCTGTCCACCACAGTGCCTTCATTCTCCCATCAGAACAAAAGTATGGAAGCCCCAAGTCTACTTTGGTTGGTTCATAATCCAAAACAAAGAGATCCTCTCTCTCCCAGAGAGCAAATACCAAGTCTCAGAGAAAACTGGCCCAGACATGTCCTCATCCCTGACTCTCTGAATGGCTGGGATTAGGGTCTCTGTTGTTTGTTTGTTTGTTTGTTGTTTGTTTTTGAGTCAAAGTCTCACCCTGTCGCCCACACTGGAGTGCAGTGGTACGATCTCGGCTCACTGCAACCTCCGTCTCCCAGGTTCAAGCGATTAGCCTGCCTCAGCCTCCTGAGTAGCTGGGATTACGGGCATTCTGAGTAGCTGGGATTACGGGCACATGTCACTGCGCCCAGCTAAATTTTTGTATTTTTAGTAGAGACGGGGTCTCACCATGTTGGCCAGGCTGGTCTTGAACTCCTGACCTCAGGTGATCTGCCTGCCTTGGCCACCCAAAGTCCTGGGATTACAGGTGTGAGCCACCGCACCCAGCCAGGATTACGGTCTCTGGCTGACTGAGCCTGGGTCATGCCAAAGCAGCCCTTGCACATCTCCCATGCCTCCATCTCCCCTCCCTGCCTGCCACTCTGTGGAGGGTGGAAGAGGAGGAGCCACATTCATCTCTCCTGGAATGGGTTCTGCAAAGAAAAGAGGGGAGGAGGCTGGGAGGACTGGAGACACACAGACGAGCAGCCTCTGCCATGTTCCCTTGACAGGGACAGGCCCTACCCCTCAGATCTCAGTCTGAGCGATGACCCCAAGCCACAGATAGACAATGAGCTGGGCAGTGAGTCAGGGCAGGTGCTGGGGCAGGGTCAGGCGGAGAGTGGTTGCTAAGCAGGGCCCATAGCAAAGAAAGGAGGAAAGAGCAACAGCCTCCAGCCAGGCCTGAGGGCTCCAGGCTCACTGGACACCATCTTGAATCTGTGCCAGCTCTTTCTCATGGTTGCCATAGCAGGGAGGGGGCTTGGACCAGAGAGGCCCAGATCCACTGCCCACTGGGAGGGGCCCCAGCCAGCTGCAGGGAGCCAGCTGAGCTCCACACTGAGGGCAGTCTGTGACTTGTGGACTTACAAGACTCTTCCAAGGAATACACTCACCCACAGTGCATGGTTACACAGTTTTGTTCCTGAAGAGGAACATAAATTTGGGCAAAAGGCCAAGGTATGAATCTATGCAACTGGGCCTGAGACTCCACTCCAGGCACTGACTTCTCCCTAGGACAATCGCACCATGGGCTCCTGCCTCTTCTCCTCCTTACAGCCCTTCCCTTCCTGGGCTGTCCTCAAGGGCCTGAGTTATGCCTCCCAGACTAGGGGCCTGGAATTGTGGCCCAAGCTGACTCCTGTCCAGGTGGTGGGCCCAGCACAGAGCCCAGGAGGGTTTATGGGGTAATCAGCAGGAACTCCCAGCTCAATTATGAGAGAAACAGTGCTTCCTGCCAGTCACACAGACTTGATGACAGTAAGTGCTGAGTTCCAGACCTGGGACCCTCTGCCCAGCCAGCATCCCCATCCAGCTCCTCCTCCTCACCCTCTGCAGAGTAGGCACATGACTCAGGCTCAGCCCGCCAGAGACCCTGTGGCCTCTGAGCAACTAAGCTCTGCAAGGAACCTGGGAGCTGCTGTGAGTGAAGGCTGAGTATGGGGACCCAGAGGTCTGGCTTCTCTGCTTCTGTCATCAGCTCACTATGTGAACTTGAACCAGGCCTCAGGACCCCCATGCCCCATCAGCCCACCTAGGCCAAAGCAGCCCCTGCAGATCTCCCATGCCTCCACCTCCCCTCCCTGCCTGCACTGTTCCCAAAGTCAGTCACACTGACGGGCAGAGAGAGCAGGTTCTCACGAAATCAGTCACTCCCCCAAGGACCCAGAAAATGTGAACAATGCAATTAACACCAAATCCAACTGTTGAAGGAGGCTGCAGCGAGCCAATGGGGAGAAGCAAGGCTGACTCCAGCATGAGAGGGCAGGGAAGGGGTGATTTTAGGCACCATGCCCAGCGTTCTCACCCTCACTGTCTCAGCCACCCTGGGAAAGATGAGAGTGGCTGGCAGTTCACAGGCATGACAGGTTCCCCATGAGGGGAATGGAGGACTAAGATGTCCAGAATGAATGTAGTTAGTAAGCAACCAAAAGCAATAGAAGAATCACAGTGGTGGGGCAGGGGGGTGGGGGCCTTGGAATGTACCAATATGTGGAATTTTAGCTATTAACAAGAAAAAAACAAAGGCCATTCTAGGCCTCTCCCTAGGGAACAAAACTGCCTGGGGTCGAAGAATGAGAGAAAAAGAGAGAACCTTGGCCTGGTGACTATACTCTTCAACACAACTCAGGGAGGCCAGGTGTGGTGGCTCACACCTATAACCCCAGCACTTTGGGAGGCAGAGGTGGGAGGCTAGCTTGAGCTCAGGAGTTGGAAACCAGCCTGGGCAACATAGTGAGACCTTATCACTACCAAAAAAAAAAAAAAAAAAAAAACTGTTTTAATTAGCCAGATGCTATGGGGTGTGCCTGTAGTCCCAGCTACAGGGGAGGGTGGGACAGGAGGATTGTTTGAGCCCAGGAGGTCAAGGCTGCAGTGAGCTGACTGTGCCACTGTACTCCAGCCTGGGCAACAGGGTGAGATCATATCTCAAAAAACAAAAAACAAAAACAAACAAACAGAAAACTACACTGCTGGCTTTTAAGATGGAGGAAGGGGCCCTGAGCCAAGGAATGTAGGTGGCCTCTAGGAACTGGAAAAAGCAAGGAAATGAATTCTCCCCAAAGGAACAAGCCCAGTGAGACTGATTTTGGACCTCGGTCTGACCTTTAAAAGTATAAAATAGGCCAGGCAAGGTGGCTCACACCTGTAAGCCCAGCACTTTGAGAGGCCGAGGCAGGTGGATTGCCTGAGGTCAGGAGTTCGAGACCAGCCTGGGCAACATGGTGAAACCCTGTCTCTACTAAAAATACAAAAATTAGCTGGGCGTGGTGGCGGGCACCTGTAATTCCAGCTACTTGGGAGTCTGAGACAGGAGAATCACTTGAACCCAGGAGGTGGAGGTAGCAGTGAGCCGAGACTGCACTGTTGTACTTCAGCCTGGGCAAGAAGAGCGAAACTCCATCTCAAAAAAAAACAAAAAAAAAAGTATAAGTTAATAAATACTTCTTCTTTTAAACCACTAAACCCGTAGAAATTCACTGCAGCATCAATAGGAAACGAATACACTTGGGTTCCAATCCCAGCTCTTGCTCTCCCTGCCTCAATCTCTTGGTTCATAAGATGAGAGGAAGGCAGATTTGGACAAGTGATGGGCAAAGGCCTCTCCAACCCTCTTTGACCCCAGGCTGTGATCATGCCAACTCTTAGCATTCTCTCACATGAATCTGCCCTGGGCCTTACCTGTGTCTTCATTTCAGAGGGAGGTAGACAGGGAAGCCAAGGGGTGGCCACGTTTGACCCTGGACCTAACATTTCTGATGTTCAGGATCAGATGAGCCCATGTGTGTGAATGAGTAGCACCCACAGTGTTGTGGGTAGTGACTATCTGGAGCCAGTAGTGTGGGTGGTAAAGGAATCTACCAAGACAGTTGTGGATACAGAAAGGCAGATTTATTAGAGAAGGTAGGAAAGAGAGAAAATATGTTGCAAGGTTGCAACGGGCAGCACAGCAGAGACAGGGCTGTCTGCACAGAGGCAGAGGCTGGAGGGAAGTTTTATAGGATCATGCTGGAGGGGGCTACATACAGAAAGGGGTTGTGCTGCTGAACTATCACGGTGCTACTCCAGGGGGATCTATTTTCGAGTAGAACTCCAACTGGGATGCAGTTTCTCAATCAAAGGGATATGAACTGCCCTGGCCACTGAATTCAGAGAACATTGTAGGGGGCAGGGGAGTTGGGAGCAGGGAGCAGAGATCCCAGCTGTGACGAGCCCAGGTCTGAGGCAGCTCCAAGACCAAGCACCCAGGTGGCTGTCCTTCCTGGCGACTGGAGAGGCAGGAGCCCAGCAGAGTCTCATAGAAAGCAAATGACAATCAAGACCCAGGTCCTCAGCCAGATGCGGTGGCTCATGCCTGTAATCTCAGCACTTTGGGAGGCCAAAGTGGGCAGATCACCTCAGGTCAGGAGTTTGAGATCAGCCTGGCCAACATGGTGAAATCCCATCTCTACTAAAAAAAAAAAAAAAAAAAAAAAAAAAAATTAGCCAGGCATAGTGGCACATGCATGTAGTCCCAACTACTTGGGAGGCTGAGGCAGGAGAATCGCTTGAACCCAGAAGGTGGAAATTGCAGTGGGCCAAGATCACGTCACTGCACTCCAGCCTGGGCAACAAAACAAGACTCTGTTTCAATAAAATAAAATAAAATAAAATAAAATAAAATAAAATAAAATAAAATAAAATAAAATAATAAAATAAAAAGAAACCTCTAAATTGATTGAGATCTGCCTCCGACACTTTTCAATTTACAAAAACATACCTAAGAATTGGCCACCCAGGGGCAGGAAGCTGGGGTTTCTATCCAGTAACTCTCACCCCGCTGGCCCTTGGTTGGTTGAGGGTCGCCACCTTCCTGGCGCTTCCAGCCTGTCCCGCACACTAGCAGAGTATGCCTCTGCAGCCAGCAGCACTCAAGGCATGAGGCATTACTGGGGATATCTGGATGGGATGGTAGTGTGGAAAGATGCAGATGCTGATGTGCCTGGTCTTCATTTTTTGTGGGGCAGGGGGACAAAGAAAGGACAAATCCTGACCTAGGCCCTGCTCCACTGGGAGGGGCCCGGTCACCCTCCAATCTCAGCTTTTCAGAGTGACAAGCAGTGGCAGGGCCTGGCTGCACATAGCTTTATCTCTTGCTAGCACAACTTCCTCCTTTGCTTCCAGATTGGGCTTTGGAGCAGGAGAGGCAGGACCCATCCATTCCTCCAAGTGCCCAGCCTGAGCCTGGCCTGGGACAGGACTCTATCCTCCATATCCAGCCCCCCCGAAGCCACCATGAGCAGGTCCCAATCCCCAGGCCCAGGCGAAGCTGCTCTGGGTGAGACCCTCCTGGGCAACATCATCAGCTACTACCAGGAGAGAGCAGGGGAGGGCCGGCTCGATGTCTGCAGGCAAGCAGCCCTCACCCACAGGGCCAGGTGGCTCCTGGGCAGGAGGGCCCCTCCATGGCTCTGTCTGCCAGAGGAAGTGGCCCTTGCTCTGGGTGGCTGCTGTTGTGGGGATCCCAGCCCTGTCCCAAAAGTCAGCCCTGAGCTGGTGCATGCACTAGAGTTCCTGGAGCTGATCTCTGTCAACCTGCTTCTGTTTCCCTGGAGGAAGGAAATCAGGTCCCTAAAGGTAGGCACTGCCACATGTCTGAGCAAGGGGGATTCAGCCAGGGGTTGGGGCTCTGCCTCTGGGAGAAACAGCATGCCCATCATATCCATTGACTTCAGTCCCATTTCAGTTTAAGAAATTGAGGGCTAAAGAGACAGATGCAACTTATCCATGGTCAACAGCTAGCAAGTGGTACAACTGCTCCTAACCACGAGACCAGCGGTCCCCAACCTTTTTGGCACCAGGGGCCAGTTTCACAGAAGACAATTTTTCCACAGACAGGGTGGAGGGATGGGGGCGGGGGTTAGTTTCAGGATGAAACTCTTCCACCTCAGACCATCAAGCATTAGATTTTCATAAGGAGCACGCAACCTAGATCCCTCTCATGCACAGTTCACAATAGGGTTCCACTCCTATGAGAATCTAATGCCACTGCTGATCGTGACAGGAGGCGGAGCTCAAGTGATAATGCTTGTTTGCCCGCCACTCACCTCCTGCTGTGCGGCCAGGTTCCTAACAGACCATAGACCAGTACTGGTCCAAGGCCTGGGGATTGGGGACTCCTGCACTGGACTGTTACTGCCTCTCCGAGGAAAGATGAACCAAGGTGCTCATAATAAACAACGGGAGGAGTTGGGCTTTAGAGAGCTACCAGAGAGGTTTTGTTTTTTTGTTGTTTTTCATTTTGTTTTGTTCTTGAGACAGAGTCTTGCTCTGTCACCCAGGCTGGAGTACAGTGGCGCGATCTTGGCTCACTGCAACTTCTGCCTCTCAGGATCAAGCGATTCTCCTGCCTCAGCCCCCTGAGTAGCTGGGATTACAGGTGTCCACCAACACACCTGGCTAATTTTTGTATTTTTAGTAGAGACGGGGTTTCACCATGTTGGCCAGGCTGGTCTCAAACTCCTGACCTGAAGTGATCTTCCTGCCTCGCCCTCCCAAAGTGCTGGGTTTACAGATGTGAGCAGTCACACTCGGCCCCTACCAGAGTTTTAATTTCTTCCTGCTCCAGGCCCTGACTGCTAGGCTGGGAGCTGGGATACCTAGAGCCTTACCCCAGCTCAGTCACTCTCTTTTTGCGTTTTTTTGTTTTTTTGAGATGGAGTCTCGCTGTGTGGCCCAGGCTGGAGAGCAGTGGTGCAATCTGTCCTCACTGCAACCTCCACCTCCTGGGTTCGAGCAATTCTCCTGCCTCAGCCTCCCAAACAGCTGGGATTACAGGCGCCTGCCACCATGCCCGGCTAATTTTTTTGTATTTTTAGTAGAGAGGGGTTTCACCATGTTGGCCAGGCTGGTCTCGAACTCCTGACCTCAGGTGATCCGCCCTCCTTGGCCTCCCAAAGTGCTGGGATTACAGGTGTGAGCCACCACACCCAGCCACTTTCTGAGTGTCTTTGGACAGATCCTGCTTTGTCTTTGAGCCTCAGTGTACCCCTGATCATGGGCCAGGCTTTCCTTTGGCCAAATGCCCTCATCCACGTGCTTCTCAGGAGCCCCTGGTGTCCCTCGGCACCAGCCCTTGGTCCTGCCTGGCCTGGCCCCTCTCAGCCACTCTGCTGAGGCCTGTCCCACTCCTAACAAGCTCCCTTGTCTGTTCTAGATGTACACTGGGAGCTTTACCTACTGGGTGCGATCTATGCTTTCCAGACACAAACTGGACGCCATCCTGGGCAGGCTGGGCTACACGGCCACCTTGGAGTCTGAGTTCTCACTGGTCCAGGCCATCAGCAAAGAGAATGTCAAGCAGATGGTGTTCAAGATCTTCCTGGTGAGGGTCTCATGTGAAGCCGTTCTCAGAACCGCGGGCACACGGATGCTTGAGCCGGGCACAGAGAAACTCGCTAGGACCCACAGCAGGCACAGCTCAGAGAAAAGGCTGGTGAAGCCCTGCAGCTGCCTCGAGGGGGTTCAGCCAGGCCCAGGTTCCGGGGGACCACAGCAAGGTCCCTCAGAAGGGGTGGGGTCCGAGACGGCCCTGGCAGAGGGCACTGCTGGCCAGAGATCTCTGCCCATGGCTCTGAGCCCATCTGAGGTCTCAACAGCCCCCAACAGCCTCCCCAGTGGCTCTCCAGTCCTCTAGGGCCCCCAGTGCCATGGCAGCACATGCCTGGACAGTGAGGAGGTCCTGCCTTGCTTCAGTGACCCTGTCTTACACTGGATGCCCTGGTTTCCCAAGGACATTTTCCTGAGAAGCCTGAAGGGAAACCAACTCCCAGGCCCAGCCCTGGCCCCTGGCCCTTCATCGGGTGAGGTGGTCACCGCCTCAGGGTGCAGCAGGGGGCAGCCCCTGGTCTCGGATGCAGTTCCTGAGAGCAGAAAAGTCACCATTCTCAGCCAGCTCTGCCCGACACCAGGTCCCCAATCTCCAGGGCAGCCCTTAGACCGGAAGCCAGAAGCATAGCTGGAGCTGGCCAGCCCCAGAATAGACGCCGCACCTCCCAGCACCTCTTCCGAGAGGAATGAGCTCTGTGAGTGCTCCCTCACCTTCTTGGTCCCTCAACTCCTGCAGGCCATCCTAGAGGCATCCCACGCCCTGAGGTGGAGGAAGATGGACAACTAGGGCCTCTTGTGGGGCCAGAGCCAACTGGTGATGACGGCAGCCCAGAAAGTGGAGTCACTCCATTCTGGAGGTCTACCCAGGCTCCCCTGCATGGATGAGAGCACCCCAGCACCCACTATACCCCCAGTGGGGGCTGGTGGCACCAGTACCCACCCAAAGACACCATCCCAGCAATAGCTGAGGGAGTGATCTCTCGCTAGTACAGGGCAGGCACCCTGAATAAGCAAATAGCTCTCACTGTGATGTCCACCAGGAGGTGACTGCTGGGAGAGGTGCTAGACCTGGGATCACAGCACAGGAGGAGAAGCAGGGCACGGGGGAAGAGTGGCCAAACCTATGGCTTGCTTGTGAGGCATAGGAGCCAATCTGCTAACCCCAAAAGGTCTCAAATTCCAGCCCTGCCATCGATGGCTTGTGTGACCTTGGGCAACTCACTCCACCTCTATGAGCCTCGTTTTCCTCATCTGTAAAGTGACTATGGTCAGACCTCCTTCCCAGGAGGCTGGGAAGAGTTAGTGAGGTGAGGTGTGCTCAGTGCCCATCAGAGACCGACCCAGAGAAGGGCCCCTCCCTTTAGGTTTTCTGTCCTCTTCATGTCCCAGTTCAGTTGTGTGACCCTGGGTAGGTCATCCTGCAGCTCTGAGTAGCCGCTTCCCTCAGCAGCCTTCAGACCCATTTCACCTATCACAGTGCAAATAAAGAGGGCATAGATGTGTAGACAACTGGATGTGTAGTACACCCTTAATCCATCTAGGATCCACTACTGGCCTCCCTTTTCTTTCGGCTAATTTGTTGGGAGCTCAGGGTCAACTCTCATGCCTGCTCTCCATCCAGGAGCGGGGGCACCCCCTCTACCTGCCATCTCCTGCCCCTTTATGTACACATATACATGCACATGTGCACACAAATAGGTACATTCAGGTATGGCACATGCACATACACATGCCCTTAGTCATTCCTCATTGGGATCCCAACAGAGGGCATCCTCCTCCAACCAGGGGCTTCTCTATGTGGTGGCAGGTGTCACTAACCCAGGGACGGCCTCTAGGCTTCCCATCTGTGAAATGGGAAAAATTAAATAGGTGAAGGTCCCTTCAGGGTGCAAAGCAGGTGTTTAATAATTGTTGGTACCTGCCTTTGCTCTCCCTGAAACTGAGCATATAACCACACCACTTTCAGTCCTTAAGACCAAGGGGGGGCCTCAGGCTGGAAGGATTTTAAAAGCTTTGGCTCCACCTGCATCCAAGTCAGACAGCAGTCCTAAAACAGCCCCTACACAGGCTTTCTGAGACACAAATCAGGAAGCAGTATGCACTGGGCAGCACAGGGCACGCTGGTTATCACCCACTCATCCATCCAACCATCCATCCCTCCCTGCCTCCCACCCTCCCTCCTTCCCTTGATCCTTCCTTCCTTCCTTCCCTCCATCCAACCATCCATCCATCCCTGCCTCCCACCTCCCTCCCACCCTGGATCCTTCCTTCCTTCTTTCCTTCCTTCCCTCCATCCAACCGTCCATCCATCCCTGCCTCCCACCTCCCTCCTGCCCTTGATCCTTCCTTCCTTCCTTCCTTCTTTCCTTCCTTCCCTCCATCCAACCATCCATCCATCCCTGCCTCCCACCTCCCTCCTGCCCTTGATCCTTCCGTCCTTCTTTCCTTCCTTCCCTCCATCCAACCATCCATCCATCCATCCATCCTTCCATCCATCCATCCCCACCTCCCACCTTCCTCCCTTCCTTCCTTCTATCCATCCAGCCATTCATCCATCCAACCATCCATCCATCCACCCATCCTAATCACTTAGCACAGCATCTGGCAGCCCACAGCCAAGCTGGAGAGCTGTCAGGGTGTGGAGCATTATCGGGAAAGTGAGGGAGCCACACCCCAGCCACAAGCCTCCATCAGGAACATCAAAAACAAGTGAGGCCAGATGCGGTGGCTCATACCTATAATCCCAGCACTTTGGGAGGCCAAGATGGGAGGATCACTTGAGCCCAGGAGTTTGAGACCAGCCTGGACAACATAGTAAGACCTTGTCTCTATTAAAAAAAAAAAATTAGGAGGTGGAGCCAAGATGGCCGAATAGGAACAGCTCCAGTCTACAGCTCCCAGCATGAGCGACGCAGAAGACGGGTGATTTCTGCATTTCCAACTGAGGTACCGGGTTCATCTCACTGGGGAGTGTTGGAAAGTGGGTGCAGGACAGTGGGTGCAGCGCACCAAGCATGAGCCAAAGCAGGGTGAGGCATCGCCTCACCCAGGAAGCGCAAGGGGTCAGGGAATTCCCTTTCCTAGTCAAAGAAAGGGGTGACAGACGGCACCTGGAAAATTGGGTCACTCCCACCCTAATACTGCGCTTTTCCAATGGTCTTAGCAAATGGCACACCAGGAGATTATATCCCGCGCATGGCTCAGAGGGTCCTACGCCCACGGAGCCTCGCTCATTGCTAGCACAGCAGTCTGAGATCAAACTGCAAGGTGGCAGCAAGGCTGGTGGAGAGGCGCCCGCCACTGCCAAGGCTTGAGTAGGTAAACAAAGCAGCCAGGAAGTTCGAACTGGGTGAAGCCCACTGCAGCTCAAGGAGGCCTGCCTGCCTCTGTAGACTCCACCTCTGGGGACAGGGCACAGCCAAACAAAAGGCAGCAGAATCCTCTGCAGACTTAAATGTCCCTGTCTGACAGCTTTGAAGAGAGTAGTGGTTCTCCCAGCATGCAGCTGGAGATCTGAGAATGGACAGACTGCCTCCTCAAGTGGGTCCCTGACCCCTGAGTAGCCTAACTGGGAGGCATCCCCCAGTAGGGGCAGACTGACACCTCACACAGCTGGGTACTCCTCTGAGACAAAACTTCCAGAGGAACGATCAGGCAGCAACATTTGCTGTTCACCAAAATCCGCTGTTCTACAGCCTCTGCTGCTGATACCCAGGCAAACAGGGTCTGGAGTGGACCTCCGGCAAACTCCAACAGACCTGCAGCTGAGGGTCCTGACTGTTAGAAGGAAAACTAACAAACAGAAAGGACATCCACACCAAAACCCCATCTGTACGTCACCATCATCAAAGACCAAAGGTAGATAAAACTACAAAGATGGGGAAAAAACAGAGCAGAAAAACTGGAAACTCTAAAAATCAGAGTGCCTCTCCTCCTCCAAAGGAACACAGCTCCTCACCAGCAACAGAACAAAGCTGGACGGAGAATGACTTTGACGAGTTGAGAGAAGAAGGCTTCAGATGATCAAACTACTCCAGGCTAAAGGAGGAAGTCCAAACCCATGGCAAAGAAGTTAAAAACCTTGAAAAAAAATTAGACGAATGGCTAACTAGAATAATCAATGCAGAGAAGTCCTTAAAGGACCTGATGGAGCTGAAAACCAAGGCATGAGAACTACGTGACGAATGCACAAGCCTCAGTAGCCAATTCGATCAACTGGAAGAAAGGGTATCAGTGATGGAAGATCAAATGAATGAAATGAAGCGAGAAGTTTAGAGAAAAAATAATAAAAAGAACACAGCCTCCAAGAAATATGGGACTATGTGAAAAGACCAAATCTACATCTGATTGGTGTACCTGAAAGTGACGGGGAGAATGGAACCAAGTTGGAAAACACTCTGCAGGATATTACCCAGGAGAACTTCCCCAACCTAGCAAGGCAGGCCAACATTCATATTCAGGAAATACAGAGAATGCCACAAAGATACTCCTTGAGAAGAGCAACTCCAAGACACATAATTGTCAGATTCACCAAAGTTGAAATGAAGGAAAAAATGTTAAAGGCAGCCAGAGAGAAAGGTCGGGTTACCCACAAAGGGAAGCCCATCAGACTAACAGCTGATCTCTCGGCAGAAACTCTACAAGCCAGAAGAGAGTGGGGGCCGATATTCAACATTCTTAAAGGAAAGAATTTTCAACCCAGAATTTCATATCCAGCCAAACTAAGCTTCATAAGTGAAGGAGAAATGAAATACTTTACAGACAAGCAAATGCTGAGAGATTTTCTCACCACCAGGCCTGCCCTAAAAGAGCTCCTGAACGAAGCACTAAACATGGAAAGGAACAACTGGTACCAGCCACTGCAAAAACATGCCAAACTGTAAAGACCACTGAGGCTAGGAAGAAACTGCATCAACTAATGAGCAAAATAACCAGCTAACATCATAATGACAGGATCAAATTCACACATAACAATAATGTAAATGGGCTAAATGCTCCAATTAAAAGACACAGACTGGCAAATTGGATAAAGAGTCAAGACCCATCAGTGTGCTGTATTCAGGAAACCCATCTCACGTGCAGAGACACACATAGGCTCAAAATAAAGGGATGGAGGAAGATCTACCAAGCAAATGGAAAACAAAAAAAGGCAGGGGTTGCAATCCTAGTCTCTGATAAAACAGACTTTAAACCAACAAAGATCAAAAGAGACAAAGAAGACCACTACATAATGGTAAAGGGATCAATTCAACAAGAAGAGCTAACTATCCTAAATATATATGCACCCAATACAGGAGCACCCAGATTCATAAAGCAAGTCCTTAGAGACCTACAAAGAGACTTAGACTCCCACACAATAATAATGGGAGACTTTAACAACCCACTGTCAACATTAGACAGATCAACGAAACAGAAAGTTAACAAGGATATCCAGGAATTGAACTCAGCTCTGCACCAAGCGGACCTAATAGACATCTACAGAACTCTCCACCCCAAATCAACAGAATATAATTCTTTGCAGCACCACACCGCACCTATTCCAAAATTGACCACATACTTGGAAGTAAAGCACTCCTCAGCAAATGTAAAAGAACAGAAATGATAACAAACTGTCTCTCAGACCACAGTGCAATCAAACTAGAACTCAGCATTAAGAAACTAACTCAAAACCGCTCAACTACATGGAAACTGAACAACCTGCTCCTGAATGACTGCTGGGTACACAACGAAATGAAGGCAGAAATAAAGATGTTCTTTGAAACCAACGAGAACAAAGACACAACATACCAGAATCTCTGGGACACATTCAAAGCAGTCTGTAGGGGGAAATTTATAGCACTAAATGCCCACAAGAGAAAGCAGGAAAGATCTAAAATTGACACCCTAACATCACAATTAAAAGAACTAGAGAAGCAAGAGCAAACACATTCAAAAGCTAGCAGAAGGCAAGAAATAACTAAGATCACAGCAGAACTGAAGGAGATAGAGACACAAAAAACCTTTCAAAAAAATCAATGAATCCAGGAGCTAGATTTTTGAAAAGAACAACAAAATTCATAGACTGCTAGCAAGATTAATAAAGAAGAAAAGAGAGAAGAATCAAATAGATGCAACAAAAAATGATAAAGGGGATTATCACCACCGATCCCACAGAAATACAAACTACCATCAGAGAATACTATAAACACCTCTACGCAAATAAACTAGAAAATCTAGAAGAAATGGATAAATTCCTCGACACATACACCATCCCAAGACTAAACCAGGAAGAAGTTGAATCCCTGAATAGACCAATAATAGGCTCTGAAATTGAGGCAATAATTAATAGTTTACCAACCAAAAAAAGTCAAGGACCAGATGGATTCACAGCCGAATTCTACCAGAGGTACAAGGAGGAGCTGGTACCATTCCTTCTGAAACTATTCCAATCAATAGAAAAAGAGGGAATCCTCCCTAACTCATTTTGTGAGGCCAGCATCATCCTGATACCAAAGCCTGGCAGAGACACAACAAAAAAAGAGAATTTTAGGCCAATATCCCTGATGAACATCGATGCAAAAATCCTCAATAAAATACTGGCAAACTGAATCCAGCAGCACATCAAAAAGCTTATCCGCCACGATCAAGTGGGCTTCATCCCTGGGATGCAAGGTTGGTTCAACATACACAAATCAATAAACGTAATCCAGCATATAAACAGAACCAAAGACAAAAACCATATGATTATCTCAATAGATGCAGAAAAGGCCTTTGACAAAATTCAACAACTCTTCATGCTAAAAACTCTCAATAAATTAGGTATTGATGGGACATATCTCAAAATAATAAGAGCTATCTATGACAAACCCACAGCCAATATCATACTGAATGGGCAAAAACTGGAAGCATTCCCTTTGAAAACTGGCACAAGACAGGGATGCCCTCTCTCACCACTCCTATTCAACATAGTGTTGGAAGCTCTGGCCAGGGCAATCAGGCAGGAGAAGGAAATAAAGGGTATTCAATTAGGAAAAGAGGAAGTCAAATTGTTCCTGTTTGCAGATGACATGATTGTATTTGTAGAAAACCCCATTGTCTCAGCCCAAAATCTCCTTAGGCTGATAGGCAACTTCAGCAAAGTCTCAGGATGCAAAGTCTCAGGATACAAAATCAATGTGCAAAAATCACAAGCATTCTTATACACCAATAATAGACAGAGAGCCAAATCATGAGTGAACTCCCATTCACAATTGCTTCAAAGAGAATAAAATACCTAGGAATCCAACTTACAAGGGACGTGAAGGACTTCTTCAAGGAGAACTACAAACCACTGCTCAATGAAATAAAAGAGGATAAAACAAATGGAAGAACATTCCATGCTCATGGGTAGGAAGAATCAATATCATGAAAATGGCCATACTGCCCAAGGTAATTTATAGATTCAATGCCATCCCCATCAAGCTACCAATGACTTTCTTCACAGAATTGGAAAAAACTACTTTAAAGTTCATATGGAACCAAAAAAGAGCCCACATTGCCAAGTCAATCCTAAGCCAAAAGAACAAAGCTGGAGGCATCACGCTACCTGACTTCAAACTATACTACAAGGCTACAGTAACCAAAACAGCATGGTACTGGTACCAAAACAGAGATATAGACCAACGGAACAGAGCAGAGCCCTCAGAAATATTGCCGCATATCTATAACCATCTGATCTTTGACAAACCTGATAAAAACAGGAAATGGGGAAAGGATTCCCTATTTAATAAATGGTGCTGGGAAAACTGGCTAGCCATATGTAGAAAGCTGAAACTGGATCCCTTCCTTACACCTTATACAAAAATTAATTCAAGATGGATTAAAGACTTAAATGTTAGACCTAAAACCATAAAAACACTAGAAGAAAACCTAGGCAATACCATTCAGGACATAGGCATGGGCAAGGACTTCATGTCTAAAACACCAAAAGCAATGGCAACCAAAGCCAAAATTGACAAACGGGATCTCATTAAACTAAAGAGCTTCTGCACAGCAAAAGAAACTACCATCAGAGTGAACAGACAACCTACAGAATGGGAGAAAATTTTTGCAATCTACTTATCTGACAAAGGGCTAATATCCAGAATCTACAATGAACTCAAACAAATTTACAAGAAAAAAAACAAACAACCCCATCAAAAAGTGGGCAAAGGATATAATAGACACTTCTCGAAAGAAGACATTTATGCAGCCAAAAGACACATGAAAAAAATGCTCATCATCACTGGCCATCAGAGAGATGCAAATCAAAACCACAATGAGATACCATCTCACACCAGTTAGAATGGTGATCATTAAAAAGTCAGGAAACAACAGGTGCTGGAGAGGATGTGGAGAAATAGGAACACTTTTACACTGTTGGTGGGACTGTAAACAAGTTCAACCGCTGTGGTAGTCAGTGTGGCGATTCCTCAGGGATCTAGAACTAGAAATACCATTTGACCCAGCAATCCCATTACTGGATATATACCCAAAGGATTATAAATCATGCTGCTATAAAGACACATGCACATGTATGTTTATTGCAGCATTATTCACAATAGCAAAGACTTGGAACCAAGCCAAATGTCCAACAATGATAGACTGGATTAAGAAAATGTGGCACATACACACCATGGAACACTATGCAGCCATAAAAAATGACGAGTTCATGTCCTTTGTAGGGACATGGATGAAGCCGGAAACCATCATTCTCAGCAAACTATCGCAAGGACAAAAAACCAAACACCACATGTTCTCACTCATAGGTGGGAACTGAACAATGAGAACACATGGACACAGGAACGGGAACATCACACACTGGGGCCTGTTGTGGGGTGGGGGGACGGGGGAAGGATAGCATTGGGAGATATACCTAATGTTAAATGACGAGTTAATGGGTGCAGGACACCAAGATGGCATATGTATACATATGTAACTAACCTGCACGTTGTGCACATGTACCCTAAAACTTAAAGTATAATTTAAAAAAAAAATTAAAATTAGCCAGCCATGTAGTCCCAGCTACTCAGGAGGCTGAGATGGGAGGACTGATTGAGCCCAGGAGCTCAAGGCTGCAGTGAGCCGTGATTACACCACTGCACTCCAGCCTGGGTGACAGAGTGAGACCCTGTCTCTTAAAATAAATAAATGGAAAAAAAAAAGAACAGGCTGATCTGGAGGCAGAGCAGGTCAGCAATCTCAGGAGGATGAGGCAAGAGGTTGCGTCAGCTTGGAACCATGACAGCCACTCCAAGGCATATCCCCCAGGGCACCTGACCTGCAGCAAAGGAACCTGGGAGAGCAACTTAGGCCAAGGATTCCAGGGGCAGGAAAGGCGAGCTAATTATTTTTTTTTTATTCATTCTTTTCTGACCATTAACATAATAAGCATGCTTATTCCAAACCAAAACAGAACTTTTGCTCTCTCCACTAAGCCTGCCGCTCCCGCATTCCCCATCTGGGTAAATGAGTCCACCATCCACTCACTCACTCCAATCCAATGCAGACATCACCCTTGACCAACATATATCTCTCTCTCCTCTCTCTTTCCTCCTCCCCCCGCTCTCTCTCTCTATCACATCCTTCATCCAATTCCTAGCTCCTCTCTTTCACAACAGAGTCTGAATCCAACCCCTTCCCCCCTCCTTCCACAGTAACCAAATTCACCATCCTCTCTCACTCACGTCCCTGGAGGCTGCCAGCCTTCTGCAGCCTGTGCTCCACCCGAATGCTGGAGGATTCCGTTAAACCTACATTAGGGCTGTGCGTGGTGGCTCATGCCTGTAATTCCAGCACTTTGGAAAGCTGAGGTGGGAGGACTGCTTGAGTCCAGGAGTTTGGGACCAGCCTGGGCAACACAGAAAGACCCCGTCTCTATATATTTAAAAAATAAAATAAAATAGAAAATGTTAAAAAAAACAAAACAAAACAAAAAAAAACCACCTACATTTGATCATGATTCTCATGTGTTCAGTTCCCTCCAGGGGTGCCCGAGGCCATATCAAGTCCCAGGCTCAGCCCCTCACTTTCCCTCTGAACTCATCTCAGGTCCCTTCCCCATTGTCCGCTGTAGCCAGAGCCACCCTGGCTTCTGCAAGGTTCTGGAACATGCTGAGCCTGGCCCTATTCCCAGCCTCTGCACAGACTGTTCCCTCTGCTCTGTCTCCCTACCCTACCCTGCCATGTTCTCTTCCTTGTTATTCACATCTCCCCTTAAATGTCACCTTCTCAGAGAGGCCCCCTCTGACCATCTATCACATCAGCTTAATTTTCTGCACAAAGATTTTAATTCATGTATTCATTTTCCATTTCCCCCCATTAGAAGATAAGCTCCATGAGAGATAAACTTCATCTTGTCTCATTCACCGTTATTTCCAAGGATCCACCATATTAAACCATCAAATGAGTAGAAAACTTAGAAAGTACAGATGAATATGAAAACGAAAGCAAACCTTACCATAATTTCCACCATTCAGCGATACCCAATGTCACCACATTCCTGCAATTCCTCCCAGTCTTTTTTCTATATACGCATATATTAAACATTTGGGATTGTAATATTTACAGTGTTGTGCTCTGCCTTTATTTCCCATGAAGGGCGTTATTCTAACTAATTTTAGATGGAGAGAAAAGTTGCAAAATAGTACAAAGAACTCCTTTCCACTCCTGGCCCTGCTTCTCCTAAAGTTGACATCTTACGTAACCATAGTATAATGATCAAGAACAGGAAATTAATATTGATACAATGTTCTTAACTATACTACAAACCTTATTTAAGTTTCCCCAGTGTTCCATTAATATCCTTTCTCTATTCCAGGAGCATATACAGGATCCCACATTGCACTGAAGTTGACATCTTATGTAACCATAATATAATGATCAAGAACAGGAAATTAATATTGATACAATGTTATTAACGATACTACACATATTATTTAAGTTTCCTAGTGTTCTATTAAAATCCTTTCTCTATTCCAGGAGCCCATCCAGGATCCCACATTGCATTTGTATATTTTCCTTTGTCTCCTCCAGTCTGTAATAGTTCTTGTTTTTTCCTTGTCTAACACGATCTTGATGCTTTTAAAGAGTTTTTTCCAATCAGTTATTTTGTTGAATGTCCCTCCATTTGGGTTTGTCTGGTGCTTTCTTAATACTGGAGTCAAGTATGCATTTCTGGCAAGGATACCACACCAAAAAAACAAATGATGCTGCCAGGCATGATGGCTCACACTGTAATCCCAGCACTTTCAGAGGCCAAGGCAGGCAGATCACTTGAGCTCAGGAGTTCAAGTCCAGCCTGGGCAACATGACAAAAGCCCTATTCTACAAAAAATACAAAAAATGGCCGGGCGCGGTGGCTCACGCCTGTAATCCCAGCACTTTGGGAGGCCGAGGCGGGCGGATCACGAGGTCAGGAGATCGAGACCATCCCGGCTAAAACGGTGAAACCCCGTCTCTACTAAAAATACAAAAAAATTAGCCGGGCGTAGTGGCGGGCGCCTGTAGTCCCAGCTACTTGGGAGGCTGAGGCAGGAGAATGGCGTGAACCCGGGAGGCGGAGCTTGCAGTGAGCCGAGATCCCGCCACTGCACTCCAGCCTGGGTGACAGAGCGAGACTCCGTCTCAAAAAAAAAAAAAAAAAAAAAAAAAAAAATTAGCCAGCCTGGTGGCACACACCTGTAGTCCCAGCTCCCCGGGAAGCTGAGGAGGATCACCTGAGCCCAGGAGGTCGAGGCTGCAGTGAGCTGTGATTGCGCCACTGCATTCCAGCCTGGGTGACAGAGTGAGACCCTGTCTCAAAAAAAAAAAAAAAAAAAAAAAAGATGCTGTCCTCAGTGCATCTTTGTAAAGGCTTCATGATGTCACTACGTCTTATTACCTTAATCACTTATTAAGCTGGTTTCTATGGGGTTTCCATCTCCACTGTCAAATTAGTTAATTTCTTTCCCTTTTTACTTGATAAGTATATTAGGGGAAATAGAAACTATGCAAATCTTGTTTTTCCTCAAACTTCTGTCCACTAATTTTAGTATCAACAGGTAAATCTTGTCTGTGATTTTATATATATATATATATATATTTTTTTTTTTTTTTTTTTTTTTTTTTTTTCCCTAGACGGAGTCTCCCTCTGTCACCTAGGCTGGAGTGCAGTGGCACGATCTCGGCTGACTGCAAGCTCCGCCTCCTGTGTTCACGCCATTTTCCTGCCTCAGCCTCCAGAGTAGCTGGGACTACAGGCGCCCGCCACCATGCCCAGCTAATTTTTTGTATTTTTAGTAGAGACAGGGTTTCACCGTGTTAGCCAGGATGGTTTCGATCTCCTGACCTTGTGATCCGCCTGCCTCGGCCTCCCAAAGTGCTGGGATTACAGGCGTGAGCCACCGCACCTGGCCTGTGATTTTTTAACTGTGGTGTTTATGTAATGGCAAGTCTCTGTTTCCCTCTTGCCTTTTGTGTGTATTAACTGGAAATCTACCATAAGGAAGCACTCCCTTTCTTCCCTGTTTACTTATTTCTTCAACTGTTTATATCAGCATGGATTCGTGGATATTTATTTTAGTCTATGTGTTAGAATCCAATACTAACATAATTTATTTTGTTCCTCAAACTGTTCCAGCTTTGGCCGTTAGGAACTTCAGGCAAGCTCCTCAATTCCCTTGACATGGCTCCATCATCCCCCCACATCCCTGCACTTTCTTTCTAGCACCACAAGATATTCCAGGGTCATCCTGTCATTCCCCTGTGGCATCCCTGGAATCAACCACATCTCCTAGGAGACCTGGTTCCTTTTGCAGGAGAATGATGTTTGGAGACCAAGAACTGGGTACCGGGTGTGCTCACTGTTACTGGGTGCCATTGCCTCTAGACACACTCAGGACAGAGCTAGGAAACATAAGTATGTATACTAAGCACACATAAACACACACACACACACACACACACATCTATATTTCTGTATCCATCTATATATAATTTTATTTATTATTTATTTAGAGACAGGGTCTTCCTTTGTTACCCAGGCTGGAGTGCAGTGGTACAATCACAGCTCTCTTCAGCCTTGAACCCCTGGACTCGATCTATTCTCACATCTCAGCGTCCCAAGTAGCTGGGACTACAGGCGCACACCATCACACCTGGCTAATTTTTGTATTTTTTGTAGAGATGGGGTTTTGCCACATTGCCCAGGCTGATCTCTAACTCCTGGGCTCAAGCTATTCACCTGCCTTGGCCTCCCAAAGTGCTGGGATTACAAGAGTGAGCCACCAGAGCCTAAAATTTTAAAATCATGAGTTTAGACTGACACCTCCTATTCTAACCCAGCACCACGGGGTTTATTCTAGACCCCTATCATTTGTAACCTCTTTCACTAACAGTAAGAAATCCAGCCCTCATAGTCTACAATCTATTTACTTGTTTGTTCAACTTTAGTATACATAGTTTCAGAATCACTAACCTATACTCCTGTGAGAAACATTTTTTTTTGCCCATTGCAACCTCTGCCTCCTGGGTTCAAGCAATTCTCAGCCTTCCGACATAGCTGGGATTACAGGCGTGCACCACCACGCCCGGCTAATTTTTGTATTTTTAGTAGAGACAGGGTTTCACCATGTTGGCCAGGCTGGTCTCTAACTCCTGACCTCAGGTGATCCGCCCATCCTGGCCTCCCAAAGTGCTGGGATTACAGGTGTGAGCCACCACGCATGGTCGAGAAACATTTTTAATAACTATACTACAACTTTTATGTACAGAAATTTTTGCCTTTACTCTTACCATATCCAGTAAAGATACTGTTTTCCACAGTTATTTGTTAGTTCTGTTCTTTCCTGCCCCCTTCAGTATGGTTATGTTACTCACCTGCGGTATGGTGGAGTTCATCTGTAATTTTGTTTTCTGTTTTCCCTACATCCTGGTTGCTCTTATTTATTTTGGCAGTATGTGAAGGGTATGTGAAACATTGCTACATCACAGTATGTAACAGTCAGTTATAGAAAAAGACATTTCAGGCTGGGTGCAGCGGTTCACTAATCCCAGTACTTTGGGAGACCAAGGTGGGCATATCACTTGAGAGCAGCCAGGCCAAACTGGGGAAACCCTGTCTCTACTATTAGCCAGGCGTAGTGGCACACACCTGTAATCCCAGCTACTCAGGAGGCTGAGGCACGAGAATCACTTGAGCCTGGGAGGTGGAGCTTGCAGTGAGCCAAGATCACACCACTGCACTCCAGCCTGGGTGACAGGGCGAGACCCTGTCTCAAAAAAATAAATAAATAAAATAAAAAGATATTTCAAAGAAGTGTCATTCCCTTCTCATCCCTGTAGCCCAGTCTCATCCTTCCCTTCTTTCTAGCCTTTACCCACCAACCTATTTTGTCTCTGGGCGTCCTTCCTATATTTCCTTTGCATCTGTGTATTTTCTTCTATCGGTTTTCTTTTTATTTTTCGAGATGGAGTTTCATTCTTGCTGCCCAGACTGGAGTGCAATGGCGCAGTCTCGGCTCACTGCAGCCTCCAACTCCTGGGTTCAAGTGATTCTCTTGCCTCAGCCTCTCAAATAGTTGGGATTACAGGTGCCCACCACCACGCCTGGCTAACTTTTTTGTATTTTTGGTAGAGATGGGGTTCCCCCATGTTGCAGGCTGGTCTTGAACTCCTGACCTCAGGTGATCCACCCACCTCCCAAAGTGCTGGGATTACAGGCGTGAGCTACCACGCCTGGCCTCTCTTCTTTCTAATATAAAGGGTAGCATACTATAGACACTCGTTTGGGCATTGCATTTTTCACATAACTTTATGTCCTAGACATTACTTCATAACCATTCAGAGAGATCTTCCTCATTCTTCTGTATAGCTGCACAGTACTCCACCATGTGAATGGAAAATGGTTTATTTGACCACTCTCTTATGTATGCATCTTTAGATTGTTACCAATATTTTGTAATGATTAACCATCTCCCAGGACACCTGTGTTCCACAGAGCCCAGTCTGGTAAACAACAGTCTTAAAGAAAAAAAAAGAAAAGACACAGAAAGAAATTCAAGACAGCTTCTGTGGACAGCAGTGAATGGCAATACCCATTCTGGATTCCACGACATAGGCTTTCTCTTAGCTTCTGTTTAATGATAGCTTTTGCCAAGTTCACCATCTTATGTAAACTAAAGGAACACGAAATTCACTCTAGCCTTAGGAAAGCTGAGGGGATGGGATTATTAGGAAAAGAAAGTGTGTGCCAGTAACCCTGAGGCCTTCAGTGAGTAATCCTGGCCAAGCCCAGGGCAGCCAGGGATGTATTATTGCTATTCCATTCTGAACAATGGATGACTGACATTTGCAAGAGCTTGCCAATTATTTTAATAACTAACTCTTCAGGGTGGAGAGGGCCAAGGAGATGGGTGTTCCTCATTCCACACACATGTGAACACTTGAGGGAGCTCCCCACCCCAGGGCTCTAGGAAAAAAGAAGTGATTCAGATTCCATAGCACCCTGTGGGTAGACAGGTTTCAGGACCACCTTTTACCTGCTCTGAGGTTTAAATGGCACCACCGTCACTCGGGTCTAATGGTGCATGTCTGCAGGAAGATTGTTCTGACTGATATATTCCCCAGGCGGGGGGACACTTCTCATCTAGGTAAAGGGCTCCTACGGAAATGAAAGGGGCAGAAAGAGAAAGTGAAAAGTAAAAACAAGCTGGGTAATGTTTCCAGAGGTCCACATTCACTCGTTTGTAAATTCGGTCACTCATGTTATTGGAACAAGGATGAGGTGGTTTCATTCCTCACAGAGTTAGGCCTTGCAAGGGACATTACGGTACGGGATGGGAATGGTGAGGGTGAGGATGAGGGTGGGATGACGTGGGGGCAGAGGGGAGAGGGAGGTGAAGCCCAAAGGACCCCACGGCGCTGATGCCAGGTCATGTGACCCGGTCTATGGGTGGGCACTGCCCTCTTGCCTTTCCCCCCACCTCCCAGGGCCTCTAGCAAAGCCTCGTAAGAACCTTCCAGCTTATCTTAGTTATGCCTTGGAAAGGGACATTACCAGCATCTGGATTAAAGAGTGGATGGGGAGCAGTGGGCTCTGATGCCAACCGTGCCCAGAGCAGGAGCTCCAGCTGCCATCCTGGACAGTCAGGCCCCAGAGGAAGGAAGCCAGGAGCCAAGAGGTGGACCCAAAAGAGAAAGGTGGGAAGAGCCTGGGACCCCGATGGCCACTAAGCCACCACAAAGCCCTGGACCACCCCACTACACACTTCTTTTATGTAAAAGATAAATATATTTCTATCTAGTTTCCAAAAAAAACCAGGTACATAAGGTATTTTTAAATGGTTATAATCATATATTTTACATGTACTGTCAAAAAGCTTAAATAAAAGCTGAAATAAATGCTAATTGAAAGAAAATGTATATGTGCAACAAAAAAGTCAGCGAGAGGTAGAGCAGCTGAGCAGCTCTGCGGTGTACTGACTTCATGTCCCCATGGAACTCCAGTCTCACAGCAAGGATGAGGTGAGCCCAACATATCTGGAATGTCACTGCCCTGGGTGGCCCCTCTGGCTCTACAGGGATGCCAGCCCCTGCCATGCCCCTCCCAGCCATGACCCCCCAGTGCTCTAAGGACAAGGCCCTGTTGTGCCCATGTGCCATCTGCCCTTCTCCTGCCCTGGTCCATGGTGTCTATGACTGCTCTGTGACCCCTGCCCCCACCAGCTCTGCCTGCCGCAGAGGGACAGCAGCCCTTGTGCAAGCTGGCTTCAGCCGTTTCAGGTGTGGTCTCTAGGCTGGGAGATTTTGCGACCTGCCCTGGCCACTGCTGATGCGTCCAGCCTCCTCTCCAAGGTGGAAGGCAGGGAGGACAGCAGGCTCTCTTAGACCCATACACTCCACGTTAGGAAACACGGAGTTTGAAAAATAAAAACACGTTAATCTACTGGCAAAAGCAGCTGGCAGAAGCTAAAATCACTGGCCTAGGAAGCACTTCAAAATCAACAACAGGGCTTAGGTGAAGGAGTTATTGGGTATCACAGAGCAAGAAAAAAATCATGGGTACGTGGTCTCAGGACCTCTTGAGATTGTGCCTTAGGCAAAAAAAAAAAAAAAAAAAGAGAGAGAAATCACATTTCCCCAAAAATGGATGTGCAAAATGAGCCGAGAGGAAATATTGGACTGTTCATTTACAAATTCTCAAAGACAGACCCCACATGTCAAGATTCCTGGTAGCAAAGGTTCTGCCTTCGCCAGTTTTCCAGCTAATTAGCAGCACGTGGGCTACAGGTGCTGCTAGACACAGCTCCCGCCTGGCTGCTGCCTCTCATCCTGCCAATGGCACAAGAACTGGTCCAAACAGGAAGAACCAGGAGTTGCAGGCCTTGACTTCCTAACTCTCTGGGACTGGCCCAGCAGGGGCACTTGGCACCTCTGCAGAGTCGGAGCATTGCATGCACAGGTGCCCACACTCACAGGGGCCTGGGAGCGGCCTTGCTACCTCTATTTACAGCCAACAGCTGCTCTGAGAGGCTGTGGCCTGTTTCTCCAGAGTTGAGCCTTAATCCTTTCCAGGGTTTGCATCTAGTCTTCTTGAAGCTCTCTCTGCCCACCTCCAAAGCTTCAGGACCAGCAATGCTTCCAGAGCCTTTATTTGCAAATCCCAACTTTCCAGACTATCCCCAAAGGGAACGTTCTTTCTTTCTCTTGTTTTCTGCTTGATCCAAGGGGCAGCCTCGCCTTCAATGCAGTCCAGCTGAGTGAAGCTAAGGTATTTTCTGAGCCAACAAAGATGATTTCAGGCTCTATGGCTCGAGGCATTTCCCTGGATGAAATAACACTTCAAAAAGACTTAAGGCCACTTGTGTCTCTCTCTTGGGCCACAGACTTTCAGTAATTCCAAGAGCAAAGCTCCTTATACAAGGACACAGACAGTACGGGAGCCTTGGAAGCCAGGGCTGGCTGCCCCTTGCCCCAGCTTGGCTCTGGGCAAACCAGCCAGGCACCAAAAGCGACTTCCCTGACATGGAGTTGGCAGCAGTTCAAGCAGGACCTTAATCACCAAGGAGACTGAGCACCCTTCAGGAGCCAGCATGTGAATCTCAATGTCCACATGAAGATGTGGTAGATGGGGCTGCAGCGACCTCGGGCAGGGAAACCACTGAACACCGGGCTCCAGCCAAATGCAGCATAATTTTGTGGAAGTCTAGAAATGCTGACTGTCCTTGGGAACTGCTCAATATTGGGAAAATGTTATCAGCTCCGCACACTGCCAGCTCTCCCCAAAGAGACATGAGAGCCTCCAACCGGAAGAGGCAGGGCGGTGGGGAACAGCTCTCAGGAGGAGGCAGCCCAGGGCAAGGGAAAGTTGCTGAGTCGGCTGAAAGTCTGAATGGTGCCAGCTCCACTGCACACAGGCTGTGTGACCTCTGGGGAGCCCCTCAACCTTTCTGAGCTTCAAATTCCTCACCTGGGATATAAGACTCCTACCTCGGCCTCCTAATGAAGGCTGAGACGATTGGTACACAGCTCCAGCGTGGTGTCAGGCACACAACAGGTGCTCTCCCTAAGGGCTTCATGAGAGCGACTCAGCAGCACAAAGCCATGGGAGAGGCACCGGGGGAATGTGAGGCTGCGAACAGCAAAGGGCTTGGCAAACCCATTGGTCCCGTTTGTCATTTACCCACGAGGGCCAGAGACGCATGACAAAGACACTAGCAAAGGAGATGAGACCATTAGGAAAATCAAGCTGGCCAGACACAAAGCCCTCCTGGGAGCAAGTTTTTCCAGATTGCTCCCAATAGCTAACTTGGCAGCAGCAGGCATTTTTCAGACATGAGCCATAGACCTTTTGCCTCCTATGGGCAATGCTTCCGATTCTCTGGAGTTAATATTCGATCCCGATTTTGTTCAAAGAGTTCTAACATCCTCTCCATGTGGTGGTCAGCCTCAATCACCTGGAAATTAGACACATGGGTCACAAGGCTGCACTGACCTCAGCAGCATCCTCCTTTCACAGCTGGAGACAGACAGATGGAAGCAGGCAGCAGGGGGCAGGGAAGGGCACAGAAGGTTGCAGGCAGATAAAAAGGAAGGTTAGAGCCAAATCGCTTTCAGCTCTAGGGCAATCTACATTTCCAATGAGGTTTTCACTTAAGAATGTACTACAAGAGCTAGGTATGGTGGCTCATGTCTATTATCCAAGCACTTTGGGAGGCTGAGACCTGAAGATTACACGAGCCCAGGAGTTTGAGACCAGCCTGGGCAACACAGTGAGACCCTGTAAGCTCATGAATGATTTGTTTTTTTCCCTCATCACTTTCTACCCTCCTTTTTTTCCATAATGAGGGAGAAAAATAAGCTGTACTTATTTAAAAATCTACTACAGTAGGCCGGGTGCAGTGGCTCACGCCTGTGATCCCAGAATTTTGGGAGGCCGAGGCAGGCAGATCACTTGAGGCCAGGAGTTTGAGACCAGCTTGGCCAACGTGGCAAAATCCCATCTCTACGAAAAATATAAAAAATTATCCAGGCATGGTGGCATGCGCCTGTAGTCCCAGCTATTCAGGAGGCTGAGGCAAGAGAATCATTTGAACCCAGGAGGCAGAGGTTGCAGCGAGCCGAGATTGCGTCACTGCATTCCAGTCTGGGCAACAGAGTGAGGCTCTGTCTCAAAAACAAACAAACAAAAAATTACTACAGTAATATCTCACTTTCCGGCAACCTCACTGCCTGCAAGAGCCATAAGCAGAAGTGTTTGAGCCCAAACAGATATTCCTATGGCCACGCACAAAAGCTCATGCACAGCCCTGCCTCACATCCCATCAAACAATGCTCCTATAGCCATGCACCAAAGCTTGCGCACAACCCTGCCTCACAGCCAATCCCATGTTGTATATGTAACCATCTTAGGTTCCCTCCAATCAAGACTCGGAGGGACCCCAGACTCCGCATTTCTTGGGAGCATCTGGGCCACTGCTTATTTGTCTGAGTAAAGAAATCTGGAAACAGCAAACTGGAAAACAAGGAGATGGGGAAGTAAGGAAATGCTGACGGGACAGACACATCAATATCAGTCAGAAATGACACATGGCAGCAAGAGAAAGGAGGATTACTGTAAAAAGTAAACACAGGAACGCAGAGACATTAGTGGGCAGGGCAGACAGTTCCACACACCTCAGCATTCCTAAGGGCATCACTGTGTGACAGCCCAGACCAGACAATGACATTCCTTCTGATGACCTGAGTCACCAAACAAAGGTGAAATGAGGCTCTGTGTCATCCACGGAAGGAGGAAGGTCACATCAGAGGAACTACTATCCCAAATGGTGAAAACTGAGACCCGGGTCTAGAGTCTTCGCTGAAGATGCTGGATCAGTGACAACTGCCAGGTGTGATGGCACTGGCACAGACTGCCTTCCCTCGGGTCTGGCCAACTCACTCTGAGACTCAGCCCAGAAACAGGCACTGGGAGAGAGAGCACCAGCCTTCCCACCTTCCTTCTTCTAAGTTGTCAAACTCTAAAGGACTGTGCCCTCCCCTGTCTGCAAGGTGGCTGACATTCCCCGGGTCACTCCTCTTTCTAGAACAGTCTCGTACCCTGTAAGGGAGTCTTACTTACCAGAACAGGGGCTGCCATGGGGAAAAGGCTGCCTTTGATGAGCCACTCCTCATGGAGATGGTGAATTGCTTCCAGGTATTCCTGCCAGGGAAACACAAGCAGTCTGTCGGGAGTGGACAGAGCAGACCCCACCTACCAAGGGTGTCAAGCAGAGGGGGTCAAAGTAGTCAATGACCATGGGCAGTGACTCAGACAAAGGAACCCTGCAAGAGCAAACCTGGCTCAAGTGGACAGCGGCAGACGCAGCCACACACTCGGTGGCCAGGCTGAGCAAAACAGCACAAGTGTCACCAGCCACCCTGCTCTGCTCCACTGGGGGTTCGTGGGCACAAACACTGGCCCTTCCCCTGGCGCCTGAATCAAAGCCAAGGCAAAAGGCAGGACCCCCTCCCCCTCCCCCTCTCCCTCTCCCCTTTGCACGGTTTCCCTCTGATGCCCAGCCGAGGCTGGACTGTACTGCCGCCAACTCGACTCACTGCAACCTCCCTGCCTGATTCTCCTGCCTCAGCCTGCCAAGTGCCTGGGATTGCAGGCGCGCACCGCCATGCCTGACTGGTTTTCGTATTTTTTGGTGGAGACGGGGTTTCGCTGTGTTGGCCGGGCTGGTCTCCAGCTCCTAACCGCGAGTGATCCGCCAGCCTCGGCCTCCCGAGGTGCCGGGATTGCAGACGGAGTCTGGTTCACTCAGTGCTCAATGTTGCCCAGGCTGGAGTGCAGTGGCGTGATCTCGGCTCGCTACAACCTCCACCTCCCAGCCGCCTGCCTTGGCCTCCCAAAGTGCCGAGATTGCAGCCTCTGCCCGGCTGCCACCCCGTCTAGGAAGTGAGGAGTGTCTCTGCCTGGCCGCCCATCGTCTAGGATGTGAGGACCCCTCTGCCCGGCCGCTCAGTCTGGGAAGTGAGGAGCCCCTCTGCCCGGCCACCACCCCGTCTGGGAGGTGTACCCAATAGCTCATTGAGAACGGGCCATGATGACGATGGCGGTTTTGTCTAATAGAAAAGGGGGAAATGTGGGGAAAAGAAAGATCAGATTGTTACTGTGTCTGTGTAGAAAGAAGTAGACATAGGAGACTCCATTTTGTTCTGTACTAAGAAAAATTCTTCTGCCTTGGGATGCTGTTAGTCTATAACCTTACCCCCAACCCCGTGCTCTCTGAAACGTGTGCTGTGTCCACTAAGGGTTAAATGGATTAAGGGCGATGCAAGATGTGCTTTGTTAAACAGATGCTTGAAGGTAGCATACTCATTAAGAGTCATCACCATTCCCTAATCTCAAGTACCCAGGGACACAAACACTGCGGAAGGCGGCAGGGCCCTCTGCCTAGGAAAACCAGAGACCTTTGTTCACATGTTTATCTGCTGACCTTCCCTCCACTATTGTCCTATGACCCTGCCAAATCCCCCTCTCCGAGAAACACCCAAGAATGATCAATAAATACTAAAAAAAAAAAAAAAGGCAGGACCCACACCTGGCTTCTCCCATTTACTGCCACTTTTGCAGCAGCAGGGCCTCAGTTCCTTCAGGCAGGGGCCCAGCCCTGGGCAGCCTCTAAACCCTCCGCTCTGTCTTGCCACCAAGAGGACTGTGACCCTCACCCATTGCCCTTCTACCCCCTCAACAACTCGTAACCTATAGACCCTCCAGACTATAAAGACCACCAACTGCAGAAAGCCTGATGCAGCGGAGCCCAAGGGAAAAGGGGCACAGGCCCTCCTGAGCCATGGGGCCTGCATGCCAGGCAGAGCAGATACTCGTGCTCTCCCAGGCACAGAGTGGGATGGCTCCTCACACAGATTCCACTCGCCATCCCAGAGGCTCGCGTGTCAACTCTGCAGCAGCCTTTACATCTCCTGCCCAGCTCTCCCTTGGCAATAGGAGCCAGATGTGTCCCATGGACCTGGTCAAACCCTTAAGACAATGGCTTGGATCACGGCTTGGACGGCCCCCAGGCTTGGGGAGCATCTGGGTCACTGCACAGAGCTGCTGTGCGCATCACAGCATGGTCCAGCCTGGCCCCATTCCACCACATTCCATCTTCCTAGCATTCTTGTCTCCAAGATTTCAAAGGAGCTGCCCAGAGTGACGCCTGGGCCCTCGTGGCAGGAATGCATCGTGCTGGCACCAAGGAAAAACAAGGCTGAGCAGGATTTCAGGAGTTGGATAGGCTTCCCAGGGCCCCCAGTCCAGCCTATCCTGAGCTCAGAGCCCCTGACACCCCACTGAATGCTTGCCCAGCCTCTGTCTCCCTCCAGTGGCAGCTTCTCACATGGGACATTCAGTTCAATACTAACTGAGCAACTACTAGGCACCAGGCCCCAAGGCACATGCAGAGGACACGGAGGGAATAAGACCCAATCTTAAAAAGCTCACATTAGTGAGGGATGGGGAACAAAGGTATAAACAAATAGTGTCAGTATGCTGTCCTAAGGCCCATGATCACAGAAAGCCAGGGGGTGGGTTTGGGGGGGGTTACAATGGAAGGAAGGTCAGGGGTGGCTTCCTGGAGGAGGTGACATCTGAGTAACACTTTAAAGACAAAGGAAACGACTGTGCAAAGGCACATTTGCATAACTCCACTGTGTATGTGGTTGTTTGTGTGTGGCCACAACTAGTTCCTTATAGCCAGAGCATAGAAAGTAGGGAATGGAGGATGATAACGCCAGAGAGGCAGTTGGGGCCGGGTCATAAGCCGTATTACAAAGTGGGGACTGCATTCTAGCCAGCAGCAAGGCACTGAAAGGTTCTGGGCTGGGAAATTGCACGAGTGGTGATGAGTATTGGAAATATCAGCCGGGCGGCAGCCTGGAGGCCAGATTTTGAAGGGAGATGCAAGGAGGGAAGGGCCAGGGCGAGATGCACAGCCCGGGCCTATACTGGCAGAGTCCCCATGAGAGTCAGTGTGGCCTGAGCAGAACTCAGAAGGGCATGGCATCTCTCCAGTGGGCAAACACCACTAAGCATGAGCACCGCCTCCGTGCCGGGCACTGTGCTAAGCACTAGGGATGCAGCAGTGAACAAGAGGGCTGGGTCCTGCCCTCCTGGAACTCGCATTCTAGGGAGGACACAGAGAGCACAAGGCCAGGCAATCTTCAGGAGGCAGAACAGACAAGCCCTGGTGCTGCCAAGATGGGGAGGGGCAGGTGGGGAGGGGAGGGGAACGCCTCCAAGCAGGAGGGTTGCCAAACTGTGAGTCAGCGACCACAGGAAGCCAAGCAGATCTGGACATCCACGTGGGTCTCTGGCCAAACAGGAAGTCAGAGTTCACCCTCTGATACACTTGGTTCCTGTTCTCTCTCTGCAAACAAGGGCACAATGATCTCATGGGGGTGGGGCCGGGAGAGGAAGCCGGGTTGGACAGAGGTGGTTTCCCAGTTTGTCTTTAACCAAGTCAAAGAGGCCTCTTACCAGCGGAATGACCTTCTCCTCTTCCCTGCATCTCTTCTTTAACCTCTGGTAACAAGTCTCAGGATTGGTCCGAAGGTAAACTGAGGTTAAAAGAATACGTGGCTCTCAGGACTCTGCTCATGGCTTGGAAGCAAAGCAGGCACACAGGCAAAGGCGGGAGGAAGGTCTGCACAGCTCGAGCAGGAAGCAGGGAGGGCCAGCTCTTGGCTTGACCACTGACCCTCCGCCTCGACTTTCATTCTCTTTCAGTGTCAGCGGCCCCGTGGGGTCGTTTTGAGGCTGAATGGGATTCTGTTCATAGACAGAGCTCAAAACAGGCCTCACACCCAGCAGGTCTCAGTGAATGTTCAGGCTCTGTCCTTCCTGTTCCTTTGCAAACTAGAAAAACCCATCAGATCACAGTGGATTTGGGTCTGAAAGTAGCTGAGCCAGGGAGGGAAGTTTAAAGAACAAAGGCCAGGGTTCTTCTCCATGAGAGACCAGAAGTCCCGAATTCTGTC
Source organism: Homo sapiens (assembly GCF_000001405.40). Classification (NCBI taxonomy): domain Eukaryota; kingdom Metazoa; phylum Chordata; class Mammalia; order Primates; family Hominidae; genus Homo; species Homo sapiens. Next base: position 66,517,636 of record NC_000016.10, read on the forward strand.
TGCCCTCAGGGAGAAAGCTGAACTCCCATGGGGAAGGAACTGCCAAGGGCAAGTGCCTCACCCACTGCCCCCAAGGGTTGGGGCCCAGCCAAGCACATCCTCAAGGGACCCAGGAGAGAGACAAGAGAGGGAGGTGGGAGGGGTGCATCTCACCTATCAAATCAACAGACACGTCCATGTTCCTCAAGATCCAGTCAAACCATTCCGACAGAACTACATAGTCCACTTCTGGCATCTTCCCACTGCAATGAGAGTTGTAAGGGCTTATTCACCTAAGAGAAAACTTCTGGGCTATGCAATTCCCCCAAAAGGATCTTGAGACGGCTCTCAATGAAAGGAGTCACCAAGGGTACCAGGGCACAGTGTGATCCGTGCAATACTGGACATGCAGTGACAAGGACCCTAAGCATTCCCGACCTCCTGCTGCCTGGGAGCGGCTTATGGCACAATGCTGCAAGGGCCATGGCACGGAGTGATGGGAGAATTCACTTGGGATTGGAACTCTAAGCAGAGAAAGGGACTTTAAAGCTTGTACCCTGAGAACAGAGACAGTGCTCAGGTTAGGCAATGAATCAGCAAACCAATTTCACTTCTAGAAATTTATTTTGTGGACCAGGGTGGTGGCTTATGCCTGTAATCCCAGCACTTTGGGAGGGTGAGGTGGGAGGATCACTTGAGGCCAGAAGTTCAAGATCTGCCTGGGCAACATGGAAAGACCCCCATCTCTACAAAAACTACAAAAAAATTAACTAGGGGTGGTGGCGCATGCCTATGGTCCTAGCTACTCGGGAAACTGAGGCAGGTGGATCACTTGAGCCCAGGGGTTTAAGGCTGTAGTGGGTCATGATCATGCCACTGCACTCCAGCCTGGGCAACAGAGTGAGACCCCTGACTCAAACAAAACAAAAAAATTTATTTTGTGAAAATAATCATGATGCTCACCGCGGCACTGTTTAAACCAATAAAAAACTAAATCTTGGTAAATCTATATAACAGAAAATTCACGCAGTAACTGAAGGATGATATTGTAAAATAATATTTAATGGCATGGAAAAATTTCAAATCTAATGTTCAGTGAAAGCAACAGGATCTAAAACTGTGTATATCCCAACCACATTTCCAAAAGTATTCACCAATGCATCTTGGAAAGGTGGGAAAGAAAAATATCAAAATGTAAAAAGTGCTTTTCTCAAGCTGCAGGACTACATGAGACTTTTCTTTTTTTCTTTATACCTTTTTGTATTTTCCAAATTTTAACAACACATTACTTCTCAAATCAGCAGTGGGAGTTGGGGAGCATTACTACATATTTTAGTTTTTATTTATTTTTTTTTTTTATTTTTTGAGACGTAGTGTCGCTCTGTCGCCCAGGCTGGAGTGCAGTAGTGTGATCTTGGCTCACTGCAAGCTCCGCCCCCCAGGTTCACGCCATTCTCCTGCCTCAGCCTCCCGAGTAGCTGGGACTACAGGCACCCGCCACCACGCCGGGCTAATTTTTTGTATTTTTAGTAGAGACAGGGTTTCACCGTGTTAGCCAGGATGGTCTATTTTTTATTTTTTTAAGACAGAGTTTCACTCTGTCGCCCAGGCTGGAGTGCAGTGGCGTGATCTCAGCTCACAGCAATCTCCGCCTCCTAGGTTCAAGCGATTCTCCTGCCTCAGCCTCCTGAGTAGCTGGGACTACAGGTGTGCGCCACCATGCCTGGCTAATTTTTGTATTTTTAGTAGACACGGGGTTTCACTATGTTGGCCAGGCTGGTCTCGAACTCCTGACCTCAAATGATCCACCCGCCTCGGCCTCCCAAAGTGCTGGGATTACAGGCATGAGCCACTGCGCCCGGCCTACTACACATTTTAAATGTTAACTTTAAAAGAAAGAAAAAAAGGCAAGAAAGTGGGAAGGAAGAACGAGCCAGGGTGAAGGAGAAATCTGGCATCTATTCCTGGTATTCCTGTGGGTTTCCTGTGCCCTGGGAGGAAATGAACAGGAAAGAGAGAGCAGGAATGGACACAGCTGGAGGGCACAAGCCCATCAGCAGGCAGACAACCCTCACAGGCCTAGCAGAGGAATTCTCCCTTTAACATCCTCCATTCCACTAGTGGCTCCATGTGGGTCCCGCTCAGAGCTGGGTTCGGCAAGACTGGCCATGGGGGAGTGGCCGTACCTGAGCCATGTGCAATGGGAGGCTCTCAGTGGGGAGGGGGCAGGGAGGGGCTGACTCCAGTCCCACGAGGGGATGAGCATGGAAGGAAGTAAGAGGCTGGAAGAGTGAGGCAGGCACTCTGGGAGGCCAAGGGCACAAGTAGCCCTGTCTTGGGGCCCTAACAGCAAGGCATGGCACCAACTGGAGAGGGACATTCTCCCCTAGTCTCTGAGACCACCCCCATGTCCTCAGAAGAGAAGAGTATTTGACAGAGGAGCGGGAGAGTGGACGGAGAACAGCAGCGGGGCCTGAGCAGACTGCAGCACAGAGGCCAGGGCAGACCAACCTGTGGGACGGCCAGGACTCCCAGAAAACCTGGAGAAGCTGCGTGGGAGGCTGGAGGAGTGGGAAGGAAATCCTACAGCATTGCAGAGGGGACTCCCAGGCAACAAAACTCAGGCACTACAAGTTCAGGTGACAACTTTGTGTCCACAGGCTGCCTCCCTGCCTCCTCTCCGCTTACCTCCTTAAAAGTAGCCCATTCTTTATTCAGGGTCCATCCACAGACCCAAGGGCTTCAGGGAAACCTCACCCCACCCCAAGCTTCCAAGCTTTAGGGTAGGCACAATCGGTCTAAAGGAAGTCGTCTCCCCTAGTTCCAGCAATGCGTTCAGGAAGCCAAGCTAAGTCAATCAGTGCAGGGCCTCCCCCAGCCAGGGGCCCAATTTGGATTAGGCAGGCGTGAGGGAGGTTTGCAGGGACTTACAGAAAAGATACTTCCGCACGCTTAGGGAAGAGCCACTAGCAAGACACCTGCCCTTACTCCAACCAGCGAGTGAGAAGCCCAATGCTGCCACGACTACATTGTCACCCTGAGAGAACTGCATGAGGACACGAACAGGATGCACAGTAGCAAAATGTAGAGAAACCAGGCCAGAGGCACCAAATAAGCCATCTGTTGGGAGTTGATGACACCTCATTGTTCAGGCTACCCTGAGTTGGGTTTCAGTTAGTTCAGCTCCGAATATTTGATGTTCAAGAAACCAAACCACTATCTCTTATTTTCCTTTTCTGGAAAAAGAAGACTGAGAACAAAATTGACTCTAAGAAAATGAGGATGTGCAATGAGGAAGCTGCTGATTAGCTTCTCGCCTACTCCAGCAAACTCATGGCTTGAGGGCACAGAAGAGGTGGCACCAAAGGGGTGGGGCCAGTTAGCAGCAACTGGGGAGAAGCTGAGCTGCCCATGGGACAGTCTCCCAAGTGTCCAAGGCTGGACTAGCCACCGGAGTACCTCATGCGTCTGCACAGCTCGAGGGAGACTCTGTCCAATCCCAGAGCTGGGAGGGTGCCCACAGATATGATCATGGAACTGAACCACAGCTCAGAACAAATGAAGCAGTGTTAACTAAAACCAAACCAACCACCACTGCAAAACAGTCACAGTACACGGGGGTCTGCACATGGAGACATGGGGAGGGGGTCACACCTGTGGGGGACTCTGGGACTGACAGACTCCGGTGGCTCTGCCCCTGCCACAGCTCCCCTGGGAATCGGCTCCAGGTAGTCACAGGGGCCTCCCACTCCCACCCCCATCACAGCCAAACAAAAGGCTTCCCCCACAGGGTTGGTGCAGACTGAGGGGCAGCCTCTCCCTTCCCAATGCTCTTGGAAGGGGTCCTTGGTCGGGTGGCCTCCCATGGGCAGGGTCAGTAGGCCAGACCTATTGAAAACCCTTCCATGACTAGAACCATGTGCCAGAAGAGGCTGGGGGATCCAGGAGGACTGAATGACCAGTGTCTGAGCTGAGTGAGGAAACAGAAGCCTGATCTCCATGACTCCGAGGGACATGGGGCACAGTGGGCGCTGCTCTAACTGTATTTCCTCCTAGGAACTCTGCCCAGCTCCTCCTGTGTCTGTCTCAAGCATGGGGCTCCCCACACCACCGACAAGACAAGCCACTGCCTTTATTTCTACAGAATGCACGGAGAGCAATACCAAGCAAATCCAAGCTTGGCAAATCCAAGCACACAACTCAACAGTGGGCATGGGGGTCTCACCCTTGCCCTGACCCCAAGGGGGCAAAACCAAGGTCTTGATCCACATGAATCCTGCTGTTACATCAGTACAATTTCTTGCATCCTTCCCTGAGGCCAAGAGAGCCCCCCAGTCTGTGCGGAATGGAATGGAAGAGCTCCCTTGTATACGTTATTTCCTTTTGTTTTCACAAGACCTTGTGAGGCTGGCTTCAGTCCCAGTTTATAGAAGAAACCTGAGGATCAGAGAAGTGAAGGCCAACTCTGTCTGAGCAGGGGTCCAAGCCTGGCTCTCCCTACCCCCAAACCCAAATGCTCTCCATTGCACCACCCGCCCACCCCAGTCTGTCAGCTGACTCGGATCAAGTCCAGTGTCTCTCTAGCCTGAGCTCCAGGAAGGCCACAGCTCTTAGGCGCATGACCCACACCAGGAGGTTTCAGTCTAGACAGGAGCTGGGAAGAACTTAAGCCCCTGGGCCAATCAGCAGGGGAGGAGGCCCAGCCTGTGGTTCCAAACACCAGGTCTTACTCAGTGTCCCCAACCACAAGCCACAGGTGAGTCAGCATGCCACTTCCCGAGCTGGGTCCCACTCCACGCCCTCACTTCTGTTCTTAGAAAAGGACGACCAGGCAATCTTGTAAAACCTTTGCTTCCCATTACTCGGCCCACACAGTCACCTGTGTGGCCTCTTTAGCTACATGAATCTTGCTCACCACCTTCAGCTTTTCATGCCAGCCAGCTGCCTGCCCCTTACACGTTCCTGTCTTTGGCCAGACGCAATGGCTAACGCCTGTAATCCCAGCACTTTGGCAGGCTGAGGCAGGCAGATCACCTGAGGTCGGGAGTTCGAGACTAGCCTGACCACCATGGAGAAACCCCATCTATACTAAAAATACAAAATTAGCCGGGCGTTGTGGCACATGACTAATCCCAGCTACTCGGGAGGCTGAGGCAGGAGAATCGCTTGAACCCGGGAGGTGGAGGCTGCAGTGAGCCGAGATTGCACCACTGCACTCCAGCCTGGGCAATAACAGCAAAACTCCGTCTCAAAAAAAAGAAAAAGAAGTTCCCGTCTTTAAGGATACTGTGTAACTGGAATCTTCCTCTCCAGCAATTAACACAGCCCTCTCGAATCCCTGGTGGCATAACTGCAGTTACATTCTGCACACCCCAACCTCGCCAGGGTAGACAGTGCCAGAAGAGGTGGGTCTTTTCCCTGGCGAGCTCTTCATTTGTTCACAGCCCAAAGAGCAAGAACACCCTTCAAGAAATTTTACTTCGAGGAGATGCAGGATTCCAATATGTGGGCTTTTCTGGGGACCTGAGCCTGCCATATAGCCTTCTGTCTAGGCCCCCACAGATCCTGAACCAAGGTTGCAAGAGCTTCTGAGAGGGAGAAAAAGATCAACCCAAGCACTGAAGGGGCAATGGTAATGTGCCCTCCCACCTTGTGAAGGGCTCCCCATCATGGCATTTTGGGAAGCCTTTTCCTAGAGCATCCCAGGAAATGAGGAAACACGAGCTCCCAGGCAGGAGCTGACGCCCCACATGCCACCGTGTGGTTCCCAGTACCTGGCTGAACTCCCTGCAGGTGGGAACCAAGACACCTTATTCTAGGTATGGGCAAAGGACCCAGCCAAAGTCAGTTCTATGCTACATTTTGCATAGGTAGTGACAATGACAGTAATCTGCATTTTGAAGGAGCCGAAACCTCTAAAAACATCTACTTTGGCCAGGCATGGTGGCTCACGCCTATAATCCCAACACTTTGGGAGGCTGAGGCAGGCAGATCACTTGAGGTCAGGAGTTCGAGACCGGCCTGGCCAACATGGTAAAACCCTGTCTCTACTAAAAATACAAAAATGAGCCAGGCGTGGTGGTGGGCGCCTGTAATCCCAGCTACTCGGGAGGCTGAGGCAGGAGAATTGCTTGAATCTGGGAAGCAGAGGTTGCAGTGAGCTGAGATCGCCTGAGTGATCCAGCCTGAGCAACAGAGCAAGATTCTGTCTCAAAATCAAAAAAACAAAAAACAAAAAACAAAAAAACCCCACATCTACTTTCTCAGTAATACTTCGTTGTGGATGACCGCTCCATCGAGGGCAGCTGGAGTTGTCCGGAGAGTGGCCAAGCTCTAGTCTTCCTTCCCTTTATCCCTTCTGTGGCTCTGGCTAAAAATACTTTTTACTTTGCCCTATGGCTGCCTGATTCTTGGCCTAGGAATAAGTCCAGAAACCTTAAAAACAAAGATAACACAACACAGCCCCCAGCAACCCAAATATGAAGCAACAAATGTGAAATTAAGAAACCACAGGCCAGGTGCAGGAAACAGGAAATCCTGCACTGCGCAGAACTTTTCACCATGGTCCCAAAGACAACCCTCAGGCCGAGGCTCTTGTTCTTATGACCCCCAAAGGTCCAGTGAAGCCCCAAGGAAGCCCACCTTACCGTCAGAACTCCAGGGGAAAAGGGTCGTGGCATTGGGATGGAGGGCGCCCTGTGGACCACCTGGCTACCAGCTTTTTTTATTTTTATTTTTTGAGACAAAGTCCCACTGTGTCACTTGGGCTGGAGTGCAGTGGTATGCTCATAGCTCACTGCAGCCCTGACCTCCTGGGCTCAAGTAATCCTCCTGCCTCAGCCTCCTAAGTAGCTGGGACTACAGATGTGCACCACCAGGCCCAGCTAATTTTTTAAATTTTTTGTAGAGATGGGAGTCTTACTTTGTTGCCCAGGCTGGTCTCGAACTCCTGGCTTCAAGTGATCCTTCCCCTTCTGCCTCCCAAAGTGCTGGGATTACAAGTATAAGCCACTACACCCGGCCCTGCCACCTTCTTCTGAGGCCCGTATTCCTCAAAGTGTGATCCCCGACCAGTAGGAGTATGGTCCCACCTGGGCACCTGCTAGAAATGTGGCCTCTCAGGCCCCACCTCAGTGCTACTGAAGTGGAATCTGCCTGTAAACAAGATGCACAGGTGGTTGTGGGAGAAGCTTAGGGTAAAGCCTGTCTGGAAAGAGGCAGAGTCTCCCCCTTGGGCTAGTACCTCAGGATTCTCAGCTTTGGGGAACCCAGTGGGCCCTGAAGCCTTTGGCCTTGATGAGAGAAATCTAGATGCCTCCTGCCACTTCCTCATTTGCTGCTTGCCCCCACACAGCAGGGTTCGGAACACCTTCCCCTCCTGTGGTTAGTTCCTGCCCGATCAGGAAGGAGCACTGGCTTTGTAATCCTTTCTCAGTTCCTTATCTGCCCAATAGGGTCAACAACCAGACAGTAAATGCAGCTCCTGTCCATGGGTCCCTGCCCTGTTCCTTAACCATGAGAGCAGATGCCCCCGTTTCCAGGGAACACATAAGCAGGTGCAGTTCACAAGTGAATCACTTGCCCTGGGAAGGTGTTTTGAATGCCGCTACCCCTTGGTTCTCTGCCTCCTGGACTTAGGGACTCTGGGGTATGTGGCTGAGGGAGTGGGAACTCCAAGCCACATGCAAAGCATGGTGTTTAATACAGGAACATCCATTGTCCTCAATGATAAGTTATGTAAATTATTATTTTTAGATACAAACTTAAGAACATATTATGGAGGAAAATGCAAAATCCCAATGAATTCTAGGTTAAAATAGGAGACTCCAAGAAACTTCTGGGTTGTTGGCAGGTGGCTGCTTTGGACCACAGGGTCTGGGAGGATGAGGAAGCAGTGCTGTGGGGAGCTTTCCTCTGCCTTCAGAGGAATCCGATGAAAGGGTCTGAGGAACACCGCCTTTTCTCATCTCTCTGGAGACCATGGTAGATAGCCTGGCCCTCCAGGCAGCCACAGTGCTCCCAGTAGCCTCTGGAGTGCCCGAGGCCACATGCCCACTGAGAGCCTTTGGCTTCAAGAGATCCCAGTGATGGATCTCAAGGCCCCAACAAGGTCTTCAGGGGAATCTGAGCCCCCCGAAAGCCATATGAACTTAAAACAATTAGATCCCAAGAACAGAAAGGACACTGTAAGTTTCTTCTGTGGTTCATTGTCCCACAGAAATCCTAACCACAGAGGCCATGCATTCTGGGAGGGCCAGGGAGAGACATAAATATAAAGTCATCAGGACAGGAAAAGAGCTAAAAAAATTAAAAGCTACATTCTCTTCCTAAACTACCCACAGAACAGCTCCAGGCAAGGCCCATGTCATCTAGACCAATGCCGTAACCACAGAGATTGGGAGATACAGAACTGACGCATCAGAAATGTGGTGATGCAGGACCATGGGCGTGAGTTACCAAAGCCCATGGCCATCAGCAGGAACTGTGACCGGCCAAACAAAGACAAATGGCTCCTGGGGAAATCTACCTAGCGCTGGGTGGCCTACAGGTTTGGGGGTAGGATTGGGGAACTCACAAATTTAATAAAGACCAAGGTGGGCAAGGACCCACAAAAGGGTCCTAAGACACGAAGGAGGTGGCAGGTCCAAAGGCTCTTCAGAGATGGACAAGAGGAATCAGAGATGAGAGATGGGCTCAGAGAAATTTAGAAACTTGGTCTTGCTCACAAACAGAGCAAACTTCAGAGCCAGGATAGAACCCAGGCCCACCAAATGCCACACTCTATCCTCTCCCCTTAACCTCTGGTCATTCCATTCCAGATTACTTGCTTCAAAAAGAGCCACGAGGCCGAGCAGAGCTGTAATCAGGCTCATGCCTGTAATCCCAGTACTTTGGGAAGCTGAGGCAGGAGGATCGCTTGAGCCCAGGAGTTTGAGACCAGCCTGGGCAACACAGGGAGACCCTGTCTCTACAAAAAATAAGAAATAAATTAGCCAGAAGTGGTGACATGTGCTGTAGGTCCAGCTATTCAGGAGGCTGAGGTAGGAGGATCTCTTGAGCCCAGGACATCGAGGCCGCAGTGAGCCATGATCATGGCACTGCACTACAGTCTGGGTGACAGAGCACAAGCCCATCTCAAAAATAAAAAAAGCAACAAGAGCCACTGACCCCACACAGAACAGGCCAAGCTGAATGTGATTAAAAGACAGACACAGCCCCACTCTGCGAGGTTCATAGGTAATCCCACCCCACTGCCAAGATCTGTTCCTCAGGCTACAGTTCTTTTTTTGAGACGGAGTCTCGCTCTGTTGCCCAGGCTGGAGTGCAGTGGCGCAATCTCGGCTCATTGCAACCTCCGCCTCGGGTTACAGTTCTAATCAGAGCAGTACACAAACATAACAGAGGCTCCCTTCTGCTCTCGCTCTCCTCTGTCCTGCCTGTCCTCCCTCTGGCTGAGGTGCTAAGGAGCAGGAGCTGAGGACCGCAGAGGGCTGGATAAACCTAGCAGTGGACACCTGGAAACCCAGGTTGTCAGGTGAAAATGGGGCCGTAAGGTCAGGAATGCCACCTGCTCAGAGGGCAAGCTGCAGCCCACAAGAAAAGTCTGAGGCCAGGGGGCAAAGCCACGGCCAGGACTCACCTTGGCTGCCAGCCCCTGAGCCCACAGCATTGCTCTGATGCTCTGGGTGGATTTGGGGCAGAGGCTCTCATTTTGGGGGGTGACACAGGCTCAAAGGCATGATCCATGGCAGCTCAGGGCTCCTAGGAGAAGCCTTTTTAGTGGCCCCTCAAATGAAAGGTGCAAAACAGTGGGGGACCAGAGCCTGGGGAACAAGTTGGGCTGGAGACCAAAGCACAGCCACAGGTCCCCTCATCCAACAATAGCTAACAGGTATCAACGAGGAGCCTGCTCTGTGCTGGGTCCACCCTAGGCAAGGACAACAAACTTGGTGCCTGCCCTTAGGAGCTTATGGTCCGGGGGGGTGGGTGGCAATAAACAATTAGACACATACTAAGTTGAACCACACAAAACTGCCATTTTTGTAGGTCATAATTGGTTAAACAATTTCATATGATTGCCTTAAATACTACAAAGAAAACTAACAGAAAGTAGTCCTTAAGAATAACAAGGGGACCAGGCACAGTGGCTCACACCTATAATCCCAGCACTTTGGGAGGCCAAGGCAGGAGGATCACTTGAGCCCAGGAGTTCAAGACCAACCTGGGCAATATGACGAAATCCTGCCTCTACTAAAAATACAAAAAAAATAGCCAGGTGTGGTGGTGTGTGCCTGTAGTCCCAGCTACTCGGGAGGCTGAGGCAGGACGATGGCTTGAGCCTGAGAGACGGAGGTTGCAGTGAGCTGAGATCGTGCCCCCGTACTCCAGCTTGGGTGATAGAGCCAGACCCTGCCTCAAAAAACAAAAACCAAAACCAAAAACGAAACAAAGACTAACAAGGAGCTTGCCCTATCTAGACAGCGTGGTCGGGGAGGGCTGGGAGACAGGGTGGCATTTAGGAAGACAGCTGCAGATGAGAGTGGGAGGAAGGGCCTCCAGCGTTGACATCCGAACAGCTCTGCGAGGGAAGGACAGCAGTATCCCAAGCTCGCGGCAGGGACAGGTGGGGTCTGCAACCCATTTCCAAGACCCCTAGAAATCGGCAGTCTCTGAGCACAGGGATGGAGGGCCCCATGCCTGAGCCCTTGGCACTGACAGGCCACCAGAAGCCCCTAACTAGGTATACATCACAGAGTCTGCTCTCATGAGGGAAGCTTTTAGTGAAAAACACAACAAATGCGACGCACACTGTGCGTCTGACTCGCCCAACTCTCCACCCTTCCCTTTAGCCTTGTACCATGCTGTGTAACTCACTGGACCCTCCCACCTTTCCACCCTGGGCTCATGTGACCATGTGATCTGCTTTGGCCAATGGAATGCTAGCAAACTTGGAGCAGAGGCCTGAAAAATATGTCCTTGCATCTCTGCTGTTGCTTCTACCCTTTGTCACCGTGAGAAGTGGACACCTGGGCTGGTTTGCTGGTCCCAGAAGGAGAGTGACAGGCAAGAGGAAAAGAGATGAGCCACCTCCAGTCACCCTTGCTTAGGCTATCCTACATCGGCTGATCCCCAGACATCTCATTGAGCCTAGCCAAGGTAAGCAGAGCTGCCTGGTGACCACCCTGGCTGACTGGGCAATGAATGCAGATAGCTGTCTGCCATGAGGATTCGTGGCTGTTTGTTACACCGCATTGCTATGGCAATGGATAACTGATACAACAGCGGGTACTCCATATCTGTCAATCGAATAAACAAGTTTCTATTTCATTTTGAAAAATTAGTGGTTTAATAAATTATCAACTATTCAAACTACAGTACCTTCTATACAGGTTTTCTACAAAAATGTATCTTGCGCTGTGAATCGACCTCTCCATCAACCGTACAGATGACACCTAAAGGAAAACAAAAAGAGAATCACTAACTCAGGGGAAAAGGAGACAGCCAGGAGGCCTTGAGAAATGTCTGTTACTCCCCCTGCCTGGGGACTTTGCTGAATATGAGAATCAAGGCGGCAGAGAGAGTGAAGCAGGAGGACCTCCTCACTCCCCTGCCGGGAGGAGAAGCCACATCTGCCACCAGGCTCAGGCTGTGTCCCCCTTCCACCCTGACCTGCCCCACACCCCAAAGCTGCATGCATGGCCCAGCAATGCCGAGGCTGAGGGCTCATCAGCAGCTGCCTCTTTGATGGCAGGTGAGTCTCAACTAGAACACGGTCAAGCCCTGGAGAAACCATCCAAAGCTGTCCACTTGAGGCAACATGTGGTGACTACCACGGACCTAAATAGGGTGAGTTTGCTTAAGCAGAGGGACCACATGCATGAGGTACAGCCCCAAGAGGGTCGGGTTGGGGGTGACGTTCTGGGGGCTCTGCCCAAGGAAACTGGTAAGAACGATGCCCAAGAGGGAGGAAGACAGCCTGACAGTGCCCCTTTCTGCCAGGATGCTCAAACCCTCTGCAGACGACCTTGCCCTTTGTCCAGCGTTCCTCTGGGAAGCAAGAGGCGCCCTGACCCTTGATGCCAGGCACACTAACACTACTCTCACTTGGCCATGGCCCACAGCACCCATGGGACCTGGGCCAACAAATCCAAGGCAGATTCAAAGCCATAACCCAGGCACTTCCTCCCTCTCCCTGCTGTCCCTCTGTCCATCCATCCTCTGCCCATCCATCTTCCTTTCCATTCTTCCATCCTCTCTTTCCTTACTTCCTAGCTCCCCATTCATCCCTCTGGTCTCCTTCTGCTCATCTTTCCTGGTCTGTCCATCTCTCTCTGCCTCCTGAGGTAGATTTCCTTAAATAGAGGAGTGCATTTATATCCCTTCCTATTCAAATATCATTAGATACAACTTAGGTTTGCAATTGAGTGCCTGCTCAGGAAAAGCAAATTAGCAAAGGCAAAATGCACTAACCTCAGATCTTTCGATTTGTGGATTTGTGCAATTTAGACAGATATTTGGGGAGATGGAAATTCTTATTCACCAAAAACGGCCCACTCACATCTTTCAATTTTAAAAGACAGACTTACAGAAGAATGGTAGCTATTGCTGCAGGTACCCAGACTGGGACCGAACTGTCCAGCCCAGCAGCTGTGCCAGTGTTAACTGGCTGTAGGGACAGTCTGTCTCCTTCATGCAGAGCCTTAAAGCTGGCATCATAGGTTGTGCTTACAGCTTTGAAACATAGGTGCTGATCAGGACCTCCACAGCCCCCTTTCTTCTAAGAGACTCTGTCTCTAGATGCATCCTCACTGATGGAATAGGCCTAAGCAGCCATGTTTGTGCCTTGGGGTCCTGTCCCCAACACCTGATTGAACCAGGGCTGGACACCTGACCAAAGCTGAACCAATCAGATTCTTTGTCTCAAGAATTTGAACTAAGAGCCAGACCCCATGAAGGTTAAATAAGTGGTTCTCAAATATGAAAACAAACAAAGCATGCATTCGAGTCACCTGGAGGGCTTGATAAAACACAGATTGCTGGGCCTCATCCCTAGAATTTCTAATTCAGCAGGTCTGGGATGTGACTAGAAAATTTGCATTTCTTTCTTTTTTTTTTTTTTTGAGACAGAGTCTCACTCTGTCACCCAGGCTGGAGTGCAGTGGTATGATCTCAGCTCACTGCAACCTCCGCCTCCTGGGTTCAAGCCATTCTCCTGCCTCAGCCTCCCAAGTGGCTGGGATTATAGGCACACACATACCACCACGCCAGACTAATTTTTGTATTTTTTAGTAGAGATGGGGTTTCACCATGTTGGCCAGGCTGGTCTTGAACTCCTGACCTCAGGTGATCCGCATGCCTCAGCCTCCCAAAGTGCTGGGATTACAGGTGGGATCCACCACACCCAGCTGAAAATGTGCATTTCTAACAAGTTTCCAGGTGATGCTTCCGCTGCTGGTCCAGGGACCACACTTTGAGAAGAACTGAGTTAAACGGCATTAAGCCCAGCAGTGGTCAGGTCATAAAGATGTGAGCTCAGAATGGTGGCAGGGGCACCACCTGGCTGGCTGAGGTTTGCAGGTGGGGGCACTAGAGGCAGGTCAGAAGAGAACCACAGAAGCCAGAGACCTTGGCCCCACACAGAGAGGCCTGCACAGCACTGAAGGCCTAGCCTGGCTTCCTTGTAAAGTTTCCCTTCCTGGCAATCACATACCCCAAGTCTGAAGAAAACGTTTAAGAAGGCTGAAACTGAGCATCTGAAACCTACCTGAGGACGAGTATGCCTGTCCAGCATGGTGAGCTGCACATAAGTCTGTAGCGTAAGACCCCAGCGAGAGGCATCGTGGTACATCAGGCCCTGCAGAAGGGAAAACACAGCACTTTCCATCAAAGTGGCATCTGCAGGAGGACCCTGGTCTCACAAGGCACTGAAGGACAGCTCAAGAAACCTACACAGGCAGGGTTGGGGCTGGAGATAAACCCAGCATGATCACAGGGCTCTGACAGCAGGGTGGACAAAGGCAGACACTGAAACAATTATAGGACAGTATGGTAACAGCTATAATAGGAGCCTATGGAAAGTCTCCGAGGGACCGGAGGAATTAGGCCAGACAAAGAAATGAAGGGCATCCAAATTGGAAAGGAAGAAGTCATCTTAACCTTGTTCACGGACAACATGATCTTACACTTAGAAAAGCTTAAAGACTCAGGCCATTATCCTAAGCTAATTAATGCAGGAACAGAAAACCAAATACTGCATGTTCTCACTTTAAGTGGATATTTATAAGTGGGTACAATGGGTACTCATGGACATAAAGATGGCAACAATAGACACTGGGGACTCCTAGAGTGGGGAGGAAGGGAGGGGGCAAAGGTTGAAAAAGTACCTATTGGGTACTATGCTCAGTACCTAGGTGATGGGATCCATCATACCCTAAACCTCAGCATCATGAAATATACCCAGGTAACAAACCTGCACATGTACCCCGCTAAAAGTAAAATAAAAGTTGAAATGACCAAAAAAAAAAAAAAAAAACCTTAAAGACTCCACCAAACAACTGTTAGAACTGATGAACGAACTCAGTAATACCACAGGATACAAATCAACATATAAAAATCAGTAGCATGTATATACACCAACAGTGAACAACCTGAGAAAGAAATCAAGAAAGGAATCCCATTTGCGATGCTACAAAGAATATAAAATACCAGCCAGGCACAGTGGCTCATGCCTGTAATCCCAGCACTTTGGGAGGTTGAGGCAGGCAGATCACTCAAGGCCAGGAGTTCAAGACCAGCCTGGCCAACATGACGAAATCCTGTCTCTATTAAAAATACAAAAAATTAGCTGGGTGTGGTGGCACGCACCTGTGGTCCTAGCTACTCTAGAGGCTGAGACATGAGAATCGCTTGAACCCAGGAGGCAGAGGCTGCAGTGGGCCGAGATCGTACCACTGTACTCCAGCCTGGATGACAGAGTGAGACCCTGTCTCGAAAAAAAAAATAAATTAATTAATTAATTAATAAAAGTAAAATACCTAGGAATCTATTTAACCAAAGAAGTGAAAGATCTATACAAGGAAAACTATAAAACACTGATGAAAGAAATTGAACAGAACACACACAAAAAAAGAGATATTCAACACTCATGGATCAGAAGAACTAATACTATTAAAATGACAATACTACCCAAAGCAATTTACAGATTCAATGTAATCTCTATCAAAATACCTATGACAGTCTTTGCAAAAATAGGGAAAAAAAAAATCCTAAAATTGATATGAAACCACAAAAGACCCCAAATAGCCAAAGCAATCCTGAGCAAAAAAAACAAAGTTGGAGGCATCACACTGCCTGACTTCATAACTGTTCTCTATAGTAGCTGTACTAATTTACATTCCCACCAACTATGTATGAGGGTTCCCCTTTCTCCACACCTATCACCTGTCTTTTTGATAAAAATCTTTTTTTTTTTTTAAACAGAGTCTTGCTCTGTCACCCAGACTGAAGTGCAGTGGCATGATCTCAGCTCACCGCAACCTCTACCTTCTGGGTTCAAGCGATTCTCCTGCCTCAGCCTCCCAAGTAGCTAGGATCACAGGCATGCACCACCACACCCAGCTAAATTTTTTTGTATTTTTAGTAGAGACGGGGTTTCACCATGCTGGCCAGGCAGATCATGCCACTGTACTCCAGCCTGGGTGACAGAGCGAGACTCCATCTCAAAAAAAAAAAAAAAAAAAAAAAGCTATAAGAGAATAATTTGAATGTTTCTAGCATAAAGAAAAGAGAGCCAGGTGCAGTGGCTCATGCCTATAATCCCAGCACTTTGGGAGCCCAAGGCAGGAGGATCACTTGAGCCCAGGAGTTAAAGGTTACAGTGAGCTATAATTGTGCCACTGCACTCCAGCTTGGGTGATATAGCAAGACCCTATCTCCAAAATAAATAAATAAATAAATAAGTTTAAAATTTTTAAAGAAGTTAAGCTCTTTAAGATCATCTTTAACAAATAATACTTTGGTTTGAATGAATCCCCTAAATTTCATGTGTTGGAAACTTAATCCCCCATGTGGCAGTATGTAGCAGGTGGTGCCTTTAAGAAATGACTGGATCGGCCGGGCATGGTGGCTCACGTCTGTAATCCCAGCACTCTGGGAGGCCGAGGTGCGCGGATCACGAGGTCAGGAGATGGAGACCATCCTGGCTAACACGGTGAAATCCTGTCTCTACTAAAAAATACAAAAAATTAGCCAGGTGTGGTGGTGGGCGCCTGTAGTCCCAGCTACTCGGGAGGCTGAGGCAGGAGAATGGCGCGAACCCAGGAGGCGGAGCTTGCAGTGAGCCGAGATCGCGCCACTGCACTCCAGCCTGGGCGACAGAGTGAGACTCTGTCTCAAAAAAAAAAAAAAAAAAAAGATTGGATCATGAGTACAGAGCCCTCTTGAATGGATTAATCTATTCACGGATTAATAGATTAATGGGTTATCTTACACTGGTGGCTTTATGAGAAAAGGGAGAGAGACCTGACCTAGCATGCTCAACTCCCTCACCATGTGACACCCTGTACCACCTGGGGACTCTGAAGAGTCCCCACTAGCAAGAAAGCCCTCAGCAGATGCACCCCTTCAACCCTGGACTTCTCAGCTGCCCTAACTGCAAAAAATAAATTACTTTTCTTTGGAAATTCAAAAAATAAAATAAAATCACCAAGGAACATGCGTTCAAGTCGTTCAGTGAATGGTCTTTGAGCCCTCTGTAGTCTGTTCTCTATCCAGCCACAAGAGTGAGTCTGTGAAACCTAAATCAGTTCTTGCCACTCCCCTGCTCAGAACCTTCCAGTGGCTTCCCATTGCATGCAGAATGAAATCCAAACCCTTATCATGGCCCACAAGGCTTTCTCTCATCTCCTACCCATCTCCCTCTGGCCTGGTTGGCTTCCAACCACATGAGCTTACTTAGCATTCCTCAAACATGCCAAGCATGGTCCCATCTCAGGGCCTTTGCCTCTGCAGCGCCTTCTGCCTAAACACTCTTCATCCAGATATCTGCAGTGCTCACACCCTCATGTTTAAGCACCTTATCATAGACACATTCCCTGGTTATCTCATGTAAAACAGAAGCCAACCCACCTACTCAATCACTCTCCATCCCTTCTAGAAGCAAAACACTTCATGCTCCAGCATACTTGCTAAGAAACCTGTTCTGCTCCTTTCCTCATTTTTAAATTAATTTTATTTACTTTTATTTCTTTTAGAGATGGAGGTCTCATTATGTTGACCAGGGTTGTCTCAAACTCCTGGCTTTAAGTGATCCTCTGATCTTGGCCTCCCAAAGTGCTGGGATTACAGGCATGAGCCACCACACCCGGCCTTTTCCTCATTTTTGCTTTTCATTTTTCTCTTGGTGCAAACTAATGAAACTCCAGTGTTCTTCATTGAGAACTGCAGACTCCTCTGACTGCAGTTGAGAGAAAATCTCATAAAGGCTAGGAGAAACACTCCCTCTTGCCTGATGGCCGCAGAAACAGTCACCTTTCTGCATCAGAAAACCAATTCAGATAAAGTGATGAATTGAGATTTTTCACAAAAGTATCGATCTTTCTTTTGGTCTAGAGTGGAAACTTATATAAAAATGGCTACTTCTATTGTATTTTTTATTAGGAAACTCTCATTGAAAAGGCTATCTGTACCAAGGACACTAAGACTTCTGAGGCTGTGATTCTGTCCCGTGAAACGTCACTTATGATCCCTAACACCTGCAACTCTAGCTGTCTTACTTAATAACTAAGCCTGGGTTCCTCCTTGGCTTCTAGAGAATATGAATGTTACAGAGGTTTCTTTGTTATATCCAAAGAAGATGACTGGTATTCCATCTTCTCCCGAATGCACAGAGAAGAAATTCTTCTCATGTCTCTTTAGGATTCTTTATTGAAAGACTGAGAGGTTTTGCCTTATTTAAGAAACATCCTTTCACCTGCTTTAGTTTTCTTCCTAGGCCCTATCACCACCCGCCAGATTATATGTTTGACTTCTGCCTCCCCACACTGGAATATTAGGGGCAGGAGAGCAAGGGCTTTGAATTTATCACTGCCATATCATCCAGAACAGTGTCTGCCACATGGCTGACATGCACTGAATATTGGTTGAATGAATGGATGAATGCACAAGCCCCTACTAAGTGCTAGGCAGTGTGCCTTGGTTTTAGCAAATAACAATGAACAAAGTAGATACAGTCCCTGCTCCTAGTAGAACTCAGAGTCTAATGAACCACACAGGAGATGCCAATTGTGTTGCTAAAAATCAGAGGGCATGGCCGGGCACAGTGGCTCACGCCCGTAATCCCAGCACTTTGGGAGGCTGAGGTGGGTGGCTCATGAGGGTCAGGAGATGGAGACCATCCTGGCCAACATGGTAAAACCCTGTCTCTACTAAAAACACAAAAATTAGCTGGGCATGGTCGTGCGCACCTGTAGTCCCAGCTAGTCAGGAGAGTGAGGCAGGAGAATCGCTTGAACCTGGGAGACAGAGGTTGCAGTGAGCCGAGATCGCGCCACTGCACTCCAGCCTAGGGACAGACTGAGACTCCATCTCAAAAAAAAAAAAAAAAAATCACAGGGCAGCACAGGCTTCCAAGTCCATTTACTAGCTGTGTGACCTCAGGCAACTTATATAAGTGCAATTTCCTAAGCTGAAAAATGAGACTAATCATCCCTACCTCATGGGATGGGAGCTCAGAACCAACATCCTCTTCTAAAGCTCTCTCTTGCAGGACCCAGATTCTATCCATCTCTTTCAAGCAACCAGAGCAGAACCTCGAATTGGGGAAGGTGAAGGAAGGGACACAGCACACTACAGCCCCTGTTGCTAGGTTCACCCTTGGGAAAGCAGGCTGGTGGCTTCCAGGTAAGCCAGAGGTGGCCCCTGTTACCAGACAGGGCCAAGTTTGCAAACCCAAGTCAGGGGTCCACCAAGGATCCTGGTTACTTAGAGATAGGTCCTGGGGGGGTTAGGCCTGAGAAGTCCCGGGTTCTGATAGGTTTCTTCTAGGGGAGGGGAAGGCTGGAATGAGCAACAAGAAATGGACACCCCTAGTGGCTAAGGTCGGCCACTGGGAATAGTATGGGATAGCTGACGGGAAGTCCCTAGGCTCTGTGCACAGCCACTCAGGCCTCAGAGATCCTTGACCTCAGAACACCAACATGCCACCATTTTCTGCTTGTCCCTCCCTGGTCTTCTCCAACTCAGTTAAGAGCGCAGAGAATGCCTGGGCAGGCAGGGCTCAGGCAGAGGCACCATCATTCTCAGGTGCTTAAGGGGAAGCCGGGGGTTCATGCAACCAACAACCCACTCACCAGAGGATTGTGGCCACGGACATTTCTCCACTTGGACACAGGCTCCGTTAACACCTGGAAGGAAAGAAAACATCAGAGCTACTGTTTCTCTGTGCTGAACCCTGTAAAAGTGTGTAAGTGTTGAGGGGAAAGTGAGGAGAGAAGGGAAAAAGAGAGAAAAAGACTATCCAAATTTGGGTGCCCAAGGTAGGCCAAAATAGCTGACAACCCCCGTGAGGTCACAACTCTATCTAGACACGGCTTCCTCACATTACTTCCAGAAATGTCCTGAGAATAACTCTATCCATGTTACCCAATGTGCCAAGCATAGGTACATCCTACCTCTCTATTGCCCTGGTAGCCTCCCCAAGGTCAGAGCTGGCTCTGTCCATCCCTCTTCTGTGTATTCTATCCCACCCCTGCCTGCCTACCACATCAAGCTGGCAGGTGGGTGGGAGAAGCCAGGAGGGACACTGGACAGGGCTAGGCCTTGGCAGGCCACCTGCCTCCGTTTCCTGCCTCTGATCACTGCACTGGGTGCACTGGCTGCTGATAGTCCCTGTTTCTTTAGTACGCTCCCTGTCTCACTGGTTTGGAGGCATTCTTTCCCTCTGGTCCTGTTTGTACCTTTTAGGATGACTGCCAATCTCTCCAACATCCTGTGTGTTTTCAGACACATATCAGGATCTCTGCTGGGCATTTCTAGAGCCTCCATCTGTGGTCTAGACACACAAATCTGGGACAACCCCAGACTCTGCTAGAGCCTTTCTGGGTATGCAGGTGTGTGCTAGAAAAGATTTAAATGGTGTTCTTGGGGCCAAGATCTTCAGAGTGCCAGGATCCATCTGGGAACTTTCAGAGTACATGTGAGAAGGGGCCATAGGTGACAAAAGACCAATGGCAGGCAATGCATGGAACTCTTGAAAAGTAGCCACCCTGGCTGGGTGCAGTGGCTCACACCTGTAATCCCAGCACTTTGGGAGGCCAAGGCAGGCAGATCACTTGAGGTCAGGAGTTCAAGTCCAGCCTGGCCAACATGGTGAAACCCCATCTCTACTAAAAATACAAAAATTAGCCGGATGTAGTGGTGCATGCCTGTAATCCCAGATACTCGGGAGGCTGAGGCAGGAGAATCACTTGAACCCAGGAGGCAAAGGTTGCAGTGAGCCAAGATCGCGCTACTGCACTCCAGCCTGGGTGACAGAGCAAGACTCCGTCTCTAAAAAGAAAAGAAAAGTAATCACCCCCCACCCTTCACTCCTGACCTCAAGTGATCCACCCTCAAGCAAGATACTCTGTGTCTTTGCTTACGTTGTTTCTTCTGACCAGCATTCCCACCCCATTCCACTTCACATCAACTTTCATCACATGGAAAACTCCTGTATACCCTTCAAAATCCAGTTCAAATATGCCCTTCCCCTGCCCCTCTCAAACCCCCTCTCCTTCTTCTAGGTCTTCTTCCTAGCCCCTAAGTAGCATACACAGCACCACACAGGCCCACCAGAGTCTGGGTCACAGGCAGCCTTGCTCCCCGACCCAGCTCAGGGGTGCTCCATCCATAGCACTGTCACCCAACAAACATTTATTGAGTGCCCACTGTGTGCCAGATATCCATGCTAGGCACTGAGGACACAACAATAGCAAAACCAGCCCAGCCTCTGCCTTCACAGAACCTTAAGCCTACCAGGGGAAGCAGACATTACTCAGGTAATCACAGAAGCCAACATGTTTTCAAACCCCAAGAAGTGGTATAAAAGAGAGGTACAGAGCGGCCAGGGGATCCTCTGTCAGGAAGCATAACCTCGCTGGGAAGGTCAGGGGACACGGAGCTCAGATCTGAAGGGAGAGTGGTCTTCCTAAAGCCAACAAAGCTCTTCGTACCACAGAATCAAACAAGGGTGTGGCCCCTGGAACCAGACAGCCTGGGCTGGGATCTGGCTGTATCCGGGCTGGGATCTGGCTGTATCATACACTGGCCTAGCGACCCTGGACAAGCCACTTAACCTCATTAGGCCATGGTTTCCTCATCTAAAACTGTGGTAAAAATGGTACCTACTTCAGAGGGACTATTCTTGTGAGGGTGAGATCATTTAGTATTTATGATGAACCCTCAACACAGTGTTGGGCAAATAGCAGTATACTCACTGGATGTTAACTATCGTTGTTAATCGGGTCCAAGGTCTTCAGTGAGACTATAAGCACTTCTAAAGTGCCATTAAGAGTCATATCACTCAGGACAGGGGTCAAGAGTCCCCAAGCCCCCCCTCCTCCCCAGGTTTGATGATTCATGAGAACTCACAGGACACAACACGCAGTCATACTCACAGCTAAGATGGATTACACCGAAAGGACACAAAACAAGATCAGCAAAGGGGACCGGGCACGGTGGCTCACGCCTGTAATCCCAGCACTTTGGGAGGCTGAGGTGGGTGGATCACTTGAGGTCAGGAGTTTGAAACCAGCCTGGCCAACATGGTGAAACCCCATCTCTACTAAAAATACAAAAAAATTAGCTGGGCATGGTGGTGGGTGCTTGTAATCCCAGCTACTTGGGAGGCTGAAGCAGGAGAATTGCTTGAACCCAGGAGGCGGAGGTTGCAGTGAGCCGAGATCATGCCACTGCACTCCAGCCTGGGTGACAGAGCAAGACTCCATCTCAGAAAAAAAAAAAAAAAAAAAAAAGGAAGAAAAAGAAAAAAGGATCAGCAAAGGGAAAAAGGGCAGGTGCAAAGTCTGGAGGAAACCAGGCACAAGCTTCCAAGGGTCCTCTCATAGAGGAGCTGCACAGTACACACTGAATTCCCCAGGCAACAAGATGTGACAATACATGTGAAATGTTGTCTAGCAGGCAAGCTGGCCTGAACCTGGGAGTTCAGGGTTTTCATCAGCGCTCAGCCATGCAGACAACCACTTCCTGACATGTACCAAAATTCCGGACTCCCAGGAAGAAAGCAGGTGTCAGCATAAACCATACTGTTTGCAGAAACAATTTAAGCAGAGAGCCACTGTTATCAGTTAGGAATGGTGGGGGCCCTCCCAAGATCTAAGTTCCCAGATGCCAGCCAAAGACCACCCTTGCAAGCAGGCATTTCTAAAGGGCAGCAGTCTTAGGTCTGCTATGTTAACTCTTTCCTGCACAGCAGCACATGAACACAGCAGGACAAGGGCTATATAATGTTTATTATTATTTTTATCAAACTATATATATTTCTTTTCTTTCTTTCTTTTTTCTTTTTTTTTTTTTTTTTGAGACAGGGCCTCACTCTGTCACCCAGGTTGGAGTTCAACGGCACAGTCCTGGCTCACCACAGCCTCAACCTCCTGGGCTTAAATAATCCTCCCACCTCAGCCTCTTGAGCAGCTGGGACTACAGGCATGTGCCACCACATCCAGCTAAGTTTTGTATTTTTTGTAGACATGTGGTTTTGTCATGTTGGCCAGGCTACTCTTAAACTACTGGGCTCAGGTGATCCTCCCCCTTCAGCCTCCTAAAGTGCTGGGATTACAGGCATCAGCCACCACACCTGGCCATGCATATATTTCTAGCAGAAGTAAAAACAGGAAAGGAAGGGAAGAAGGAAAGAAAATGACTATAAAAGTATAGAAATTGTAGCTTCTGTAGTAACAAAAGAGAGCCATCAATAGAGAAGATTATACCACTAAAATCTAGAACAAGGAAGACAGGTCAATGTCTTAGTGTAGAGATGATTCTTAAACATCTCTGAGGTTAGTTTTAGTGACTAGGCTTTAAATGAACTAGAAATTAAATTAATTGCCTATGCATAGTAATACCCACTGCTCAGACATTGCTATCTCAGATGTCACACTTCTAGCCCTGCTCAATAGCCTGTCCTTTCTTCTTACCCATGTAGACTCTTTTCCTAACCAGACTTTGAGGCAGTCAACACTTGCACTGTCCAATACAGTGGCCATGAGCCACAGGCAACTATTAAGACCTTGAAATATGAGTAGTCCAAATTAAGATATGCTATAAGTTACACTTATTTTACAAATACAAACAGTTTGAGCATCCCTAATTGAAAAATCCAAAATCCTAAATGCTCCAAACTCCAAAACTTTCTGGAAACCGATATGACACTTCAAATGAAAAATTCCACACATAAATACTTAACACAAACTTGTTTCATTCACAAAATTATTTAAAATATTGTATAAAATTACCTTCAGGCTATGTATATATGAAACATAAATGAATTTCGTGTTTTGGCTTGGGTCCCATCCTCAAGATATCTCATTACATTTATGCAAATATTCCAAAATCTGAAAAATTCTGAAATCTAAAACACTTCTGGTCTCAAGCATTTCAGATAAGGGATGCTCAACCAGTATCATATTCCAAAGACTTAGTATAACAAGATAGAATGCAAAATAGCTCATTGATGATTTTTATATTGATTAAATGTTGACATGATCACATTTGGCATATGTTATGTGAAATAAAATGTCCTTTTTATTTTTTGTGGGTTTTTTTCTTTTTTTGAGACAGGGTTTCACTCCTGCTGCTCAGGATGCAATGCAATGGCGTGATCTCAGCTCACTGCAACCTCCACCTCCTGGGCTTAAGCAATCCTCCCACCTCAGCCTCCCAAGTAGCTGGAGCTACAGGCACGTACCACCATGCCTGGCATATTTTTGTAGAGATGGGGTCTCGCCATGTGGCCCAGGCTGGTCTGGAACTCCTGGGCTCAAGCAATCCACCTGCTTCCGCCTCCCAAAGTGCTAGGATTACAGGCTTGAGCCACTGCACCGGCCCCTTTTGTTTTTTTAATGAGGATATTAGAAATGTTAAATTACACCTGTGGCTTGCACTTGTGGCTCAAATTATAGTCCTATTGGACAAGGTTAGTCCACACCCTCTATAAATTATCCCATCAAGCTTTCTCCGCTTCCTTCAAACCTAGCATAGAGGCTGTACCTCGACGTCTGTCGCGTTGGAGAAGAATTCCAGGCATGTCGTCTTCCCACTTGCAATATTGCCCTCGACACAGATCTGGCAAAAGACGAATGCATATTAGAGCCAGAACTCAAGCACCCAGGGGAATGTCAGGGAATAATGGCTACGGAAAGGGCTCATGTAACCAGCATAATTGGTTCAGTCCAAGACTTTCACATGTAAACCAAAATCCCTCCTCGGGAAACTGGCAAGGTCCCATTGTTAGTAATAACAGATAAGCCGATCCTCCCTGAGTGGCAGGCTCATGTGGTCCCCCCAGACCAGATCCTCCTTTACGTCAACTCCTAAACCATACACAGCTTGTCTGCCCAGCCCAGCTCTGCCCTTCCTTAGTTCAACCCCACAGACTATTAGATTTTAGGCCTAAGTGTCCTGCCTCCTTAACGAGAGCTTAATCAATGGCTTTGAGGCTAGGAAACACATATATGTTATCTAGAATCGAATTCACTGCTTTACAGAAAAAAAAAGCACTTGGTCACTGACTGGAAACCATTAGGAAAGGGGAGAAGAAAAAAAGAGCAAGGACTTTGTTAAGCACCTTGTCACAGGCCAAGCCCTGAGACAGGTAACACACCATTATCACATGTAACCTCACTGAAACCTGAGAAGGGTAAGTCCTAACATTTTTCACAGAAAACAAAAATGAGGCTTGTAGAAGACAATAAAGCAAGGACAGCTTGAACCTAGACTCTGCTCACAATGACTGCACGTGGGAGGGAAAGGGGGTCATGGCACTAGTGGGAGGGGCCAGAAACAGCCTTCTGGGTCTACCTATACCAAAGACCAAGGAGCATCCTAGAAGTAACTCATCTTAGGGAGAGAAGGTATTCCAGGCAGCGGTTCTCAGCTCTGGCTATACGCTAGGACCACCTGGGACCTTTTAAAAATCTCTACAGGGATGCCACAGCCCAGACCAATTACACCACAATCTCTGGGAGTGAGACTCAAGACTCAGTAACTTTTTTTTTCTTTGAGACAGAGTTTCACTCTTGTTGCCCAGGCTGGAGCACAGTGGCGTGATCTCAGCTCACTGCAACCTCCACCTCCTGGGTTCAAGCCATTCTCCTGCCTCAGCCTCCCGAGTAGCTGGGATTACAGGTGCCCACCACCACACCCGGCTAATTTTTTGTATTTTTAGTAGAGACATGGTTTCACCATGTAGGCCAGGCTGGTCTCAAACTCCCGACCTCAGGTGATCCACCCGCCTCAGCCTCCCAAAGTGCTGGGATTACAGGCGTGAGCCACTGCACCCGGCCAAGCCTCAGTAACTTTTAAAGCTCTCCAGGCGATTTCAATGTGCAGGCAAGGATGGGAACCACGAGGCTGGAGCAGAGCTTCTCCCTGTCTAGTCCACAGATGCCTGCTTCAGATGCACCAGAGGAGCTGGTTAAACATGAGGTGGCACCAGGTAGCATCCAGACCCTAAATCAGACTCTAGGCTGGAGCCCTTGAACCTGTAGCCCAGTGATTCTGACCAAGCTCTGCTCAGCCAGGCACTGCTGATGACATAGGCCCAGTGGCTCTGGCTCCAGCAGATGGCCACAGGGAACGGGCAGCTCCAATACATAAGACAAACTGTCCCCTGAGAACACATTAGACATCCTCCAGGGGCACACACAGAGAGGGGCCCGACCTGCTGCACAGAGGCCTGTTCCTTTGCACTCAGGCTGGAAGCACCCAGAGAAACCTGGGCAACACAGGTAACTTACCCAAGTGCCAGACTTGGCTAGGGAAGAATCAGAATTAGAATTCACATCCAGGCCCCTTCTCACGACTCCTGATGGAGCCTCAGTCACACCTCACATAAACACCAGGTCACAGTGGGCCGTCTCACCCGACCCCACTAAAGTCTCCCCAGCAACTAGAACTCTGTCAGCTGGCGGAGAAGGTTCCTCCTGCCTTGATCCTAACGGGTATCCAGGAGACACAAGGCCACTCTCCCATCCTGGGTCCCTCCCAGCCCACTCCTTTAGAGCCCCAAACTACAAAATGAACCCAAGGGAATGAACAAAAGGGCATGAAAAGACCCCATTAGGGCACTAATGGATTTAATTTTTTTATTGCTCTTTAAAGAAAACTTTTCCTCTTCCTAGATATATAAAAAGAGCTCAACCTAGACATCACTCTACAGTCTTTTTTCTTTCCTGTTCATTGAAGCATTTTAACAGGTTGTTCAGATAAGCCCTTCTCCCAGAAACTTGTTCCTATCCCCAGCATGAAATCCTGAAGAGCTGGTGAATGTCAGGCCCTGAATGAGCTCAGCCAATCTGCCCTCCGGTTTACAGCAGGCAACGCAGGAAGAATCTCACAAAGTTCCCCTGAAATGGAAGGGGGAACAGGAAGCAAGCAAAGGGAGTCTTTACATTTCTTTTTAAAGTGATGTCTAAAAATATTATAAGAGAAGTGCATGCCCATTGAAGAAAATACAGAAAATCAAAAAGGAGAAACTATCACCCATAATCCCAATACTAAGAGATAAACCCCATGACATATGAGCATATTTCATGCCAAATATTATTTTCTATACAGTCCTCATCTTTGAGCACGTTTCAACTGTTTATTGAAGGCCTATGCTGTGCCAGGCACTGTGTACTCAGGGCCTCGTTGCAACGGCCAAAGAGCTCATGAGTGTGTGGAGGAAAGCAACAGGAAACTGTGAAAAGGAGATGGTCCCCATGCTGTGGGAGCACATGGCCGGCCTGGCCCAACACTCTGTGATTACGCTACAATTTATCTCCATTTTCCTCTGCTATGAGCCCTTGAGTCCAATTTTCCATGATTATAACTGAAACTGTGATGAGCCATCTATCCCTATTATAAGTAACAATATTTAATCTTTCCTAAAAATGGAAATTAAGCATTCTTGTGCTAAGAAATACATTCTCAGTGGCCAGGCGCAGTGGCTCACGCCTGTAATCCCAGCATTTTGGGAGGCCGAGGCAGGGGATCATTTGAGGTCAGGAGATCAAGACCAGCCTGGCCAACATGGTGAAACCCCGTCTCTACTAAAAATACAAAAATTAGCCAGGCGTGGTGGCGGATGCCTGTAATCCCAGCTACTGGGGAGGCTGATGCAAGAGAATCGCTTGAGCTTGGGAGCTGAGAGGTGGAGGTTGTGGTGAGCCGAGATCACACCACTGCACTCCAGTCTGGGTGACAGAGTGAGACCCTGTCTTCAAAAAAAAAAAAAAAAAGAAATACATTCTCACACACAAGAATGTATGTATGCATGAATATATGTATATGTTTATGAATATGCATATATGTATTTATCAGTTGGATTTCTCTGATCAAACCTTATTACACAATCCCTAAAAGAAGAAAATAAAAATCACTCGTAAATCTCAGCAATCATTGTCATTTGGATGTTTAATTAGAACCCAGGGTTCCAGAGGCAAACTGGCTTGGGTGCCAAAGCCTCCACAGGGAGAATCCAAATATCCTGTCTTATCAAAGACCCTGAGAAATCTGCAGTCAAAAGAAACTTGCCCAAACGTCTAACAACTGGCAAGTGGATAAACAAAGTGCACTACAGCCACGCCATGAATACTATTCAGCTATAGGAAAAAATGACATACTAATACGTGCTACAAGGCAGATGCATGTCAAAATATTATGCTAAGCAACCAGGAGCGGTGGCTCACGCCTGTAATCCCAGCACTTTGGGAGGCCTAGACAGGCGGATCACCTGAGGTTAGGAGTTCGAGACCAGCCTGGCTAACGTGGTGAAACCCCGACTCTACTAAAAATACAAAAATTAGCTGCACGTGGTGGCACATGACTGTAATCCCAGCTACTTGGGAGGCTGAGGCAGGAAAATGGCTTGAACCCTGGCGGCGGAGGTTGCAGTGAGCCAAGATCATGCCATTGCACTCCAGCCTGGGCAACAGAGAGAAACTCCATCTCAAAAAAGAAAAAAAAAAAATGTGCTAAGTGAAAGAAGCCAGATACAAAAGATCCCACGCTATATGTTCCATTTTATATGGAACGTCCAGAAAACACAAATCCCTAAAGAGACAGGAAGTAGATTAGTGGTCACCTGGGGCCAGAAGAGATTGCAAATGGGCACAAGGTTTCTTTTTGGAGTAATGGAAATGTTATAAAATTAGATTGCACAGCCTGGGCAACATGTAGAAATCCCATCTCTACAACAAATACAAAAATTAGCCAGGAATGGTGGTATGTGCCTGTAGTCCCAGCTACTTGGGAGGCTGATGTGGGAGGATCACCTGAGACCAGGAAGTCAAGGCTGCAGTAAGTTGTGATTGTGCCACTGTCCTCCAGCCTGGACAACAGAGCCAGACCTTGTCTCAAAAAATAAAAAATAAAAATAAAATAAAATAAAATTAGATTGTAGTGGTGTTTACTCTGTAGTGCTGTTTACTCTGTAAATTTACTAAAAATCATTGAATTGCACATTTAAATGGGTGAATTTTGTGGTATGCAAATTACAATAAAGCTGTTTTAAAAAGGAACCCAGCTGAATTTCATTTAACATTCAAATAACTAAGGGAAGACACTTTTACCCCATCACACCACAAACTCTCTCTTACATGCTCCTTGTTAACCCCACATCTATCTCTTAACTAGACTGAGAATTTCGGCATTAATGTTTATAATATTTCTTTCCTGTTTGTTTCCTAAGGACAGTTTTTTTTTTCATTTGGGATCATACTTCATATACTTTTGTTGGTTTTGTTATTTTTTTTTTTCATCTTTTACATAGTGAGTGCCTTCCCAGGTCACTAAATATTTTTCAAAAACATGGTTTTTAATGGCTTTACATAATCCATTATATAAGACCTGTCACAATTTATTGAACTCCCTACTATTTGATTTTTTTTTTTTTTTTGAGACAGGGTCTCGTTCTGTTGCCCACGATGGAGTGCAGCAATGCAATAACAGCTCACTGCAGCCTTGACCTCCCAGGCTCAAGC
The DNA here is from genome assembly GCF_000001405.40 of Homo sapiens. NCBI lineage: Eukaryota > Metazoa > Chordata > Mammalia > Primates > Hominidae > Homo > Homo sapiens. The sequence continues at coordinate 66,546,855 of NC_000016.10, forward strand.
AACCCTCCCACCTCAGCCTCCCGAGTAGCTAGGACTACTGGTGCATGCCACCATGCCCAGCTAATTTTTTGTATTTTTTGTAGAAACAGCATTTTGCCATGTTGCCCAGGCTGGTCTCAGACTCCTGAGCTCAAGCAATCCTCCCACCTTTGCCTCCCGAAGTGCTGGGATTATAGGCATGAGCCATTAGGTATGGCCCTGTTGGATGTTAAGTTCTGTCCAGTTATTTTATTAAAAAACTTTGTTGTGATACTCAATTATCTAATATTGTAAACTGTGCCATGTAATGGCTGCACCATCCACCCAGACACCTTTAACACTCTGGACATCTCTCCTCACCCACCAACACCAGTCAACCAACCAGCAACTCCCCTGGGCCCTGCTTTCCCACTCAGCTGCGGGCTCTGTGCCATCTCTAGTTTAGTTAAGGTCTCTCCCCTTCCAGTCTCACCCAGTTAGGCCCTCCACTCATGGTTCCCCACATCGCTCCCTGAGAGGCAACCCGGATCGTGCTGGGTGGGGGTGAGGCCCTTCAGTGACTCTGGGTTTTAGGACCTATTCTCAGTCCCTCTGCACCTATCCCCCAGCCCTCCCCAGCCACCTCTCTAGGGACTGGCCACAAGCCCAGGCCTGCAGGTTCTCATTCTTCTGTGACTTGTACCTGTTCCAACACTCCTGCCTCAAACTCTGCTCCATCTCCCAGCAGGCAATAAGGCTTCCCAAAGCTCCTCTCAGTCATCAGCCCCCCTACTCACAGCCACCATACTCACTGCTGTTCTAGTTCCACCATTCTCCTAGTTACTGCTGTCTCCCCCATCAGACAGACCTCCCCCATCAGACAAACCTCCCCCATCAGACAGACCGCAGACTCCCAAATGTCAGGGCTGTTTGCCAGGTGCCCAGGTCCTAGCCCAGTGCATCCCACACAGGAGCTCACAGGACTTGAATGTTTACAAACAGTCCTGAGCCTGAATGCAGGCTCCATACCACTTTCTATGAACTAGCTATTGTGTGTCTGGGGGCACATCAAACCACACCCAAAAAGCACAAAGAACAGGCCCAGCTCACATCAATGCTAGCTCAATAACTAATAAATAGCCAGGCACAGTGGCTCACACTTGTCATCACAGCTACTCAGGAGGCTGATGCCAGAGGATCACTTGAGCCCAGGAGTTGGAGGCCAGCCTGGGCAACACAGCAAGACGCCGTCTCTTAAATGTATAAACAAACAAAAATACATTAATTACCATCCAGCTCAACTTTGCATTTCCCTCCCCTTCTATGGCACCCGCTGGCATATCCTTCTCCTAATTTCAACAAACTTCCACAAATCTCAAGCATTTCAATCCTCTCTATGTGGTTTCACTACTTCCCAAGAGCTCTCCACCACCCTGAGTACGCTGGGGGCCTGCCCGCACTGTCTACCCTCTGCAGATCCCAGCCACGGTACTCCTGCCACCACTTGCCAAGCCACCCCCTTCCCAGCCACTGGAGCTAGGGACTTTCAGTTCTTTTAAGGAATTGAGCCTTGGTTTGTGACCAAAATATCACTCCCTACCCCAGCCAGCTAAAGCACCCAATATCCCCATGGACACCAACCTGACCCTTCTTTGACCTTCAGCCTCACACTAGTCACAGCCCCAGCCCAGAGCCAGCATCTCAAAGCCACCCTGATAACTGAACCCACATCTGTGGACCCTAATGGTTTCTCTCTGATCCCCTGCCCACCCACCAGTCTCAACACTGGGGGGAGAGGGTGGTGGTGGACAGAGCTTCCCTCACATCTGAGCTGCCCAACCCAAGATGAAACTGACCTTCCCCACAACACAATGAGCGTTTTTCAAATCCTTTCACAATCATCCCTTAAGCTTTAACAGCCCAAATCTACCTGAAGGATACAAATACTTGTGTGCTCCTATCTGTGCAGACTCTGGGGAAAGATACAAGAAATTGGTAACAGAGGTGGCCTTCTAGGAGGGTGACAGACTTCCTTCTCCCTGGAGATCCTCTTGTATTTTTGCTTTTTACTATGGAATGTATTTTTGCTTTTTACTCTGCTTTTTTCTCTCTCCTCTTCAAAAAACCAAATTATCCTAGAGAGTACACATAAAAGAGGGACTTACCACTGATTTTTTCTCTTTTTCCTGTTCTTTATCTACAAAAGAAAGGAAATCAGTTTTTAAACTCACTTTTAAATAACTCTCCTCTGCCCTAATTTGCTACATGACCACAAAAACACTAATGTTTATGCTCACTCCCTGGCCTAAAAACATTTTCCATTTTGGGCGCCCTCCGAGATTGGAGGCGCGCACCACCGTCTCGCCGATGTGCCACCCTGGGCTGCAGCTGCAGCTTCGTGGACCCCCAGTGTGCTCGAGTTCTTTCACTTAGTACATTATACTTTGCATTTTCCACGTTATTTATTTAGATCTTCACAGACTGGATGTTAAGCAAGTGGAAAGGCAGAACAGCCTCCACTCGCGGTGCACGGGGAAGAGTGGGCGGCGGACGTGGTTTTGGGCCTGGGACCCAGGTGTTCCTCTAGGCCCAGGGCGGGCATCGCTGCCCATCCGTCCCACAGGTGGTTCTGAGGCGTCTCTCAACAGCCATATGGCGGACACCAGAACCCGGGTGTAACAGTGACCCGTTTCTGTGTGGGTCCCCACTCCCAGGGAGGGCAGGAGAGCGCCGGGGGCGTAACCCCCCTCCCCCACGCTGGCACCAGAGTGTGAGCAGAATCGGCTTAAGGCAGCTCCCAGTCCCCATCGCCCCCAAGGTCGAAAGAATCGGGACAGGAAATGGGTCGGGGGACCGAGTTTGGGCCGGAATGTTCAGAGCGTGTCCGTCCTGCTCTTTAAAGGCCCTCTCTCCATCCCAGAACCAAAGCCGAGCGCCCCCAGCGCTCGCTGCGGTCTCGCGCCCGGGTAACGGCCGATGGCCGCCCCCGTCCCAGCCGCAGCCGGGGAGGAAATCCCGCGCCTCGGAAGAGGCGCTTCGGGCTCGGGCGGGTTCCGGAAGCCGAGGGGCCGGGAGTAGGTGGGCGCATAGGGGCTCCTGGGAGGCGGGACCAAGACGCGCGTTACCGGGAGGCCAGGCCCGGCGCTGCACCCTCCGCGGCCCGGGGCCTGAGGCCGGGCTCCCGCGACTTCCCGGCCCAAAGCAGCGCAGCGCCCGGGCGGCCCAGCCCCGCAGCGGCCACAGCAGCATAGCCGGGCGAGCGGATCCAGAGGCCCGGGGTTCCTTCTTGTGCGAGTCGGCGCGGACGACTGCTAGTCCAGCCGTTGGGCGCCGCCTGGATCCCGGCGCCTGGCCCTTAAAGAGACCCGGTCGCATTTCATCTCAGCAAGAGGAGAAATACTCGAAGGGAGAGGTTCGCCGCTGGCAGCCAGAAGCCTTACCACTGCTAGGACGCTGGCAGAACGCACCCATAACTTGGCAACACTCGGAGGATGGATGGCAAATAATACCAGCGACTGAAGGGTTAATTAATGATTGCAGATTAATTGAACACCTTCTGTAATCAGACACCTGGCACACACTCATGATGTCACTTATTCCTCCCAACAACCCTGCAAATAGATAACTGTCTCTCCCATTCTCCGAGCTTGTCCTCAGAGAATTAGGTAACTTGTTCAAAATGGTCAGAAGCAACAGATATAACTCCTTGCTCTACTCTTTCCCCCCTTCTCACTACTGCACTTGACTAGTCTTTTTAAAACATAAATTTTTTGGCCAGGCACGGTGGCTCACGCCTGTAATCCCAGCACTTTGGGAGGCCAAGGAAGGCAGATCACCTGAGGCCAGAAGTTCGAGACCAGCCTTGGCCAACATGGCGAAACCCCATCGCTACTAAAAATGCAAAAATTAGCTGGGTGTGGTGGGGGGCACCCGTATTCCCAGCTACTCAGGAGGCTGAGGCAGGAAAATCGCTTGAACCTGGGAGGCAGAGATTGCAGTGAGCCGAGATCACTGCACTGCACTCCAGCCTGAGCAACAGAGGGACACTTCGTTCCCCCCGCCAAAAAAAAAATTTTTTTTTAATGATCAGAAGCGGCTGGGCGCGGTGGCTCGGGCCTGTAATCCCAGCACTTTCGGAGGCCGAGGAAGGTAGATCACTTGAGGTCATGAGTTCAAGACCAGCCTGACCAACATGGCCAAAAACTGTCTCTACTAAAAATACAAAAATTAGCCGGGCGTGGTAGCGCACGCCTGTAATCCCAGCTACTCAGGAGGCTCAGGCACGAGAATCGCTTGAGTCTGGGAGGCGGAGGTTGCAGTGAGCTGAGATCGTGGCCACTGCAATCCAGCCTGGGCGATAGAGTGAGACTACGTCTCAAAAAAAAAAAAAAAAAAAAAAATCAGAAGCATTCATTAAGGGGTGAAGCTAGAATTCCAGCCCATTTCTCTTGCTTTGCAGCTGGAGCTCTTTCCTCTGAACTTTGACAGTTCCAGCGTCTAGACTCTAAACGTACTAGATCCCTCCAGAGGAGGCAACCAAATATTCCAACTATACAGACAAGTAGGGGCTAGGGAGGAAGCATGTAAATTCCATCATACTCAGCAAAAATTCAGCCCAGATGTGGAGTCACAGAGTATTAGAATTCAACAGGCCCAAGTCCAGTAACCGGAGCTGTTGCCACTCTTGACTGTGAAGGTTCCAGTGCTTGCGTGGAGGGGTTTCTCACCTCTCCCGGGAGGGCGTGATGCTGGCAGTCACCACTAGGCAGGGAGAAGGAAGTCATTTGCCTCTAGATCTGCTGCCTCATCTTGTGCTTCCTGTATATCTGCCACACACCTAGCAAGTGTGCTCTCCGTAAATAAACTTCAGGATTAAGGCCATTTTTGTGAGTGATTTGTGATGAAGCTGTTGGAGGTAACTGTCGATCAGATTTAAAAGAATGAAATGGACTGAAGCTGAGATGGGCAGGATCCAAACAGATCTGAATGAACTACGGTGATGGCCAAATTATCCAAGATAGAATGTAAATCACATAAAAGGAGCGACATATACTTCCCATCCCTAAAAAGGAATGCCCCAAGACGGTGGAGATCTGGCTTCATGGCAGCACTTGAGAAAAAACATTAAGTATCTGAAGGGACTCAGGCTGTTCCACGGAAGAACTAGTACCAGTGGGAGGCAAAAGTAAAAATATGCAGAACAAGTCCCGAGTGTGATGCCCTGGGGGCTTGGATAGGACCTGAGGCTGCACACTTTCTGCACCAACTATGTGCCAGAACCTGGGCCCTGCAGGGAGAGAAGCAGACCAGTCCCTGCTTTTGTGGAATTTGTATTTTTCTGATATATATCAGCTAGCAATAAACGCTCAGAAGTTATGGTGGCTGCTCTAGACGGGATGACCAAAGGAGATCCCCTTTAAGGAGGTGATATTCACAATGCCCAAGTTGTTGGGAGATGGGGCCGCCATTTCTACAGCCCCCTCCCTCTCCTCTGCTCCCAACCCTGGGAGGATTTCCCGACAGGAAGACTCCTCAGGAGAGCTGGAGTGCTGCCGTCATTAACGCCAGGCCAGAACACGGCGGGCTAACAGGGCGCTGGCCTGCGTGCCCACCTCTAGGTCCGCTAATATGTGCCCAGCTCTAGGTCCGCTAATGTGCTACGCGATAACTGAAAGACAGCACAAGCCAGAGCGGACGGCCGCGGGATCCCGTTGGGGCGCATGCGCGAGAGCGAACGCGGCGCCGTGCGCATGCGCGCAAGAGAGCGGGAAGCCGAGCTGGGCGAGAAGTAGGGGAGGGCGGTGCTCCGCCGCGGTGGCGGTTGCTATCGCTTCGCAGAACCTACTCAGGCAGCCAGCTGAGAAGAGTTGAGGGAAAGTGCTGCTGCTGGGTCTGCAGACGCGATGGATAACGTGCAGCCGAAAATAAAACATCGCCCCTTCTGCTTCAGTGTGAAAGGCCACGTGAAGATGCTGCGGCTGGTGAGGCCGGGCCGCGGAGGGCGGGAGGCTGATGAAGCTGCTGGGGGGCGGGAGATGTGGGTGTGAAGTGCAAAGCTGAACGCCTGTTTGCTTTTCAACCTCGCTTTGATCAAGATTGAAAGGCAAGGCATGGCCTCCTTGGGGAAGAAGGAGAGAGATACGGCACTGTCCTCCCCTTAGGAGGGTTTAGGGACACACTCATTCATGAAAACCAGAGAGGGCGGGGCGCCGTGGCGCACACCTGTGGTCCCAGCACTTTGGGAGGCCGGGACGGGAGGATCGCTTGATCCCAGGAGTTCGAGGCTGCAGTGAACGTTGATCGCACCACTGCACACAAGCCTAGGCGACAGAGAGGTCCTGCCTCTTTAAAAACAAAAACAAAAAAAAACCCTTTTTTTAAATTAAAAATCAGATCTACCCAAATGGTCTACATTTGGACCCACAAACCGGGTACCCAGGTTACCAGGCGAGACAACTGCAGTTATACCTCTCAGAAGCCCACAAGATTTGAAAGAAAAAAAAAAAAGCCTCAGGGGTTTCGGTGAATGTTGTGTGGACTTCCGTGAGACAGACGTTTGATGTGACTGAGTTCAAGGCTGATACAGCCCAGAACCAGGACAAGGAGAGAACTGCTCGTTTCCGGGAGCAGACTTCCTACCGGGAGCACTGCAGTCACTTCTGAACAGGTTTGGAGGAAGTTGATCATTTGGAGAGAAGTGACCTAGCTAGTTAGAGAAGTGGAAACTATCCTAGTTGAAGGAATCTATTCTAGAAACTCATCATTGGAGGAATTCACAGAGAAACCTTACAGGGAAGGAAAAAATAAATCATTTTAAGTTTTAAAGAGTTGACATGGGAGAGGCAAAATGGAGATAGTTCAAAGTTACAAGGAAAACATTTCCAATTAATGTGAGGAGGAATCTTATATTGGGAGAGCTCCCAAAACTAAATGGCCACTTGGGAAGGCAGTACATTCCCAGACAAAAGTACCAGGCATATGTGAGCACTTGGTGAGGATGTTATAAAGGAGACTCAAACTTAAGGTGAGTGGGTTGAACAAAGTGCATATAAGATCCTTCTCACACCAAAAGTCTGTGATTGTGAGAAGTAGCTTTCATATCATGTAAGTTGAGATACATAAGAGGTTTAGAAACCACTCTGGAGTTGAGGGAAGGAGAAATAACTTTTGATTGGGAGTAAATACTCAGGGCAAAAGTGACCAGAAGGTCTGGGATCTTGAACACTGAAAAAGGAAAGATCTTGAACACTGAAGGGGGAACCATGTGAGAATGGTCCTGTGAGAATGGTTAGTTTTTGATATATTAATTCTCTCAACAAACCATTTGAATACTTAATATGGTCCAAACTCTGGGCTAGGAGCTGGAACAGCAAAGACGAACCAGGACAAAAATCCCTGACTCATGGAGTTCTTCAGTTTAATTATGAGACAGACACATGAGCAGATAGTTAAGATATGTGATAAGATGGAGATAGAACACAGAAGCGAGGCGTCTAACCAAGGAGAGGTGTCAGAAAAAAGCTCTTCCTAGAGCAATCTAGGGTTGGATCTAAGAGCCACCTGAGTAAAGGCATGGAGGCAAAAAATAGCACAATTGATGCAGAGAAATATAAGAAGTTGAGTGTTACCTCATTTATTCAACAAATAATCTGTGTAATGCCTGTCATGTGCCAGGCACTATTCCAGGCTCTTGAAAAATACTAGTGAAAAAAAACAAAGATCCCTGCCCTCGTGGAGTACACATTATTGGGATGGGAGGGCAGGGGAAGCAAACACAATAAATTTTAGTATTCTAGAAGGTGGTACGTGCAGTGGAACGAGAAAAGTAAAAGCCAGGTAAGGGAGTGTAAGGCGGGGAAGGAGTTGCAGAGAAAAGTTGCGTAATGAATAGAATTCTAGGCTTTGTTGAGATGACATCTGATCAAAGATTTGAGTGAAATGAGGGAGTTAGCTATGAGAATACCTGGAAGAAGAGTGTTTGAAGCAGAGAAAATCCAGTGCAGTGGCCTTATGGCAGGAATGTGTGGGAAGGCATCAAGAAAGAGCAAGGAAACCAGCGTAACTGGACTGGGGTGAGTGAGTGAAGATGAGGAAGGTTTTAAGTAAAGTATATGATCTAACTTACATTTTAAAAGTATACTAGGCCAGGCCCGGTGGCTCACCCTGTAATCCCAGCACTTTAGGAGGCCAAGGCAGGCAGATCATTTGAAGTCAGGAGTTCCAGCAGCCTGACCAACATGGTGAAACCCCATCTCTACTAAAAATACAAAAAAAATTAGCCAGGCATGGTGGCGTATGCCTGTAATCTCAGCTACTCGGGAGGCTGAGGCAGGAGAATCACTGGAACCGGAGAGACAGAGGTTGAGGTAAGCCAAAATCACCCCACTGCACTCCAGCCTGGGTGACAAAGTGAGCCTCCGTCTCAAAAACAAACAAAAATATACTAGCTGCTATGTTAACAGTAGATTGGTAGGGAAGGACAGAAGGGGATTGCTGCAGGGGCAAAGGTAAAACCAAGGAGACCAATTGCAGTAATCTGGGCAAGAAATGATGATGGTGGCTGGTGGTAGCAAAGCAGGTAATAAGAAGTGGCCACATTTGGGATGTAATATTTTGAAAGTAGCACCAACAAGATTTGCTGATGAGCCAGATGTGGGGAAAAAGAGGAGTCCAAGACAGCTTCTGAAGTTTTTGGTCTAAGCAACTGGAAGGATGGAGTCACCATCCACTGAGATGAGACAGCCTATTGATAAAGCAAATGTGAAAAAAGGATCAGGAGTTTGATTCATGTGGATAAATTGTGAAGCAAGTCTTTTCTCAAGAAGTAGACAGGAGCCAAATTGTGGAAGATCTTGAAAACATGGTGAGAAGCAGGCTCTAAAGACCCTGGAGAGCCACTGAAGAATTTTAAATAGATGAAGAAATGCGTAAACAAATTTGCATGTTAGAAATTTCATCATGATAGTTCATGGAAAAGACGATGAAAGGCAGTAGTTGTAAGGATGAAGAGGAGGGAGTGCCCAAAATGTTTAGGCATTAAGTTAGCAGGACCCGATTATTGATCAGTTGGGGAATGGGTAGGAACAGTGATCTTAGGTTCCTGGCATGGGTGATAAGGTAGATTGTGGTACCACCAGTTGAGGTTGTGAATCCAGGAGGAAGGGGCGGGATTTCAGTTTTAGACATGGTGAATTGAGATTCCTGTAGGTTATCCAGATAGGGATTCTAAATGGCTACTTGGTGTGAAATGTGGAGAATGGACCTGGGTTAGAGACCCAGACTCATTGAGTGGAATGAGAATGACAGCATTTTACAGGGGAGAATAAAAGGAGAAGAACCCACCAAGAGAGAACAGTCGCGGAGGTTTAAAATCTCGGAGAACTGACACGGGAGCCAAAAGAAAACACTAGTAGGGGAAGGACAGCCAATGGCAATAACGTCATAGGGGTCCACTAGGATAAGGAATGAAAAATGTTCATTGTAAAACAGCAGCTCAAAGTACTGGAAAAAAAGAAAAAAGCATTCATTAAATTTAGTATTTCTGAAATCACTGATGTTAGCAAAAGCAATATCCATAGAGTGGTAATGTCTGAAATATTATTAGTGAGATATGTAAAAGATAACTGGAAACAAAGGCCAGGAGCTTAGGAAAGATGTAAGAACTGTAAATATAAATCACAGGAGAACACAGTTTGACAGAAACCATAGAAAGGTTTAAGGAAATGGAGTAATCACCAGTGCAAATCACCATGATGAAAAAGGTTACAGAGGATAGGGACTGAAAAAGTGGCCCTTCATTTCATAATCTGTGGGCTGAAGACCTTGGTCCAATAGAGTAATTGGAGTAGTTTGAGATTATGTGTTGCTAATAGTAATTATATTAATTATAAAGAATGAAGTTACTTAGTAACTAGTTATTTGTAATCAAACTGATCAGTTTAGAAGTTTAAAAGAAAGGCATATTTATGCTAATAAAGTAATTGGAAGAATTATGAATAAGTAACCTATATGGACTTAAAATGAGTATGTATATGTTACCAGCTGACAGGATATTTTAAAAGTCTAGCCAGGGAAGACTCTTGACCAAACCATTTACCAAAAACACAGAGCTTTGGAAAGAGCTTTATTTCCTAAGAACATTGACAGAACTCCCCTGGGACCCACCAGCTATTTTTTTCACTTAACATTGCCATGTTCTGTATCTTCATTTGGAAATGAAGAAATTTCAGAGTTTTTTATGTTTTTTTTTCCACTTAAAATAGCATAGATTCTGATTGCATTGTTTAGGTGGGGTGTGTAAAAAATGGTACTTTGGTAATAAAGCTATTAAACATCAGAATTGTTTTTCTCTGACAATTTTTTTTGTTTTTGTTTTTGAGACAGGGTCTAGCTCTATCACCCAGGCTGGAGTGCAGTGGCATCTCAGCTCACTGCAACCCCCGCATCCTGGGTTCAAGCGATTCTCCTGCCTCAGCCACCCGAGTAGCTGGGATTACAGGCACCTGCTACCACACCTGGATAATTTTTGTATTTTTAGTAGAGACAAGGTTTCACCATGTTGGCCAGGCTGGTCTCAAACTCTTGACCTCAGGCGATCTGCCTGCCTTGGCCTCCCAAAGTGCTGGGATTACAGGCATGAGCCACCGCGCCCACCCTGACAATTTGTTTTGAACTTTGCTCCTCAGTATTTTTCATGGCAGCATTCTAAGTTTAAATCTGACAGTAGACTCCAGATTGTTAAGAATTAAGGAGTGATAAATGGATGGTAAGAAATTATAGACAGCCAGTATACAGACTTTTTGAAGAAGCATAACAACAGTAGAAAACAGAACAAGGGTTTCTGTGGGGAGCAGGATAAAAGGAAGGAGTATGTGTGTGTGTATTTTAAAAGAACACAACTGAGATGTTTCTAGGATGATGAGAAAAGGAGCTAGCAGAGGACAGATTGAAAGTACAAGGGGGAACGGAGGTACTTGGTGGAAAAACATCAAGAGAACTGATGTGGGAAGTGATAGTGTCAGAAGCACAAGAGGAATAATTAATTGGACTTAAAACAGAGAGGAATACCCAGTCCTCTAAAAGACAAAGAGAAGTCAATATCATACACTTTAGGCATGGCTGTTTTATATGTGTGTGTATATGGCAGAAACCCCAGTATCTGGTTATTTTTGTTTATTTGGAGATGAGGTCTCCTTATGTTGCCCAGGCTGGTCTTGAACTCCTAGCTTCAAGCGATCCTCCTACCTCAGCCTCCCAAAATGCTGGGATTATAGGCATGACCCACTGTGCCCAGCCTATTATTTTAGAAATTGTCATTTTTACAGTTTAAATTTGTATTCAGTTGTCACTGAATAAATCGTGGGTTTTTTTCTTCTAGGCACTAACTGTGACATCTATGACCTTTTTTATCATCGCACAAGCCCCTGAACCATATATTGTTATCACTGGATTTGAAGTCACCGTTATCTTATTTTTCATACTTTTATATGTACTCAGACTTGATCGATTAATGAAGTGGTTATTTTGGCCTTTGCTTGTAAGTGTTCAGTTTCATCCTTAAATTTTACTTTTTCCTACCATAGTGAGATATTCTAATGAACTCTGTTTTTTGCTTCTCTTAAACCTTTAAGGTAATCTCTGTTAGGCTTAGGAAGGAGGAGCTCTACCCATTGCTAATGTGCCCTGTATTGCTTTGGGAGAGGGTCTCAAGGATGCAGGGCAGCCACAGAGCATAAGTTCTCTGCACCATCTATCAGTAGATGTGGCTGACGCTTCTGTTAGAATTCACTTGGATAGATCTTCTAAAGAAATTTAAATTTAGGACCATGTTAACAAAATTGTAGTGCATTCTTAATCTTTATTACCTATTTGGATGCATGTTAATATGGCCTCAAAATTGGGATAGAGATGGAGACAGATACACAAGTATCTATCCTTGCACATCTTTGGTCACTAAATGGAAAATCAAACTAATTGGGGAGGCTAAAGTACAATGTTATCTCACTTGAAAATATCTGTAGTTATTACTAAATAATGTTGGCACCTCTTATATTTCATAGTATATAGACTGTAACCTGCCATACTCATATAATTAGGAATAACTGCCCAGTGGAATGCCCAGATGGTTCTGAAAACTGTCAAATTGGGCAGATTGAAGTTATTCGTTAAGATGTATGCAGCCCCTCAGCCTGGACTAGAAGCTGATTCTAAGAAAAACTGAGTGACTTCTCCTCTGTCCTCTTGCAAGTCTCATTCCCAGCATCCTGTCTCTGTAGGTCTCCCTCCTGAATCCCCCTGCTGCCCTTCTCCTCTTTGGCTGGACTGATTGCTGCCATGTCTTCCTTGGCTGCAGTGGTCTCATCCTCTTGGATGCCACAGTGCTAATATCCAAGCTGATAATTCCTATTAACAAGAAAAGACTTTAGAGCTATTCTTAAACCATAAGCATGCCTTTAAATGGTACCTTCTGGAACCACCTTCAAGGCCAGTGGCAAGCATTTCAGGCAAATCATAAGCTTTTTAAAAGTCCTAAAAGGGAAAAGCTGGGAAATAGGATCTTCATAGAACCTCTCCTCTCAAAACTACTTGATGTACACTTCAGAGCTGGACTTCGTTGGAGGGAGGTCTAGGAGAAGAGATTACAAAGTCTTCCTCAGTTGGCCCTCATTTAGTGGCAGAAAGGGTTAAACTAAATTTTTCTAAAGATTTCTTCAAGAGGATAATGAACACTGGTCCACATCCTCTAGGTCTTGTATAGTTGCTTTTCACACTCTGCTTCTCTAGAGTTTAATAAAACTAACACATTTTAGCCTTTCTTTTTTTCCAAACATAATTCCTTGGAGTTTCTTACATGTCCCAGTAATAAACTGGGAGCCAGGAGTGTAACAGAATACACTGAGAGAGAGTAGCTTATATGTAGCACACTGAAAGGAATAGTCCCCAAATCTCTAAGGATCAAACTTTACTGATATTGTATCTCTTAGAAATGGGGTGTTATATGGGTAACTAAGTTTTTGCTCCATTACGAAACCCAGAATCCTTTCTGATCTTGATCTAATGAAATTATTTATTCAGCAAATGTTAAGTATTTGCTAATCCTAGATTCTGTAATTGGTTCTTTGGTTAAGACAAAACAAAAACCTTGTACCTCAGAAACTTTAAATGCACCCAGGAAGCAACACAGAGAATATAGGTGCTATGAGAGATATACACCTAGGATGGCGTGGATGCAACCCAGCAAGGGAAAGGGACCAAGTCACAGTAGGCTGTGAAGAAAAAGTGCCCAAACTGAGGGCTGAAGGATGAAACGTAGTTAGCAGATGACTGATACAGGGAAGGGAAAGTGCTTTTCTGCTAGAAAAGCAGCAGCATATGTGAGGGTCTAGGTGGAGAAAGAGCATGACCCTCCAGGACCTGCAGGTGTATCTGAATGGTTGGGTATTGAGTTGTGAACAAGAGCTGGGGCAAGAGTGAGGTTTGTGAAAACAGGGTCAGGGCATACAAGGGTTTGTGTGCTGTGGACTTTAACCCAAAGGCTAATGGGAGTTTTTGGAGGTTTTTAAGTAGGAGAGTAGCATGATCAGATGATCAGCCTCCATGTCTTGAGAGGATACTGAGAGAGGAAGAATATGTTTAAGGAAGGGTGCAGGAGAGCAGTATGTAATGAGTTTAGCTTGATAAATACTAGATTTTAGTTACTTAAAAGATATTCATATGGAGATATTCAGAAATGGTGTGAAACTTAAGAGGAGCTAGAGCTGCCGTTTTAGGAATCATCACCTCGTGATATTAACTGAGCTCGGACTGGCCACAATAGCTCAGAGAGAGTGTAGAGAGAGCTGAAGGTAAAACTGGGAAACGCCAACATATGAGATGAGGAGTGGCCAGAAAAGGCAGGAGAGCACCCAAGTGTGACTGGTGTCACCGAAGCCAAGATGGGAATACATTTCAAGAAGAATGGACACATTTAAACAGAAAGATAAGTATACACACACACACACACACACACACACACACACACACACACTTTCTCTCTCTCTCTGCCCCCTGGTGACCTTTTCCAGAGGAGTTTGCCTCCAGTGGGCAAGTGACAGGAAAGTTGTAGGACTGAGCAGGCAAGGAAAGAGACAACTAGAGGGGTCATCTCTGAACTGAGGAAATATGGCCAGGGACAAATAAAAGTAATGAATAGAGTGAGGTCCCTGCAGAGTAGAATTGGAGCCAGAGCACAGGTGGAGAAGTTGCCTGGGGATGTTACCTAAAGTGTAGGACACAGAGATGGCTGACTGTTCCAATTAATCTGTAGGTGGGGAAAAGGTAACTTAGAAGTACCTCCATCTGCTAGCCACTGCCTTTGCTAACTAGGAGAGGGCTTGGTCATCTCCATTCAAATTGTCCCAAAGTTGTTGTCCCTGATAACAGTCTGTAGAGCAGGCCTTCTCTGATTGTTCCCCCCCGAGAGCCCCAAATGACAGAAAACACAAAAAGCCAGTCAACCCATGGCTTTGAGGAGGTATCTAAGCATAGGCTCAGAATTCCTTTGAAATCCCTATTTTTGTAATTAAGTTTACATTCTACTCTGTGGCATATAGATGTTTTCATTTTTAATATAAAATAAATGGTCTAAATTACTCTTGAGGATCATTGGTGTTTCGGGGCAGGCATATCTTTTTTTTTCCCCCTGTGGTTCTCTGCACTCCCTAGAACACCACTTTGATCCAAAGCCATCTATAAACCCTTGCCCAGATTGCTCACAGGAGGCAGGCTGCCTGTCTGAAGTAGGAGTGTGGTCTGTTGCCTTTTGAAGCAGAGCAAATATCCAACACAGAAGAGAGTTAACCTAGAATAGTTGTCTCAGTATCTCCTACAAATGAGAACTTTTTTCTTCCTAAGTATATCTGATCTTGCCCTACCCCCATTGAACCTGTTCCTACTTTCTTTCTAATAACTGCTTTTCTAAATTACCAGGGTTTTGCAGTTTGCTATTTGGGTTATTCCTTCCTGCCTGTGGTTATCTGCAAACATACATAAACCTTTCTCAGCTAGACAGTTTACCTTTCCCACGCTACACATCCATTTTAAAAATGTAAAATTGCACTTCTTGACATCACAGTTAAGAATGAAACTGATTTTTACTTTGTAAAAGTATTAAGCGAATGAGCTATATCATCAGCAATAATAACATAATTGGTCATCCATTGCATAGAGATGTCTGTGGGGGTTTCCTGAAAATTACCACTTTCTCTTAAGTGTGTGCTATTTTAAGTTTTATTAATTGCCTTTTTTTTTTTGAGACGGAGTAAAAAAAATTCCACCAGGCTGGAATGCAGTGGTGCAATCTTGGCTCACTGCAATCTCCGTCTCCTGGCTTCAAGCAATTCTCCTGCCTCAGCCTCCCAAGTAGCTGGAACTACAGGCGCTCACCACCATGCCTGGCTAATTTTTGTATTTTTTAATAAAGACAGAGTTTCACCATGTTGGCAAGGCTGGTCTTGAACTCCCAAAGTGTTGGGATTACAGACATGCACCACAGCGCCCAGCATTAATTGCATTTAGTAACTTAAAGTTTGATATACAATGTAGACTACTCTGCATTTTCTTACGTTATTAAAAATGAGCATTTTTACTTCCCATGGCACCCCTTCTACCTTAAACTTTCTACATAATACATCATCTACTTTATTTCCTAATCAGATGAGTTTTCCCTTCAACTACATTTATGTTAAGTAAAAAAGAAATAAAAAGCTTTTTAAGTAAATGATTGGCATATCACAGGTAAAAGAAAACCACTAGGTGTCATTATAGACCAGATACTATCTAGGTATCATTTTACTGTGACATTTTGGTTTCCTGAAAGATAGATGCTAAATAAATTTGTTTAATAAAATGAAACTTTCAAAATATTTAGGAAGCTGACTCCTTTTGTTGCAACAGAGTCTCACTCTGTTGCCCAGGCTGTAGTGCAGTGGCATGATCTCAGTTCACTGTAACCTCTGCCTCCCGGGTTCAAGCAATTTTTGTGCCTCAGCCTCCCGAGTAGCTGGGATTACAGGCATGCACCACCATGTCTGGCTAATTTTTGTTTTTTTTAGTAGAGACGGGGTTTCACCATGTCGGCCAGGCTGGTCTCAAACTCCAGGCTTCAAGTGATCTGTCTGCCTTCCAAAGTGCTGGGATTACAGGCGGGAGCCAGTGCATTCTGCCTGCTGACTTTGTTTTTTGTTGTTGTTGTTTTTTTGTTTTTTGTTTTTCCTTTTTAGCATTGCTTGGTAGTCTTCATGTAAGGCTCAGCTTTATTGTGTGTTTTTAGGATATTATCAACTCACTGGTAACAACAGTATTCATGCTCATCGTATCTGTGTTGGCACTGATACCAGAAACCACAACATTGACAGTTGGTGGAGGGGTAAGTGGAAGTCTTTCTGCTTGCTTTCTTCAGGTTTTATCAGAATGCAAATTTACTTGGAAAACAGATGTAAGAATAGAAAGCTATACTATATTCATCCTTGAGATTCCTAGGCCAATATACAATGCCTAGTGGCTTAATATTTTTGTCTGTGAATGCTTGCCCTGATTAACATGAAGGAGTATGATTTTATACTAGAAGCAGAATTAACCCAATAAAGGGGTTCCTACAGATTTCTTATAGGTACGTAGGGCTAGACTAGACTGACAAAAGCTACTGGAATCAGTTACAGCACTTAGCTCTGAGAAACCTGATGTCAAGCAAAACAAAACAAAAGGATGGATGAGTTTCATAGCTCTCCCTTTTACAGAAAAGGATACATACCATTTGTTAAGATGAGACAGACTGTTTTGAGCTCAGTTATTTCTTGTTCAGATCCTTCAGATAGAATATAATAGATGATGTCCTTACGGTAAGAGAACATTGGCAGGGCACCTTGCAACTAAAGGATCATTTTGAACCCGGCTTGAAGAGAAGCAGATCAATTCCATCAGACCTCATCCTAGAAAGCAAGCCAGAATATGACTCAAGTAATTTAGTTATAGTTCTATCTGATATTCTTCTAAGATTTCTCATACAAGGTTCAAAATCATTTAGCTTTTCTAGGTTCTGACCTAGAGAATTGAATTAGAAAGTTCTTAAATAAATCTTCCTACTTCCATGTTCTTTCATAGTATGGGTCACTTAGGAGAACTCTCAGCCATATATGTCAGAAGCCATGATTTTCATCTCCCTTAGGCCCTGAGCAACTTCATGAGGAGTCAGAATTATTCTAGAAATGAGATAGCTCTGTATCAATTTCCCCCAGTTGTTTTTGAAGATAATACTCATCTTTCTACTGTGAAGAAGGAAGGACCAGGCATAGGATTTACTTTCATTCACTTTTTTACTCATTCATTCATTTACTCATTTCTTAAGTGTACTTTGGCAGGGGCTGACAAAATATAGAGCTGTGCTATTCAGTATAGTAACCATAGTTGCTAGCCACATGGGGCTACTGAGCACTGGAAATGTGGCTAGTCTGAATCAAGATCAGCTGTAAGTATAAAAATACACATTTAATTTCAAAGATTTATTACCCCCAACAAGGAATGTAGAATATTTTGTTAATAACTTTGTTGATTACATGTTAAATGATAATATTTTAGACATACTGAGCTAAATATATTAAAATCTATGACTTATTTTTTTCTTTTTTTTTTTTTTCTGAGACAGAGTCTGTCTCTGTCGCCCAGGCTGGTGGAGTGCAGTGGTGCTATCTCAGCTCACTGCAAGCTCTGCCTCCCGGGTTCACGCCATTCTCCTGCCTCAGCCTCCCAAGTAGCTGGGACTACAGGCATCCGCCACCATGCCTGGCTAATTTTTTGTATTTTTAGTAGAGACGGAGTTTCACCGTGTTAACAAGGATGGTCTCGATCTTCCGACGTCGTGATCCGCCTGCCTCGGTCTCCCAAAGTGCTGGGATTACAGGCGTGAGCCACCGCGCCCGGCCGACTTTTTTCTTTACATTTATAATGTGGCTGTTAAAAAATCTTTAATTATGTGGCTGTGTTACACTGGTGACTCATATTATGCTGCTTTCAGACAGCACTGACTAGAGTGTGAGCCCCGTCCTCAAGTTGCTTAGAGCTTAACACAGGAGACACAAGTGGAAACCGCTGTATATAAGCTGTTGACAGGGAGCTGCATGGTGCAGAAAAGAGGAAACTACCTCTCTGGCAGTGGAATTGCTGTTTGCTGAGAATAAAGGAAAAAAAATGGAAAAGGTTCCAGGTAGAGGAGCCAATAGTGTACAGAGTGCCAGTCATGAAAAGATTGGTAGGAGGTATTCAGTGTGGTCAGAACCTAGGAGGCAGTGGCTTGAGACTCTGGGTGGAAAAGGAGACTGTGAGAGCCATGTCTGGAGCCAGGAAGCCAAACTTCCTGATGACTGGAAGAAGCTGACCAAACAGCATGCAAGGAATGACATCCCCCTCTCCCACCCCAGGCACCAGCTCTCAGATAGCCATCAGAGTGTCTGAAGGCCCCCACGTGTTCTTAGTTATTGTTTTTATCTAATTTTACTTTCTTAAGGTCTATTTAGAATCTCACCCTTTAAGCAGATGTAGCCTAGCCTTTGAGAGTTCACTTTGGATCATCTTATTAACTCCAGTTTTCTGGAGCTACAGTCCCCATGATTTAATATTGAGCTGGTGTTAACTTTGACCTTTTCTTCTGTAGAGTTTGTCAGTAGAGAAGTCAGAGTTGAACACTGGGGTTAGAAATATTAATAACTAAATATCCTCAGTAGGGCTTAAAAGAATACATGCAAGAGCAGGTCAAGAGATAAAAGCAAACAAGTATGGATTTCAGAGCCCACACTGCTTTATTATTTTTCTGCTCACTTAAATTATCTTTTCTCTTTCTATAGGCAAGTATTTAGAAAACTTAGCAATGAGGAGAATAAGATGATCTCTGAAGTCTCTCCATGTTAGTATTAGATGAAGCACAGGGAGCAATCCGAGTACCCTAGCAAGAGAGGAATCTGGTGGGCAGACCACTTAAAACTTGTGTGAATGACAGGAGTGGGGACCATGGTTAGGGCAGTGACACTTGTCTTTCTTTCCAGGTGTTTGCACTTGTGACAGCAGTATGCTGTCTTGCCGACGGGGCCCTTATTTACCGGAAGCTTCTGTTCAATCCCAGCGGTCCTTACCAGAAAAAGCCTGTGCATGAAAAAAAAGAAGTTTTGTAATTTTATATTACTTTTTAGTTTGATACTAAGTATTAAACATATTTCTGTATTCTTCCACATATTTTCTGCAGTTATTTTAACTCAGTATAGGAGCTAGAGGAAGAGATTTCCGAAGTCTGCACCCCGCGCAGAGCACTACTGTAACTTCCAAGGGAGCGCTGGGAGCAGCGGGATCGGGTTTTCCGGCACCCGGGCCTGGGTGGCAGGGAAGAATGTGCCGGGATCCGCCTCAGGGATCTTTGAATCTCTTTACTGCCTGGCTGGCCGGCAGCTCCGAGGTGTGGGGTTGCAGAGATTTTGAGTTCTCGGGCTAGGCGGTGGCATTGCACCCCCTGTGGCAATGAGGGTGGCTGAAGGGCTCGGCTTGTCGGTGGGGCAGCGAGAGCCGGGTGCACGCGCCGGGGAGGTAGCCAACAGCCGTTGGGACGCGACGCTGGTTCCCAGGGGAGAGCCAGCCGCTGCCGCGGCACTGGTTCAGACGGCCAGGCCCTAGGGACCCACCATGGATCCTGAACACGCCAAACCTGAGTCATCCGAGGCACCTTCAGGGAACTTGAAACAACCGGAGACTGCCGCAGCCCTGGCAAGTAGCGGCAGCGTAGTGAGTTCTGTACCCAAGGCACAGCGCAACATCTCAGCGAAGACCGCACCCCGGAAGCACCCCGCAGTCTCAATTCGCAGTGCGCAGTCCGCAGCCGCCGCACGTCCCCAAGGCAGTGAGGGCACCGCACCCTCAAGGAAAGCCACCACACGCCCACCCCCAAAGCCCACACTCCCACCCCCCACGCCCTCTGCACACACTGAATCCAAACTCTTAAATGAGATGGCGATCAAAGAGCGCGTGGAGGGCCGAGCCAAAGTCCCGTACAAATTCAGGGACAGCCTCAAACGTTTCTCCTTCTCGCCCACTGGAATGTTGAAGATCCTGAGACTGGTGAGCGGAGAGCTGGTGAGACCTAGCTGGGCGGATGTGGCCGGCAGTGGCCTCGGGGAAATGCCCACGGGGTGCCAGCTCCAGAAACCTTCCATAATTCACTTTGCCACTCACCTTTGTTTTGCCTCACCTTTCCTCCCCACCACCCCCTGCTCCCCACACACTAAACCTTTCCTACTAAACTTGCCTCTTTTTTTCCCTATTTTTTCTTTTTTTTTTTTTTTTATTATACTTTAACTTACGGGGTACATGTGTAGAACGTGCAGTTTTGTTACATAGGTATATACGCGCCATGGTGGTTTGCTGCACCCATCAACTCGTCACCTACATTAGGTATTTCTCCTAATGCTATCCCTCCCCTAGTCCCCCACTCCCTACAGGCCCCAGTGTGTGATGTTCCCCTCCCTGTGTCCATGTGTTCTCGTTGTTCAACTCTCACTTATGAGTGAGAACATGCAGTGTTTGGTTTTCTGTTCTTGCGTTAGTTTGCTGAGAATAATGGTTTCCAGCTTCATCCATGTCCCCGCAAAGGACATGAACTCATCCTTTTTTATGGCTGCATAGTATTCCATGGTGTATATGTGCCACATTTTCTTTATCCAGTCTATCATTGATGGACATTTGGGTTGGTTCAGTTTCCTCTCACAAAGGAAATTAGGGAAGCAATGAAGATAATAGGAATTTATAAGTTAGGAAACAAAAATAATAGAATCAGTCAATACAAGAGCTGTCGTTTGAAAGTCCTATTAAATTGATAAGCCATTGGCCAACCAAGAAAAAAAGGGGGAAGAAAAGACATATATTTAAAATTAGAAACCAGAAGGGGAAAATAATCACAAACATCAGCAAAACTGAAAGGATCTACAGGAGTACCTTGCAAAATAGATGTGAATAATTGGATGAAATGGTTGATTTTCCAGAATAATGTAAATCACCAAAACTGATCCCAGAATAGGGAAAAATCTAAACAGGGCAATATAAACATAGAAGAAAATGAGAATTTTAGCAAATGAGTATCTTTCAAAAATGTATCAGGCCCAGACCTTTTTACAAGTTAACTCTTTCAAGCCTTCATGGGATATAATTCTGACACTACTCTAACTTTGTCAAAGAATAGAGAAAGAAGAAATAACTTCTGAACTATCTTTACACAATCAGTATAATACTGATAGGAAAACTTGACTGAGTTCAGAAAAAGAAAACGAAGTAGAGATCTCACTTGCATCAGAACAAAATGTCAATCTATTAGCAGATAATATTCATCAGTATTTTTTGAAAATACAATACCACAAGAAAGAAACAGGATGATTCAATATTAAGATTCTATTAAAATAATTCACTGTATTAGAAGTAAAAGTGAAAATGAGATTATATCTATCACATTATAAAAAATTAGGAGATTATGTCACAGAACATGTGACAAAATTCAACATTTGTCCCTGATTGCCAAGAAGGGAGACCAGTAAGATAGGAGTATATAAATATTCCATTGACATTGTAAAAATAAACATTTCAAACTAAGAGTCAGCATATTTAATTAAATATCAGAAGTATTATTTATTAAATGAGGGGAAAAATGATGCCTACACCATGAGTCAATTTTTTCTGAAACCACTAGTCATCATAATTAGGAATGGGAAATAATATTTGAAAAGAGGTGGCCAGGCGCAGTGACTCACATCTGTAATCCCAGCACTTTGGGAGGCCAAGGTAGGCAGATAACCTCAGTCAGGAGTTCAAGACCAGCCTGGCCAATATGGTGAAACCCCGTCTCTACTAAAAATTCAAAAATTAGCCAGTCTTAGTGACACGCGCCTGTAGTCCCAGCTACTCGGGAGGCTGCGGCAGGAGAATTGTTCGAACCCAGGAAGCAGAGGTTGCAGTGAGCTGAGATCACACCACTGCACTCCAGCCTGAGCGACAGAGCAAGACTGTCTCAAAAAAAAAAAAAAAGGAGGTAAAATATATGCTTTCTTTCAGCTAATGTAATTGCATATCTAGAAAAAAACAAATCAACTGGAAACAATTTAGAGCAAGATGATTTAGTCAGGTGACTCGTTATTGTGTTAATAAATAAAAGCTTTCCTAGACAAATAACCACTTAAAATATAAGAAAATATTTCTGTTTACAACAGTCATCAAAAATGATCAAATATCTAAAAATAAGTGAAATGTGATACACATATGGGAAGAAAACTTTAAAACTCTCCTGAGAGATATTTTTTAAAAACCACTAAAATAACTGGAAAGATATATTTTGTTCTTGAGAAAAACTAAATTCTGTAATTTTTCCAAATTATAAGTAAGTATTTCATTTAGAAATCCCAACTAAAATGCCAACAGGCTTAGTCTGGGGAACTTGACCAACACAAACATGGGAGACATAAACAGTCTGAGAATGAGTAAGAAGAGGAAGACTAGGTGAAACAATAACTCAGTATAGAGTGAATTGTCTATAACTTAGAGTACTAGAGAAGGAAGCACCAATTCAATGGAAGAGAACAGTCTCAAGAGACCGAACTACATCTGAGAATTTAGTATACAATAAAGGTTGGATTTCAGATCAATAGGGATAATACTGGCATTTCCCAATAAATGATGTTGAGATAATCAGCAGCTGTTTGGAAAGAAAGAAAACTGAGGCTCTTCCTCACTGTTTCTACCAAAATCAATGTATATGTACTTTACCAGTATATATACAGACTTCTTTCTAGTATGAAATATAAACTGTTAATAGTGGTTACTTTTAAGGAGAGAGACTAAGGTTGGGTTGGGGGAAGAGAAAGAAATTGGTATTATTTTATCCTTCTATACTGTGTGCTTTTTTTATTATTTTCATGTATTTCATTTCTTCAAAATGTAAGAAATGTTAAAAATGTATGTGCAAAACAATACAGGCCACTGTACTGTGATATAATCAGATTTACATTCTGACAATGTAGATTTTTTTAAATCATGCATTAAAACAAATCCTGTTTCTTTTATTGCAGAGTCTTATCTTAGGAGCATTAGCTTGTTTCATCATCACCCAAGCCAATGAGTCATTTATAACAATCACAAGTCTGGAAATCTGCATTGTCGTTTTTTTTATTCTAATATATGTGCTAACCCTTCACCACTTGCTGACCTATTTACATTGGCCCTTACTTGTAAGTGTTCATTTTTACAATTCTTCAAATCCAAGCTTTGCCCTCAGCCCCAGAGTAAGGGCTCTCCTTAAGTGAAAACAACGGAGCTATCTCTCTAGACAAGGACATAGCTGAGCTGTGACAGTTAGGGTGTTGCCCTGGTCCAGAAGGATTCCTTGAACCCTTGTGCCTGCAGGACAGCCAACACACCGCTGCTCCAGCCCTGAGTGTAAAACCCCTCATTATGGCACTAGACACATGGTACTTTTCAGCTTGTCCTAAAAAAATATATATACTTAGTATATAAAGTAGGTAAGCACATTTCTCAGCCATTGCTTGTACAACAGTGCATGCTTCTACTTTGCAGAGAGCACTCTGATTATAAACATTCTCCCCAAAAGCAAAAGTTGATATGATGGCATTGTAGAAAATTGCCGTGCATACACTTAAAGATTGTAGTCAACCTGTGTGTGTGTGTTAGGGTCCATATCACAAAGAGGTGCCGGACTATCCAGAAAAAGACATTACAGAGCCTTCTTTAATAGCTTTTCCCAGACTTTCACATTCTTTGCCAACTGAACAATTGCTAAAGCTAACCCCTCAGGTCTCAGACTAGAGAGGCAGTACGGTTTTGTCCAGAGGCAGCCATAGGCCCAGATTCTGGTCCTGCCACCTTACTAGCTATGTAACCTTTAGCCTCAGTTTCCCCATTTAAGAAATACAGAGAAGGAAAAGTATGATAATAACTACCTCATAGGGTTCCTGAAACATTTAAATGTGTGCAAAGCCAATAACATAGTATGTGACACAAATTAAATATTCTAATGTCCAAAAAGAACAGCCACCCATCAGACCCATCAGATAGCTGGGTGGCGTTTGCCATTCTGTCTTGCGCTGTGAACAATCCTAATTCAGAGCTTAGGCCTCTTCCACATCCCACTTCCTTATAGAACATTTTTCTAACCTTAAAGTCAGAATGTTCCTTTTGAGCTAAAACTCAAACATTGTCTTCAAATCTGTGAGAGATTTTCTCAAAGGCTGCTGAGCTCTCTCTGTCCCACAGAATGCCGAGTACAGGAAGCAGACAAAGCAAATATGAGCAACTTTAATTGAACATGTGGAAGACCCTTTTAGTTATGGAGAGGTTTCTCAGGGGAAACTCAAATCTCTGTCCGTGGAAATTTTCAAGAAGGGAAGGTAAAGTAACCATTTTTGAGCATATACCATGTGCCAGATACTTTTTCATGTCACCTTATTTAATCCTCACAACAACCCAGTGAGGTTATGGTCACCCCTCACCCCTCATTTAACAGATGAGAAAATTGGATTAAAGACATTCAGTTGCCAATTGAATTCAATTCAGTAGCCATATGTAGGTGCCAGAAACTCAGATATGCACCCAGGTCTATCTGACTCTAAAGCCCAGACTCTTTGCAGACTTTACAACCTATTATCTTGTGATGGTTTTCTATCTCCATTCTCCATTAAGGTAAGAAACTCAGTGAAACTATGTCTTTATGTCCTCCTCAGCTTCTCTAAATTTTATCTCTGTATCTTGTTTCCTCATGCTTTTCTTAAAATACAGCACCAAAGGTGAATTGGTTATCCTGGTGGGTGTACACAGGCCCTTGGGGGTGGGTGACTGATGGCTCCACAGCACCATCAGCTGTGGTCAGGAGGATCAGAGCCCTCTGAGAAATGGACTCATGCAGGCTGGGTCCACACATAAAGCTGGAGAGGGCCAGGAGACATCATACTTTGCTGTAGGGTTCAGTGGTAATGCCCAAGAAGTATCCCAGACAAAGGTAAGAACTAGGATCTCCTGAGCATGAACCGTGAGTGTCCTATGAGAGAACCTGTTCTCACAGTGGTCACAGGAAGTTCAGCCCAGCTCTTGCAGGGTTACAGGCCTTTGGTCAACTCCAATAAAGCCAGGCCCCCTTGCTGTGTCTGTCTTAAGTGACAGTATCCTCTTTTTTGGGGATGACTGGGAGCCCAGAGGTGATTCGGAGCCCCTGTCCTTTCCTGCTACTGTCCTCGAGAGCATGGGCCAGACCTAGCACAGCACAGGATATGCCTTGTGAGCTCCCAGGAGCTTCATGGTGGGGAAACTCTCTGTTACCAAGATGGTTGCCCAGTTATTCTGATGTTCAGTTCACACTAGCAGGACACATACTGAGCAACCACACAGTTGGTCAGATGGTAAGTGATTTAATTAACTTGGAAGTTTTTGAAAAAGACTCATCAAAACAGGACCCAAATTGTGTTCTCTTCTCCTATCCAGTCCCTTCCTTTCAAATGTGCTCTTTCAGATTCTGTGAGATGAAGGATGTGTACCTACACAATTTTTCAGAGGGGCAAGTAGCTACACTGGGAGGCCTTGGCACAGTAGGGAATGTGCTAGTTTTGTGAGGGTATTGGTGCTAGGAGGTGATGACTTGGCACTTCAGAAGGTAGGCAGGCTTAGAATCAAGCTTCAGGAGTCACTTGGGACCTTATGATAAGGTCAGTGCAGGAAGCCACAGAACACACGGTCAATTTCATACTAGAACTGTTTGAGTCGGGCTCTGCACAGCTTCAGAGGCTTGCCCACAGCTGAGAGTGCCCAGCATGCAGCTACCACTTCCTTTCAGCCCTTCCCTCCAGGCAAGAAGGCTTGGCTCCCAGGAGGTATGGGATTAGGGTAAGGAGTACTGACTTTAAGTGGCGATTTCTAACTTAAAGGCTCATAAAAGGATAGAGTTCCTTATTTCCCTATTCCGATTATTGTTTGAAAAAGGGGTGAGGGTAAAAGTCTCCACCAGGGAGACAGACTGTGATACATCAGGGCTTGGACTCAGCAGGGAAGCCCCAAAGAGAACTTACTGCAGATACAGGTGACCTGCTCAGATCTGTGGGCTCTGGGACCATATTTTGTCAAGGCCGCCTCCTCTGGACAGAGGATGGACCCATACTCAGTCTCTGAGTTGCAGCTGTGAAGGGTGTGCCAGGGACCCTGACACCATGGGAAAGACACAGGTCCTGCTTTCAACCCCTAACCTATGTTAGGGCCTATGAGGTCTCCTCAGATGGGCTCTTGGCGTTCTTGATTCATGTGAACTCACAGAATAAATGTGCCAGCTTCCACAGCACTGGTTTTACCTGCAGACTTGAGAGTGGAATTAAATCAGTAAATAAAGTTAATTTAAAATTTAAACCCATTTTTACCAGCATAAGTCTGCATCAAAGCTAGGAAAAGTACAATTTTCCTCACCCCACACATGCTCTTCATTTTTAGGTTTACCAACTCGCCCCACTCTAGCCTAGTGTCAGGTACCAAGATCGTAAGAAATTATGAATTTGAATTATTGTCTTCTAAATAGCTCATATTTTAAACACTTCTACATCATAAAGAATATAATCCAGCATGGTCAGAGAAACTGAGTTCTGGTGAAGCAGATGTTTTTGCCAACAGAAAGCAATTTTTTAAAAGGAATAAACATTTTAAACTAAAACAAAAAATGAAACCAATGAAAGTTGCAGTTAATTGAATACCAGATAATATTCATTGTATGTAAATTCCTATTACAAATACTACATTTTGTGAAACAAATCATGTTTAACGTTTTTCTTTTTTTTTTTTTTTTTTTTTGAGATGGAGTCTCACTGTGTTGCCCAGGCTGGAATGCGGTGGCACGATCTCGGCTCACTGCAAGCTCCACCTCCCAGGTTCAAGCAATTCTCCTGCCTCAGCCTCCTGAGTAGCTGGGATTATAGGCACGTACCACCATGCCTGGCTAATTTTTGTATTTTTGGTAGAGACAGGGTTTCACCATGTTGGCCAGGCTGGTCTCGAACTCCTGACCTCAGGTGATCCACCCACCTCAGCCTCCCAAAGTGCTGGGATTACAAGCATGAGCCACCGTGCCTGGCCTGTTTAACTTTTTTCCTAATATTCAGTGTTTTTTTTTTTTAATAATAAGCACTCACC
This sequence comes from Homo sapiens, assembly GCF_000001405.40. NCBI lineage: Eukaryota > Metazoa > Chordata > Mammalia > Primates > Hominidae > Homo > Homo sapiens. The sequence goes on from NC_000016.10 coordinate 66,574,044, forward strand.
ATTAAGGCATCTTTCTCTTTCCTACTTATAATTCTACATGATTTTAATATCTCAGAGAATAGTTTGGAAGCTTTATGGAAAAATTGTCAAGAAAAAACACATTTCTCATTTTAGTCAGAGCAGGCTACTTGAGTCAATAAGGTATTTAGCGGAGAAAGAAAAATATAACAAGTAAGGATGGTATTTATGAGGAAAGTGGAAGTCCTCCCACACATGGCCAAGCTCAGCTGCAATTTTAACACAGCCATCAGGGATATCTGTCTCTCTGCCCAGATGAGGCAAATAAGAGAGTCTGTGTCTAAGGCAAAAGGGAGGAGGTTAGCAGGAAGAAGGCTCATGGGCACTCAAATCAGACTGCCCAAGGTCATAGCCACTTACTGGCTGAACAACCCTGGGCAAGTTGCTTACCCATCTGTAAACTGGGGATAATGAGAGTTTGTTGTGAGAATCAAATGAGATCACATATTAACACACTGGCACAGTAAGTGCTCAATAAATGTGAGCTAGCTACAATAGAAATGTTAGATGCAAGGCAAACCTTAGCTCCAATGGACAGTTCAGGAGAGCGCTTCTTTGTAAGTAAGGACCACAGTAAACTATAATGTCCATAGTCCAACAAGGAGATAAAATTATGACAGGAAGTCAAAGACTGGCTGGGCCTGGTCTGTGGTTGGTTTATTATTATCATTAATGATGTGCGTTTGTTCAAATTCTTGTAATCTAAGACCACAGCTGGTTAGTGGTCAGAGAAACTGAGCTCCGGTTATATAGATATTTTGGCCAACAGAGAGCAATTTTTAAAAAAGAATATTTGACTTTTGAAGTTTATACTCTGCTTCTCAGTTGTAAGAATCCTTGTTCACATCTTTGACTACCTTGGTTTATACAATCCTCAGGTGTAAGCTTCCTGCAAAGCTGCAAACCACTGTACCTGCCTCAGTCAGGCCTGCCCACTATGGGCAGACCTCTCGCTCAGCCTGCAGAACCCAGCTGGGACTTACTTCCAACCTCCACCAGCCCTGCTACATACCCCTGTTCCAGCATTAACTACCAGGCACCAAAACAGTAGGCATTAGTGCCTTTCCAAGAGGCAAGTCACATTCCACAAGAGGGCTCCTCGGTCGCCAGCCCCAATAGGAAGAACATCTGGAGTTTGCAGAGAGTTTACTATCTGTTAACATTTTGAGGGCAGATATGAACCTACATTTTGATGCACTCCCACCAGCTACTAGATGCCAGGCATGTTATCAGATGCTTTCAGATTCATTATGCCATTTAATCCTCAGAGCCAATGAACCTCAGTCATTATCCCCATATTACAAATTAGCAAGTTGGCAGATGGGTGATAAAATACGCCCAATCTAGGAATTGGCAGGCCAAAAGAGTTCATCAACAAAAATACTCAACTGACTGGTACTGTATCATTTTGACCCTCCAGACCCATTCCACAGAAAATGCCAAAGATGGATTGGATGCTGCACTTCCAGACTGGGAGAATAGCTCATTTCCTCCTTATTTGGGTGTCCCTCATGGGAGGCAATAGTGAGTTGAGTTCTGATTCCACCCATTATTCAATCCTAGGCAACTGAAAAACTCCAAGCCTCCACCATGTCCTCTGTAAACTGGGGATGATGGCAATTCTGACTTTGGAGGCTGCTTTGTGAGGGTTAAATGAGGTTAAATGATGGACTGGGAAATGCTTGACACATCAAAGAGCTCCATTGGAGCCACTGTGATTCCATGATACCATACACTGGATGGCAGTGCTTCTTGCTGTGTTTGGACGAGTGTGCCAGAAAGGCTGCCATTACCAAGGCAGACCATCAACACTCAAAGACTTGAGCTATTCAGATTAGCTCTCTGGCCCATATTGTGGTTATGTCCTCTGGGCTTTTGCCCATAGCCATACACTGCTGCCACTGACACACTGTGTACTCGTTCCTCCATTATTGTTTTGCTAAGGAAACCCAGCCACTGCTCACCCAGGAGGGCACTGCCACGCACTCATCCTCACTATTCATTTCAGCACACAAAGAAGCAGGTTGGGCTAGCAGTTAAAGAACTCAGGACTGGCCGGGCGCGGTGGCTCACGCCTATAATCCCAGCACTTTGGGAGGCCGAGGCGGGTGGATCACTTGAGGTCAGGAGTTCATGACCATCCTGGCCAACATGAAGAAACCCTGTCTCTACTAAAAAATACAAAAATTAGCTGGGTGTGGTGGCAGGCACCTGTAATCCCACCTACTCAGGAGGTTGAGGCAGGAGAATTGCTTGAACCTGGGAGGCGGAGGTTGCAATGAGCCAAGATCGCACCATTGCACTCTAGCCTGGGTGACAAGAGCGAAACTCTGTCTCAAAAAAAAAAAAGAACTCAGGACTGAAATCCAATTGAAACCCAGAAGAAGGAGCACAATGAGCCTGCAGATGTCGGGGCACACCCAATTCTGGCCATGTTTCAGGAAAGAGCAAAAAACATTCACTCCAGAATATCAGGCCTGCTCCTCAGATGAGTTCATATGCTCTTGGGACACATGAACTCACAGAATAAATGTGGCCCAATTTCCAGAGCGTTGGCTTTACCTGCAGATTTGGGAGAAGAAGTAAACCAATAATTAAAGTGCTCATCTAAAATTTTATTTTTATATTAAAACAAATGAGTTATGGAATAGAATGCAGAATTTACATTAAAAAATATAAGACTTCCCAAAAAAAATCACATTTATGGAGGGCCAATTTGGGATAGGCCCCTTGACCACCAGGTTTTTTCATGCTCACTTTCCTATTCCCTTTAAGGAAAAAGTTGTTAGCTTTTTTTCTAATGGTATTCTTTAATGAAAATAAACCCGTTTCTACAGACAAAGTCATATCTAGGATCTTAAAACCACATAAACTCATGTCTCTGGACGATGTAAGAATTATGCCTCTGAAGGTTCCTCCTCATCTTAATCAAATGGAAGGTTTTTTAAAGGCATCTATTCTTAGATGTGTAATTGACCAGTTTAAATATTTGTGAAATTATATTGTTGTGTAAACTTGATAATTTTCAATTCTTTATTACAGGATCTTACCAACAGTATCATTACAGCTGTGTTCCTTTCAGTAGTTGCCATCTTGGCCATGCAAGAAAAGAAAAGAAGGCATTTACTCTATGTCGGGGGGGTAAGTAGAGGCCTTCATGACTCCATTTAAGATCAGTATTCCAAGACTTTGAAAAGGGAAATTGGCAGACCCCATTATATCATTAACCAAGCAAAATCCCCACTGCCACCCACTCTCCTTCTTGCACTGACTTCTTCAGGTGATATGAAGTTGCACAAACTCTGAGCTCATGAAAATCTTAATTCTAACATGCATTCTCCAAATAGGTACAAAAACAAGAGTCTGCTAAACCCCTTTTGAGAATTGTGGACACTATTTTTGAAATGTTAAGCAAGATCTTTTTGTCTATAAATAGGACTTTGATTTTCTGGACTAGAGAATTGTATTTTAAAGACAGATGATAAGAGAGATTGTAAGGGGGGAAAAGTGCACTGTCTAAAGTGAGGAATCCAGCCTATTCAGGAAGGAAGGAAGGAAAGAAGGAAGAAAGGAAGGAAGGAAACTGCCACATGTTGAAGTGCCCAGTATATGCCCTGCACCAAGCAGGGCACACTCTGACTTAATCTTTACAACTCTCATTTGTACAGATATAGGAACTGAGGTTAAATACCTTGCTCTGGGCCACAAGACTGGGACAAATTGGGACTCAAAAGAAATGGCAGATCAAATGCTTGGAAGATTCAGGGGGTTGGGAGGGGAGGTAGGGCTTTGGTTCAAGAAGTTAAACAATGAGAACAGAAATTAATGCAGAAAAAGAGTTCATTTGAATTCATTCTATAATCAATAAATATCTGTCAATCCCATTGATTGTGCCAGACATGAGCTCAGTGCTGGGGATAGAGCCCTTTCCCCTTTGGGGAAGCTCACAGATTCACTGGGGCAAGACATACCTAGGAAAAGCTCATTAAGCAGCCAGGAATTAAGTGACCATAAAGAGAAACATCCAAGGTTGTCAAGAGTCCCGGAGTGCACAGGGGAATATCTGTGCCATCAGCCCCTGGTCCCCATCGGCTGACTCCGCTATCACTCCTTCTACTGCCAGGGGTTCCCACCCCCAGGTATCCATTTCTTACCTGGATGGCAGCATCCCACCCCACCACGCACTGGTCTTCCTGCCTCCAGCCTGGTTCACCTTCCATTCACCTCATGAACACTGCAAGCAGGTTTTCTGAATCTCACACCTGACCTCCTGATAGAGTCCCAGATCCTGCACCTCTCCAGCCTCAACTCTGCCCCCTTCTCAGCGGCTCTGGAGGTCCTGGCCACACCAGATTCCTTAGAGACCCTAGTCCAGTGCCTGGGTCCTCCTCCTCCCCTTAGGAACTCCTTCCTGCCCTTTGCAAACATAGCCCAAAAGTCTTTCCACGGAGAGGGCTTCTCAGGACCTAACCCCTACCTGCAGCCACCTAGGGCCACTGCCCTTCCCTAGTCCTTTCCGGGTGCCTCAGACATCAAGCGAGGCTACTACTGGCAACAAAATCCCCCACTTCCAAAATCCCTTTTTCTGGGAAAGGCAGAATCCGCCTGCAGCAGCCAATTGGGCAGGCGCCAAGAAAGTAGTGAAGGGTCAGAGGGGACAGGAGGCCACCCGCAGCGCCCACCCTGGATAGGGATAGGTTCGAGAGGTTGCTACTGAGCTGCAAAATAACCCCGTCTTTCCTTCCCGCATATGGTCTTGTATCTGACAGTCCCTGTGTCTCACAGCGGTAATCGTGTGTTGCATCGATGCGTTTGTGGTCACCACGAAGATGAGGACCAACTTGAAAAGATTCCTGGGAGTCGAAGTTGAAAGGAAGCTTTCCCCCGCCAAGGACGCCTACCCCGAAACCGGCCCCGACGCCCCGCAGAGGCCCGCCTGAAGCCAGCCCGGCGCCCTAGCAGATGCACGTGTCTGTCGAATCGCTGCCTCCGAGCCCACCCCCGAGCTCGCATGCTGTCACCCATTCCAGCCTAAATGTGACCATAAAATTAGGGCTGCTGCTTTTATCGAGAACACCTGCTTCCTCTCGTTGCCTTGTGTGAAAGTCGCGTTGTATTTTCCTGCGCTTGGCGCTGCGCCCGCGGAGCTCAGGGCCGTGACCCGGTGCTCGCAGCCCCCCGACCCCGCAGCGGAGCGGCGGCTTACAGACCTGGGGCCACCTGGAGACGCCGGGATGGGACCGCGAGGGCAGCTCCGCGCGGAGGTGGGACCGGCGGGTTGGGAACGGAGTTGGGGCCCGTCGGGGGCCGGCGCGTGGAGGGTGGGAGGATCCGGCCGCTGCCGGGCGGATGGGAGCTGCGCGAGGAGACGGGCGCGCGTGGAGAGGGCGCGGGAGTTGGCATTCGGTGGTCCTGGCAGTTAGCTGAGCACGCCCTCTGAGCCGCTCGGTGGACACCAGGCACTCTAGTAGGCCTGGCCTACCCAGAAACAGCAGGAGAGAGAAGAAACAGGCCAGCTGTGAGAAGCCAAGGACACCGAGTCAGTCATGGCACCTAAGGCGGCAAAGGGGGCCAAGCCAGAGCCAGCACCAGCTCCACCTCCACCCGGGGCCAAACCCGAGGAAGACAAGAAGGACGGTAAGGAGCCATCGGACAAACCTCAAAAGGCGGTGCAGGACCATAAGGAGCCATCGGACAAACCTCAAAAGGCGGTGCAGCCCAAGCACGAAGTGGGCACGAGGAGGGGGTGTCGCCGCTACCGGTGGGAATTAAAAGACAGCAATAAAGAGTTCTGGCTCTTGGGGCACGCTGAGATCAAGATTCGGAGTTTGGTGAGCTAAACTGGTATCCCTGGGTGGGGGGCCTTGGCCGAGGGTGGGGGGAAGGAGGAGTAGGCTCCAGGGGTCCTCAGAGAGATGGTGAAAGGCCCTTGCTGCTGGCTCAGGTGTCTATGTCTCACTGCAGGGCTGCCTAATAGCTGCAATGATACTGTTGTCCTCACTCACCGTGCACCCCATCTTGAGGCTTATCATCACCATGGAGATATCCTTCTTCAGCTTCTTCATCTTACTGTACAGCTTTGCCATTCATAGATACATACCCTTCATCCTGTGGCCCATTTCTGTAAGTAAGGGGTGATGGGGAGTGCCTGCATCCAGAATGCTGATCAGGTGTGTCTTGGCACCTGGAAAGTCACCAAACAGAGAGACACACCTCACCTCCCATATCTGTGCCTGGGTCAGGGACTCAGAACATCAGTGGGGCCCAGGCAGAGGCAGCTGGGTGCAAGAGGGGTAGCTAGGCAGAAAATGCTCCAAAAAGCCTATCTGTGTGTTGGAGTGAGAGTGGGGAACTCTTACTTACCTGGTGGTCAAAGAGGGCCTGAGCCTTTGTTCTCTTTAGGGGAAGGGGAGGTGTAGCAACCAGCTGTTCCTCCGAACTCCTGTGCCAGCTCACACTTGACAGGAGATCACCCCAGAAGGACCCCATTCCCAAAATTCAAAGAAGAAAATTACTCTCCCATAAGTCAATAAAATAAAACAAAATGGGAATTTTTTTTAAAAATCACTTCTAAAGCAGCGTTAGGTCTCCAGTGAATATCCCTATAAAGGATGTTTGGATCAGAAGGATGTTCAGCCCAAAGCAGTCATCTAGTGGAAAGAGACAGAACTGGGCAAGTTACTAAACCATTCCCAGCCTGTTTCCTCATCTGTAACATGAGACAGTCACATTCCTTGCAGAACTGACATTCAATCCTGAGGATTAAATGTAAATTGCTTGACACCGTGCCTGAGGACTCATGGAATTGAATCCCTGCCCATCACCTGTTTAACCACAGGGCACAACCACCTAACCCCTTGCCAGTCAATGAAGACCCCAATTCCCAAGTCCCTTTGTTCATTGCACATTCACAGCCTGCCTCCAGAGCCCTCTTGTTCACTGTTTCACTCACGTTACACATGAGGAAATTGGCCTAGAATGGCCAAGTAACTTGCCCCCAGGTCACTCAGCTGGTAAGTAGCAGAAAAAAGCTTCAAACTTAGCTTTATGAGTACATTTCATCCTGCCTTCTTGTTAAAAACTATTAGGGTCCAGGGATCCAGAGGTCTTGGTGAAGCAGATGAGGACCTCCGATACAGGGAGAAAGGACAGGAGGGCCAAATAAGGACTCTCAGAAAAGGGACAAGCAGAGGACAAGGTAAAAGGACAGGCAGAGGACAAGTTCCTAAACAAGGAGCCTGAGAAGACATTTTTAGTTCCAGCAAGATGAAAAACCAATGAACCCTGAACATCTTCCCACTGTGCTTACCTAAAAATACCAGGGGAAATGTAACCAGTATTGCTTTAACTGAATGAATGAGCTGGCAAAAAAGAAATGAAAACACACAGGCGCCAGAAATGGCAAACAGGGCAGTGATCACATAAGCTACAAAGTATGAGTGGGAATGGTCCAAGAGGTATTGTCTCAGGAACCTACAGCCTGGATTTTCATGCACTCTCAAGTCAGGAAATAAGGCCTTGATCCTAAGCAAAGTGGGAATTTAGAACTGAAAACCCTGTATAAAGCCAGCGCCCTGGAAAGACTACCTCCTTAGGGAAAAGATGGACAAAGACACATACCCTTCTTATTCCCAACACAGAGGAATAAGAAAACATGTTCATCTCTGCCTGAGCTTTGAGTGGGCGGAGAGGAAGTCTTCCTTGAGAAATAGAAAGCTTAAGCCTGCCCTTTGTACAGATTGGAGTTTGAATTTTTGTTATCTGCAGCCTAGAAACCTTCATGCAGCCCAGAAACCTTCATCCCTGGGAATTACCATAAAAACTGATCCCAGTCTGATGACATTCTGCTGATATCCTTGGACTCCTGATAGAAACAAATGCAAAATCACAATCAAGGCATGAAGAGATTCTCACAGTGGGGGTGGGGGGAAAACCTTGTCAAAAATGAACTAATAATTCAAAACTACTAAACACCTGATTTTAAAAAATCCCCATTACTAAGAATCAACAAACACAACAAATGGATTAGAATCCTGAGAATATGAGATAATAGAAGAGCTGTCTGAAAATAATAATATATTTTAAGGGATTATAGACATAAGAGTCCTGAGAAAAGAGTAAGACACTATGAGGACAAAATAGACAGATTTTTAAAAAGTACAGTGTCTAGAATAGAAAATATAGTTATTGAAATAAAAATGTCAATAGATGAATTCAAAAACAGATCAGACATAGCTGAAGGAGGGAACTGTTAACTGAAAGGTATGGGGAAATTACCCAGAACACAGCACACAGAGAGAGAGAAAATAAGAGATTGAGACAGAACAATGAGTGAGAACATCCATCAGTGGTTGTTGGGCTGGGTGTGGTGGCTCACACCTGTAATCCCAGCACGTTGGGAGGCTGAGGTGGATGGGTCCCTTTGGTCCAGGAGTTTGAGACCAGACTGGACAACATAGGGAGACCCTGTCTCTACAAAAAAATTTAAAAATTAGCCAAGCATGGTGGCACATGCCTGTTGTTCCAGCTACTCAGGAGGCTGAGGTGGGAGGATGGCTTGAACCCAGGAGGTCAAGGCTACAGAGAGCTCTGATGGTGCCACTGCACTCCAATCTGAGTGACAGAGTGAGACCCTGTCTAAAAAATAATAAAAGAGGTGTCAAGAAGCCAGGCACAGTGATGTGTGCCTGTAGTCCCAGCTTCTCAGGAGGCTGAGGCAGGAGAATGGCATGAACCCGGGAGGCAGAGCTTGCAGTGAGCCGAGATCGTGCCACTGCACTCCAGCCTGGGCGACAGAGTGAGACTCCATCTCAAAAAATAAATAAATAAAATAAAATAAAATAGACATCTATCCAAACCTGCACAAATTGTATTTTAGGTGACACTTCAGGAGCATTTCCTTAGAGATGCTTACTAGCTTCTCTTGTATTCAACATTGTGATAGAGACCTTAGTTCAATATGACAAGAAAAACAAAAGGTATAGAGATTGACAAGAGGAAAAATCTAATAGAATTATCTACACAGAAAATCTAAGAGAATCTACAGTCAAATCACTAGAACTGATTGAGTTCCACAAGGTTACCAGACACAAAAGCAGTAGTGTTCCTGAATACCAACAATGAACAATGAGAAACATAGGATTTTTTTGGCTGGGCACGGGGGCTCACAGCTGTACTCCCAGCACTTTGGGAGGCCGAGGTGGGTGGACCACTTGAGGCCAGGAGTTCCAGACCAGCCTGGCCAACATGGTGAAACACCAGCTCTACTAAAAATACAAAAATTAACCAGGCATGGAGGTGCATGCCTGTAATCCCAGCTACTCGAGAGGCTGAGGCATGAAAATCGCTAGAACCCAGGAGGCAGAGGTTGCCATGAGCCGAGATGGAGCCACTGCACTCCAGCCTGGGTGACAGAGCGAGACTGTCTCAAAAAAAAAAAAATGCTCTTTAAAAGAAATCACTTAAAACAGCAACACAAACTACAAGGTGTCTAAGAATAAACCTACTGAAAGATGTGTAAGACACTACATAGAGATTATAAGACTTTAGTAATGGACATCAAAGGAAAATGTAAATAGAGAAACATTCCACATTCACAAATATGAAAACTTATCATAGAGATGTCAATTCAATTCTGAATTAATCTATAAATTAAATAAAATTTCAACCTAACATGGGTTTTTCATGGCACTTTTACAAGGTGATTCTAAAATTCTTATCAAAGAAGAAAAAATACTAACAAGGATGGACTCACCCAACAAGATATCAGATTTACCATAAAGCTTTGGTACTAGCTCAGGGATTGACAAGAAGACTAACAAAATTGTTACAGATTGAATGTTTGTGTCTCCCACTCTGCAAAATCATACGTTGAGGCCCTAACCCCCACTGTACTGTACTTGAAGATGGGCCTCTAAGGAGGTAGTTAAGGTTAAATGAGGTCAGAACATTGGGGCCCTGATCAAATAAGTGTCTTTTGTTTGTTTGTTTTGAGACAGAGTTTTGCTCTTGTCACCCAGGCTAGAGTGCAGTGGCACAATCTCAGCTCACTGCAACTTCCACCTCCTGGTTCAAGCATTCTCCTGCCTCAGCCTCCTGAGTAGCTAGGATTACAGACATGCGCCACTAAGCCCGGCTAATTTTGTAATTTTGACTAGAGACAGCGTTTTGCCATGTTGGCCTAGCTGGTCTTGAACTCCTGACCTCAGGTGATCTGCCTGCCTTGGCCTCCCAAAGTGCTGTGATTACAGGTGTGAGCCACCACACCCAGCCAGTATCTTTATAAGAGAGCAGAGAATTCTCTCTCCCGCTTGCTCTCTCTCTACACACACACACATGCACACACATACACACGCACGCATCAAAGAAAGGCCATGTGAAAACGTAGTGAGAAGACAGCCATCTGCAAGCCAGGAAGAGAGCCCTCACCAGAAACTGAATTTCCTGGCACCTTGCTCATGGACTTCAGCCTCCAAAACTGCGAGAAAGTTAATGTCTGTTGTTTAAGCCACCCAGTCTGGGATATTTTATTATGGCATCCTGAGTAGACTAATACAGGGATAGAAAAGAGAACTCAGAAATAGATCTACAAACATATGGCAACTTGGTATATGACGGAGGTAGCATTATAGAACAGTTGAATAGAATATTCAATAAATGTCCCTGGGATTTGTGGACAGAGAGGAAGGGAGGGAGAGAGACAGACTATGTATCCCATTAAAATTAAAACTTCAACAGAAGACATCATAGGCCAGGTACAGTGGCTCACACCTATAATCCCGACACTTTGGGAGGCCAAGGCAGGAGGATCACTTGAGTCCAGGAGTCCAGGACTTGGAGACCAGCCTGGGCAACACAGGGAAGCCCTGCCTCTACAAAAACAATTTTTTTTTTTTTTTTTTTGAGATGGAGTTTTGCTCTTGTTGCCCAGGCTGGAGTGCAATGGCGCAATCTCGGCTCACCGCAACCTCTGCCTCCCGGGTTCAAGTGATTCTCCTGCCTCAGCCTCTTGAGTAGCTGGGATTACAGGCATGCACCCCCACGCCCAGCTAATTTTGTATTTTTAGTAGAGACGGGGTTTCTCCATGTTGGTCAGGCTGGTCTCGAACTCCCAACCTCAGGTGATCCGCCCGCCTCAGCCTCCCAAAGTGCTGGGATTACAGGCGTGAGCCACTGCGCCCAGCTTACAAAAACAATTTTTTTAATTGCACAGTGGCAGGTGCCTATAGTCCCAGCTGAGGCTGAGGTGGGGAGGATCACTTGAGCCCAGGAGTTCAAGACTGCAGTGAGTGGTAGAAACACCCTGTGTCTCATTTCGTTCATTCATATAGTAGGCTACATCAGTTAAAATTAATAAATCTATATTTCTCAATGTGGATAAATCTCAAAAGTCAAAAAGCAAGCATTGAAAGGTAGGATACTTTTTATTTAAATATAAAAAGTGTATTTTGAAATACACAAAATAGTATACATTGTTTATAAATATATAATATGTAGAAAAGCACAAATTCAGACAGGAAAACTGCACATCAGCTTCCAAAAGTTGGAGGAGGGAGGCATGAGGGACAGGAAAAGGGAAGGAAGCGAGGGGGCTGCAGCTCCATCCGTGAAGTTGGACTTCTTGTTTTCAAAGAGGCCTAAAGGGGACGTTGGCAAGACGTTAACATCTGTTAAATGTCAGTGGCTCCTGGCCTGGTGGAGGTGGGAGTCGGGGATAGGATGTTCTATTATTTTCTGGGCATTTGAAATGTATCAAAATTCAAAACATTAAAAAGGAAAAGGCCTGAAACAAAGTGGCCAGGAAAGGACAACAGCAGGAAATGGCACTATAGAAACCAAGGGGGATGGCAGGTGTCTTCCAGCGCTGCAGGATCAGCTGCTTCTCACCCCATCCTCTAGGCCCAGGAGAAATGCGGGAGGAAGCCAGCCTGCTATGGCCATGGTTTGGCCAGCTCTGAGAAGTTTGGCAATGCCTTGTCACTAGCAGGAGGGAAATGCGTATATGGTATGGGGAGGGCGAGACTGAAGTCACAGGGGATGGGCAGGAGGGTTGAGGAAGGAAGAGGTGGTGCTGCCTTGCAAAGAGGGGAAGGGGTCTAGGAAGTCAGGCCGAGGGCAGGGGGTTGCAGAAGAAGCTGCCAGGCTCCCAGTGAGATGCTAGAGTCCATCAGAGCCAGTGCAGCCCACCCAGACTCCAGAGAGGGGAGCTGGTCCTGGGAGCTGAAAGGCGGTGGTGGGGTCCTTAAGAGGGACATCATGACGTTTTATAGTTGTGTATTTATTTAAATGTGTATTGGCTGGGCGCTGTGGCCCACACCTGTAATCGTAGCACTTTGGGAGGCCGAGGAAGGCAGATCGCTTGAGTCCAGGAGTTCGAGACCAGCCTGGATAACATGGTGAAACCCCGTCTCTACTAAAAATACACACAAAAAAAAAATTAGGCAGGCTTGGTGGCACACACCTGTAGTCGCAGCTGCTCAGGAGGCAGAGGTGGGAGAATCACCTGAGCCTGAGGAGGTCGAGGCTGCAGTGAGCAGAAATTGTGCCACTGCACTCCAGCCTGCATAATCGGAGTAAGACCCTGTCTCAAAAAGTAGAAAATAAAAATAATAAATGAGTATTAGTGGGAGGAGACATAGGCAGAAACCAAATGTGTGATTTCACAGAGAGATGGTAGAAGAGGGGGCTGGTGACTTCACAGGCTTCAGCACGAGGGCATTTTAGCATCCTGGACTTTTTAGGTTTCAATTTAAAAAGCCCAGCTGGAGGGCCACAGATATGTCCACCTAGCCCGGTGTGTGTTTATCTTTATGCATACATTTTAAAATCAGGTGGAAATTTGCAAATCATTCCTTTGGAGGAAGCTAGCCAGGGTGCAGTGTTTGTTGATGGGGACCCTGGCTTTGGCTGAGGCTGACTAACCTCTCCACCTTCAGGACCTCTTCAACGACCTGATTGCTTGTGCGTTCCTTGTGGGAGCCGTGGTCTTTGCTGTGAGAAGTCGGCGATCCATGAATCTCCACTACTTACTTGCTGTGGTGAGTCTTTCCATGCTGGGCCTTGCATTTGCTCTGAATTCACTTCTTTTGGAGGATGGGTGTTGTCCTCTGTTTAAGGAAAGGGCTTCTTTATTTTCCACAAAAGTCTTGGGATCAAAGCAAAGTTTAAAAGTTAAGTAGGCCGGGTGCAGTGGTTCATGCCTATAATCCCAGCACTTTGGGAGGCCGAGGCGGGCGGATCACCTGAGGTCAGGAGTTTGAGACCAGCCTGGCCAACATGGTGAAATACAAAAACACAAAATTTACAAAATTTAGTAGAAAATGTATTTTCTACTAAAAATACAAAAATTAGCCAGGCATGGTGGCACATGCCTGTAATCCCAGCAACTTGGGAGGCTGAGGCAGGAGAATCGCTTAAATCCAGGAGGCAGAGGTTGCAGCGAGCAGAGATTGCAGCACTGCACTCCACCCCGGACGACGGAGCGAGACTTCGTCTCAAAGGAAAAAAAAAAAAAGTAAAGTAGACAGATGTTTCCAACGGAACCACCATTTAAATAAAGATGATGTCCGGGGAGCCAGCCCAAGTTCCTTCCTGTAGCTGCCGACCCCAGAGCAAACAGTCCCACTCTGGCTGGGTTTCAAGAGAGAAAAGAAACAGAGATGAGATGGCAGGACGGGGGAGTGGAGAAGGCAAAGGCTGAGGGAGTAGGCACGCTCCTAGCCTCTCAGAGATGGTTGACATTTGAGGGGACATGGGGGATGTGTGAAACAGCACCCCCTGATGAATGAGAAACCAGGAGGGAAACTCACCACCTTTGGAATGAAAAGCAAAAGTCATGAGGACCGTTTTGTTTTCCAGATCCTTATTGGTGCGGCTGGAGTTTTTGCTTTTATCGATGTGTGTCTTCAAAGAAACCACTTCAGAGGCAAGAAGGCCAAAAAGCATATGCTGGTTCCTCCTCCAGGAAAGGAAAAAGGACCCCAGCAGGGCAAGGGACCAGAACCCGCCAAGCCACCAGAACCTGGCAAGCCACCAGGGCCAGCAAAGGGAAAGAAATGACTTGGAGGAGGCTCCTGGTGTCTGAAACGGCAGTGTATTTTACAGCAATATGTTTCCACTCTCTTCCTTGTCTTCTTTCTGGAATGGTTTTCTTTTCCATTTTCATTACCACCTTTGCTTGGAAAAGAATGGATTAATGGATTCTAAAAGCCTAAAGTTGATGTAAGCATTATTTTGTTCATTCAGCAAAAGTTACTGACTGTCAGGGTGCAGAGGGCGAGGCCAGGGCAGGGCCTGGGAGCCAAGGCTCCTGAAGTGCTCCCAGGCTACTGGGCACCAAGGGCCTGGGGGACCAGAAGTGTAGGTGTTGCCGGCTAGTGGCCCCAACCAACTGGCAGGGGGCAGGGGGCCAGGGCATGGGGGGCAGAGGAAGACAAGAAACCAGAAAACAAAAGGATCATTTTGTTCACACTGATTATTTTAATTTTACTTTTTTAAAAAAGCATCCAAGCAATTGTTATGAGAAAAATAAGTTTGTTGGCCTTCCTTGCAGTTTAGTTTTTAGGTTGGTTTTGTTTTGTTTTGTTTTGTTTTGTTTTTGTTTTTTGGTGAGACAGAGTTTCACTCTTGTTACCCAGGCTGGAGTGCAACGGTGTGATCTCGGCTCACTGCAACCTCTACCTCCCAGGTTCAAGCAATTCTCCTGCCTCAGCCTCCTTGAGTAGCTGGTATTACAGGCATCTGCCACCACACCTGGCTAATTTTCTGTATCTCTCATACAGATAGGGTTTTACCATGTTGGCCAGGCTGGTCTCGAACTCCTGACCTCAGGTGATCCACCCGCCTCAGCCTCCCAGGGTGCCAGGATTACAGGCGTGAGCCACCATGCCTGGCCTGCAATTTAGTATTGATCCTCACTGAGGTTCACTCCGGTCGAAGTGAGGAGGGCAGGGGGTGTCAACTTCTCAGGGCTCAGGGCCTCCAAGGGCCTGAGTCAGGCTGGCATATGGGCTGAGCAGGGTGGGCACAGGAGGAGTCTAGGGGCTGTTTCCCTCTGGGACCTGGAGTGTCTCCCTCCACTGACAACCTGAGCATAAGGCCTGGAGTCCCCACATGTAGGCCTTGCAGATCTTTCCACCAGAGAAGGCTCTGCTCTCACTGGACAGTCCAGCCATCCTGGCAGGGGAAGGGTTGTCTCCATGAGAGGAAAGCCAGGCCCCAAACTGACCCATGAGGAGCTTGGAAGGGGGTCTGTAGGAGGAAGCATGGAGCCCCGAGCCCAGCCTGGGAGACAAGCTGGGAGGGTTCACTGAGCCTTGGGGACATGATCATGACTTGGGCCAAGGCGATCACTGAAGGCTGTGAGAAGGCCATGTGCTTAGCTGCTGCCGCAAAGGTGTGCCGGAGGAAGGAGGCCCCTGCAGGTCCTTCAGGTGGGGAGACGGGCAGCTGGTGGCCTCTAGGGGTGAAGCCTTGGAACTTGGGGTGGCCCCAGGCTCCTCTACACTTCAAGTCCACTGTCCCCTCTGTAGCCTCACAGCATCCCCTGCAGGCCAGGCAGTGTGAGGCACACCTACCTCTAGCTTTGTAGAGAAAAACTCAAAAATGCACGCTAACCTGCCACATGACCCAGAATTCTTCTCCTGTATATTTAGCCAAGATTAATGGTATACTAGAATGTTCATAACAGCCAAAAACTAGAAAGAGCCACATGTTCAAAAGGAGGTAAATGTGCTACATTCAGAAAACGGAATGCACTACTCAGCAGTAAAAAAAAAAAAAAAAAAAAAAAAAAAAAAAAACTATGAATACAACAACAAGGAAGGATTTCACATAATAGAAACATACCATATGATTCCATTTCTAAGCAGTTCAAGAATAGGCAAAAATACAGTGAAAGAAAACAGTGGTTGCTTGGGGATTGATTATGTAACCCAAAAAGTATCAGACACAGGCCACAATTGATTTAGAAGTTTATTTTGGCCAGGTCCAGTGGCTCATGCCTGTAATCTCAGCACTTTGGGAGGCCGAGGTGGGCAGATCGCTTGGGCCCAGGAGTTTGAGACCAGCCTGTACAACATGGCGAAACCCCGTCTCTACTAAAAATACAAAAATTCACCGGGCGTGGTGGCACGCACCTGTAGTCCCAGCTACTCTGGGGGCTGAGGCAGAAGAATCGCTTGAACCCTGGAGGTGGAGGTTGCAGTGAGCTGAGATCGCGCCACTTGCACTCCAGCCTGGGCGACAGAGCAAGACTCTGTCTCAAAAAAAAAAAAAAAAAAAAAAGTGCCACAGTTAAGGACAATGCCTCAGAAACAGGTCTGTGCCTTTCTCCAAATCATCCAAATGTGATTTTGAGGGCTTCAACATTTAAAGGGAAAAGCGGGCTGAAAGGGAAAGAGAAAGTGTGTAGTCACGTTACTGAAACCACAAGTTGCAAGAGAAAAGGAGCAGGTAGGGGAACAGCGAGTGATGCCTTCTTCTGGCGCTCAGTAAATTGGCATTTGACATAAGATGAACATAGAGCAGCTACCTGTGGGGATATTTCACTTTTCGTCTGTAGCTCTCCGCTTAGGGACAAAAGGAAAGGCGGCTTCTTGCATGACTCAGCTCTCAGCTTAATTTTTTTCTTTTGGCACAGTGAATCGGGGTCCTGAGTATTTTATTTTCCTTTCACATTTCCAAAGAGACATAAGTGAGCTTTTGTGGGTACCAGAACTTTCATCTATTCATTGGAGGAGCTGGTCACACAGGTGTACACATTTGTCAAAACATTCAATAGTATACTTAAGATCTGTGCATTTCATTGTATATAAGTTTTACCTAACAAAGGAAGCTAAATATGACTTATGCTCAGAATCCTGTGGAAAAGTGTGAACTTTCCTAAACGAATTTGGTCACTCCTCTCAACTCCTGGGGTAATACTTGTGAGCAGGCAGGGTTTCTGCGAATCCCAGGATATAATGAGCCTGAAGTGGGGGCTGGGCTGGGGCTGAGCGAGACTTCAGGTGTCATGCTAAGAAGAGGACCCCAGGACAGCGACATGGGCTGTAGGAAGATGCCCCTTCAGAACAGAACTACATCAGGTAAGTACTTGTCTGGAGCGGGGAATGGCCTGGGTGTGGGGCATGTCACTTACACATCTGGTTGAAATGCAGATTCAGCAAAAAGCCTAATTAATTAATACACACAGAATAAAAATGGATGCTGTGTCCCTCAAACAAAAGAGACTCAAAAAGGGCAACCAGCAAACAAGAGTTCTTGGGGTAGGAGTGTGGGAAACTACAACAAAGATTTTGAATTTTTGTTGTTGCTGTTGTTGTTGTTGAGACAGAGTCTCATTCTGTCGCCCAGGCTGGAGTGCAGTGGCGCGATCTCGGCTTGCTGCAACCTCCACCTCCCCGGTTCAAGCGACTGTCCTGCCTCAGCCTCCCAAGTACCTGGGATTACAGGTGCCTGCCACCATGCCTGTCTAATTTTTTTAGTATTTTTAGTAGAAACGGGGTTTCACCATGTTGTCCAGGCTGCTTTCGAACTCCTGACCTCAAGCGATCCACTCGCCTCAACCTCCCAGAATGCTGGGATTACAGCGTGAGCCACTGCATCCAGCCAAGATTTTAAAATTTAACAGAGGGGTTGAATAATAGAATAGACATAATTTAAGATGGCAATTCATGATTTGAAAAATAAAGGAAATCTAGAAAATCAAACAAAAAGGCAGACTTTCTTTTTTGGAAAAAAGACACAGAGGACAAATCTAGGAGGATTTATCCAACAACCATCTCAAAGGAGTCACAGAAGGTGAGAAAATCTTAAACAGAAAAAAATTTTCAGTTAAAACTAAAATCTTATAGAAAGGACCCACCAAGGCCAGGTGTGGTGGCTCACGCCTATAATCCCAGCACTTTGGGAAGCCGAGGCAGGTGGATCCCTTGAGCTCAGGAGTTAGAGATCAGCCTGGCCAACATGGCAAAACCCTGTCTCTACAAAAAACAAAAAAATTAGCCGGGCATACTGGTGTGTGCCTGTAGTCCCAGCTATTCCAGAGGTTGAAGTGGGAAAATCAATCACTTGAGGCTGAGAGGTCGAGGCTGCAGTGAACCAAGATTGCACCACTGCACCCTAGCCTGGGTGACAAAGCAAGACCCTGTTTCAAAAAAAAAAAAAAGAAGAAGAAAGGGAGAGAGAGAAAGAAAAAAAGAAAGAGAGGGAGAAGGAAGGAAGGAAGGAAGGAAGGGGAGGGGAAGGGAAGGGAAGGGAAGGAAGGAGGGAGGGAGGGAGGAAGGAAGGGAGAAAAGGGAAGGGAAGGTAAAGGGAGGGGAGGGGAGGGGAGGGGAGGGAGAGGGCCCACCAAGTGTTGAGCAGGTTTACTGGGAAAGCATCCTCACCTGCCTACACATTTCTCGGTGAAGTATCAGAATTCTAAAGATTAAGAGAAAATCCTAAAAGCTGAGAGACACAGAGAGAGAACACAAAGATGACACTGACAAGAGAAAAACCAAACATCAGAGTCCACTCCAGATATTAGAAAACAATGGAGCTGGGCTGGGCACGGTGGCTCACGCCTGTAATCCCAGCACTTTGGGAGGCCAAGGCAGGTGGATCACGAGGTCAGGAGTTCGAGACCAGCCTGGTCAATATGGTAAAACCCTGTCTCTACTACAAAATACAAAAATTAGCCTAGCGTGGTGGCGTGTGTGTGTAATCCCAGCTACTCGGGAGACTGAGGCAGGAGAATTGGTTGAATCTAGGAGGCGGAGGTTGCAGTGAGCCAAGATCGTGCCACTGCACTCAGGCCTGGGCGACAAGAGTGAAACTCCATCTCAAAAAAAAAAAAAAAAATTTAAAGTGAAAATGTAAGTGGTTTTTAGTACATTCACAATGTTGTGCAACCACCACTTCTATCTAGTTCCAAAACATTTCTATAACTTCATTCCTTTTTTATGGCTGAATAATATTCCATTTTATGGCTGTATCACTTTTTCTTTTTAAGAGACAGGGTTTCACTTTGTTGCCAGGGGGTTTCCTGACCTCAAGTGATCCACCCACCTCAGCCTCCCCAAGTGCTGGGATTACAGGTGTGAGCCACTGTGCCCAGCCCATAATGTTGATATTTGAAAACTTATTGAAATTGTTTTTTGTCCTAACATATGGCCTGTCCTAGAGAATGTTCCATGTGCACTTAAGAAGAATGTGTATTCTGTCATCAGGTGGAGTGTTAGGTGGCCTAGTTTCTGTCTTTTAATAGAAAAATTGATTTAGGCCAGGTGTGGTGGCTCACACCTGTAATCCCAGCACTTTGGGAGGCCGAGGCAGGCAGATCACGAGATCCGGAGATCGAGACCATCCTGGCCAACGTGGTGAAACCCCATCTCTACTAAAAACACAAAAATTAGCCAGGCATGGTGGCACGTGCCTGTAATCCCAGCTACTCAGGAGTCTGAGGCAGGAGAATCGCTCAAACCCAGGAGGCGGAGGTTGCAGTGAGCTGAGATCGCGCCACTGCACTTCGGCCTGGCAACAGAGCGAGACTCCATGTCAAACAAACAACAACAACAAAAAAGACAGAAACTATCAGATTGTTGAGGTTTTCTAAATCTAACTTCATAATTTGTATAAGAGATACATCTATAACAAAATGACTCAAAAAAGTTATAAATGCAACTATTTTTAAAAGCCAGCTCTGAGGAAGATGGAGGAGGTATATCACATTCTATCTTTCCTGCTGAAAGCAATGAATGCAACAAAAAGCCTTGGACAGAGTGCATGGAGCAGCTCTCTAGTGCTTCTGAAAAGCAAATAGTAGTAAGCAGTTTGGGGGAAGAGACCAGAATATAAAGTACCACTGAACCAGCAGTAAATTTCCTGGGTTTTTTTTCCCCTTTGGTGTCTCCTGCCCCGGACTCACAGGTAATCCAAATCCAAAACTACACATGGGGTACGGACAGAAAGAGTTCCAAGAGAAACCTTCTATTCCTAGTTTTTATGGACTGAATGTGTCCCCCTCCCAAAAAATCATATGCTGAAGCCCTCATTTTAGTATGGAGATAAGAGTCTCTAAGGAAGTAGTTAAGGTTAAGTGAGGGAATAAGGATGGGGCCCTGATCTGATAAAATTAGTGTCCTCATAAGGAAAGACACCAGGGTGTGTTCTCCCCAGCCCTAACATGGCACAGAGGAAAGACCATGTGAAGAGACAGTGGTACAGGCCATCTACAAGCTGAGAAGAGGATCCTCACAGAAACCGAATTTGCTGGCATCTTGATCATGGATATCCAGCCTCCAGAACTGTGAAACAATTACTTTCTATAATTTAAGTGATACAGTTTGTGGTATTTTGATACAGAAGCCTGAGCTAACGAATACACTAGTCCAAGGAGCATGAAACAGAGCCCTTATGGATCAGGGAGTGGGGAGGGGGTGTGGAAATAGTCTGTTTTTATCATTCTCTCCAGCCCCAGCCCCCAGACAATATCACAATATCAATGGCAATGATGGCAGCAGTTTAACAAGCAGGAACTTGGTGGGGCGCAGTGGCTCACACCTGTATCCCAGCACTTTGGGAGGCTGAGGCAGGCAGATTGCCTGAGGTCAGGAGTTCGAGACCAGTCTGGCCAACACGGTGAAACCCCATCTCTACTAAAAATACAAAAAAATTAGCCAAGTGTGATGACATGCACCTGTAGTCCCAGCTACTCGGGAGGCTGAGGCAAGAGAATTGCTTGAAGTAGGGAGGTGGAGATTGCAGTGAGCCGAGATAGCACCACTACACTCCAGCCTGGGCAACAGAGCAAGACTTCGTCTCAAAAAAAAAAAAAGTAGGAACTTGAAAGTCCAAGGCAGGGGAAGCTTTCTCTCTGAGCAGAACTGTGATCCCAAGAGTGTGGGGGGAAATCCCCTTGGCGTTTTTCTCTATCCTCTTACTGCTCTCCGCTGAAAACATAAGCAATGTCAGGAAGTGTGAAACAGAGTGCAGAAATTAAAGCCCACGCTTTCTAAACAGGGGACCCCTAGGAACTTGAAAGTGGCAGGGAGGCCATGGACAGCACAGAGCTTAAAGAAGAGATCCCGTCAAGTTGTCCATGAACCCCGGGATCACCCTCAAACTGTGTATGCATGGATTTGACCCTAGACAGCATAGCAAAGTCCTATAGAACCAAACCACAGGGTATACTAGGACTCACATCCTAGACCGGCCGCTCAGGCACACAGACGACAAATCCAAATAGTACTGCAGAGAAGGGATAGGCTATCTAGCAGAAGAAGAATACAGAGGACCTGAACAACACTAGAAGCCATCTAGACCCAACAGGTGTGCATTGAATACTCCATCCAACAGCAAAATACACATTCTTCTTTTTTATCTTACTTATTTGTTTGTTTGTTTATTTATTTATTTATTTACTGAGATGGAGTCTTGCTCTGTCACCCAGGCTGGAGTGCAGTGGCGTGATCTTGGCTCACTGCAACCTCCGCCTCCCAAGTTCAAGCGATTCTCCTGCCTCAACCTCCCGAATAGCTGGGACTACAGGCATGTGCCACCACGCCCAGCTAATTTTTTGTGTTTTTAGTAGAGACGGGTTTCACCGTGTTAGCGAGGATGGTCTCGACCTCCTGACCTCATGATCCACCCACCTCAGCCTCCCAAAGTGCTGGGATTACAGGCATGAGCCACCGCGCCCAGTCCCAAATTCTTCTTAAGTGCACATGGAACATTCTCTAGGACAGACCATATGTTAGGACACAAAACCAGTTCAATAAGTTTTAAAATATCAACATTATGGGCTAGGCACAATGGCTCACACCTGTAATCCCAGCACTTTGGGAGGCCAAGGCGGGTGGATCACCTGAAGTCAGGAGTTTGAGACCAGCCTGGCCAACATGGCGAAACCCCGTCTCTACTAAAAATACAAAAATTAGCCAGGCATGGTGGCATGCGCCTGTAATCCCAGCTACTCGGGAGGCTGAGGCATGAGAATCTCTTGAACCCGGTAGGCAGAGGTTGCAGTGAGCCAAGATCATGCCATTGCACTCCAGCCTGGGCGACAAGAGTGAAACTCCATCTCAAAAAAAAAAAAAAAAAAATCAACATTATACAAAGTATCTTGTCTAGTTACAACAGAATAAAGCTAGACATCAATAATGGAAGGAAAATAGCTACAAAAATATACAACAGCAACCTATTAGAAATGCAAGGACAGCCTGGGCACAGTGGCTCATCCCATAATCCCAGCACCCTGGGAGGTCGAGGCAGGTGGACTGCTTGAGCCCAGGACTTTGAAGCCAGTCTGGGCAACCTAGTAAGACCCCATTGTTGCAAAAAATACAAAAAATTAGGCTGGGCACAGTGGCTTACACCTGTAATCCCAGCACTTTGGGAGGCTGAGGCGGGTGGATCGCCTGAGGTCAGGATTTTGAGACCAGCCTGACCAACATGGTGAAACCCCGTCTCTACTAAAAATACAATTAGCCAGGCACAGTAGTGGGCACCTGTAATCCCAGCTACTCAGGAGGCTGAGGCAGGAGAATTACTTGAACTTAGGCGGCAGAGGTTGCACTGAGCCGAGGTCGCGCCACTGCACTCCAGCCTAGGCAAAAAGTGAAACTCCATCTCAAAAAAAAAAAAAAAAAAAATTAGCTGGACATGGTGGTGTGTGCCTGTGGTCCAGCAACTCTGGAGGCTGAGGTGGGAGGATCACCTGAGCCTGGGAGGTCAAGGCTGCAGTGAACCATGATTGCACCACTGCACTCCAGCTTGGGCAACAGAGTGCAACCCTGTTTCCACCCCCAAAAAAGAAAGAAATGTAAGGACAGAGTGATAAATCTAAAATTTTAGTTAGCAGTTTTAACATACCTGTTTTAATAAGTTAATACATCAAGTAAAAACAAAAAGTATGCAGAGGGTTTAAATTACACAATTAGCAAAGTATGTCATAGATATACAGATAAACTTTGTACCCACTAAGAGAGAATATTCAGTCTCCTGTTTTTGTTTTTGTTTTTTAGTGAGACAGGGACTCACACTCTCAGCCCAGGCTGGAGTACAGTGGTGCTATCATAGCTCACTGCAGCCTAGAACTCCTGAACTCAAGCAATCCTCCCACTTCAGCCTCCTGAGTAGCTGGGACCACAGGGGTGCACCACCATGCCCAGCTAGTTGTCAAAAATGTTTTGTAGAGGCAGGGTCTCCATATGTTGCCCAGACTGGTCTTGAACTTCCAGGCCCAAGCAATCCTCCTGTCTCAGCATCTCAAAGTGCAGGGATTACAGGCATGAGCCACTGCACCCAGCCTTATGTGTTTTAATGTATCAATTTTTAAAGAACAACAATTCAAAAGAAAAGCCAAAAAGGATGTGAACAGTCACTTCTCAGAAAAGGAGATGCAAACGGCTCTTACACATGTGAAAAATGCTTAATCTACTCATAACCAGAGAAATGCAAATTCTCTAATGCAAACTGCCCAGAGAGACCTTGGCTTCTAAATATCATTCTCCAATGAAAAGAACAGAACTTTTTGGAGGAATGGGTGATTCTAGAGCTGGGATGCAGAGAATACAAAATGAACCTTGAGCATCTTACAGTGTCATAAAATAAGGAAGTGGGGCGGGGCGAGATGGGAGGCATGTTAAGTACACAGGAGCTCACTTACATACTGAATGAAGTCCCTAACGAAGGGGGCCTAGGGGCCAAATTGAAACAACTTAGCTAACAAAATTAAGTATGATGGGTTTTGTTTGTTTGTTTGTTTGTTTGTTTGTTTGTTTTTGAGACAGAGTCTCGCTCTGTCACCCAGGCTGGAGTGCAATGGCACAATCTTGGCTCACTGCAACCTCCGCCTCCCGGGTTCAAGCGATTCTCCTGCCTCAGCCTCCCGAGTAGCTGAGATTATAGGTGCACGCCACCACGCCCAGCTAATTTTTTTGTATTTTTTAGTAGAGACAGGGTTTCACCATGTTGGCCAGGCTGGTCTCAAACTCCTGACTTTGTGATCCACCTGCCTCGGCCTCTCAAAATACTAGGATTACAGGCATGAGCCACTGTGCCCGGCCAGTACGATGGTTTTTAATTATAACAAATGAATTAAATAAATAAATGAGGAAGAAAAAATTCTTCCTTACCGGAGGCATGTAGAGGAAATAGAGCCACCCTGCCTTCATTCCATAGCAGACATTTCCTGATGTCATCCTATGTGACAGGCTCTGGGCTGGGGCTGGGCTATGACAGTCCCCCTCAGGAGATCACAGTCTGCTGGCAGGATGGATGGTGACATCATGAGTGTGCAGTTAA
The DNA here is from genome assembly GCF_000001405.40 of Homo sapiens. Taxonomy (NCBI): domain Eukaryota; kingdom Metazoa; phylum Chordata; class Mammalia; order Primates; family Hominidae; genus Homo; species Homo sapiens. The sequence continues at coordinate 66,598,347 of NC_000016.10, forward strand.
CTTATATACAGGCACCCACCCACTTCTCCTCTTTCAGCTTCTCTAGTTCAGTGCCATATTTTGCTTTTTCTCGGTACCCTTTTTGCAAATTGAGATATAAATTACATGAAATAAAATGCACCCATTGTAAGTATATAGTTTGATGTGTTTTGACAAATGTAGGTCCCTGTGTAACCACCACCCCAATCAAAATAAAGAACACTTCTTAGCACTCCAGGAAGCTTTCTCCTGCCCCCACCGCAGGCAACCACCGATCTGATTTCTGTTACTGTAGCTTACTTTTGCTTGTTCTAGAATTTCATAAAAATGAAATCATGGAGTATGTACCTTTTGAGTCTGGCTTCCTTCCCTCAGCATGCTGTCTGCAGAATGCATCCACATTGCTTTGTTTATCAATGGTTCGTTCCTTTTTCTTGCTGAGTAGTATTCCATTGTATGGATGGAAGTTTCTTTATCCCTTCACCTGTTGATGGCCATTTGGTTTCCAGTTCAGGCTATAAAAATTACGAGGGGGTCAGGCAGGGTGATTCAGACCTATAATCCCAGCACTTTGGGAGGCTGAAGGATCCTTTAAACCCAACAGTTCAAGACCAGCCAGGGCAACATATTGAGACCCCATCTCTAAATTAAAAATTAAGAAAAGAAATAAGAGGCTGGACACAGTGGCTCACGTCTGTAATCCCAGCACTTTGGGAGGCTAAGGCAGGTAGATCATTTGAGCCCAGGAGTTCAAGACCAGCCTGGGCAACATGATGAAACCCTGCCTCTACTAAAATTACCAAAAAAAAAAAAATTTAGCCAGCTCTGGTGATGCACACCTGTAATCTCAACTACTTGGGAGGCTGAGGCATGAGAATCACTTGAACACAGGAGGCAGAGGTTGCATTGAGCTGAGATCTTGCCACTGCACTCCAGCCTCAGCAACAGAATGAGACTGTCCAAAAAACAAAACAAAACAAAAAACAGAAAGAAAAAATATAAGGGGACCTCCAAAAGTTCATGGAAATTGAATTAAAATATAAAAATTTTTAAAAATGAATTTTGTTTCTCAACATAAGCTCCACCAAGGTCAAGACACTTTTTCTTTCTTCTTTTTTTTTTCATGGAGACATGATCTCATTGTGGTTTTGTTTGCTTGTTGTTTGTTTGTTTGTTTGTTGAGACAAGGTCTCACTCGCTCACTTTATTGCCCAGACTAGAGTGCAGTGAGGAGATCACAGATCACTGTAACCTGGAACTCTTGGGCTCAAGTGATCCTCCCATTTCTACCTCCCAAAGTGCTGTGCTATTAGGCATGAACCACCACACGTGGCCCTCAAGATACTTTTTAAAATGAGGATACTAGCCATTTAGTTCATCCCTAAAGAAATGAGGGAATTTAACCATGTCTATCAGTGTGGTCTTTTTTCCAGTATTAACTGGAGAAAACTAAGTGTCTTTTACAGATTTTTTTAAGATTAGGAAACGAAAAGAAGCCAGAAAGAGCCGAACCAGGACTCCACAGGCACAAGTGCCCCAGCTCCCCACATCCTCACCAGCAGCTGGTAGTGCCCCCTTTTGAAGCCATTTCAGTAGACATGCAGTAGTATCTCATTGTGGTTTTAATTTGCATTCCTAGATGTCTCATGATGTTGAGCATCTTTTTACACGCTTATTGGACGTTCATATATGTCTTTTAGTGAATTGTCTGTTCAAATCTTTGGCCCATTAAAAAAAATTGGGTTGTTTTCTTCTTATGAATGAGTTGCAGTTCACAGCCATCCTTTTGTGTGTGTGTGTGTGTGTGTGTGTTTTTTTTTGTTTTTTTTTTTTTTGAGATGGAGTCTCCCTCTGTCACCCAGGCTGGAGTGCAGTGGCACGATCTCAGCTCACTGCAACCTCAGCCTCCCAGGTTCAAGCAATTCTCCTGCCTTAGCCTCCTGAGTAGCTAGAACTACAGGGGGCACACCACCACACCCGGCTAATTTTTTGTGTTTTTAGTAGAGACAGGGTTTCACCATGTTGGCCAGGCTGGTCTCCAACTCCTGACCTCAGGTGATTAGCCCACCTCAGCCTCCCAAAGTGCTGGGATTACAGGCATGAGCCACTGCGCCCAGCCCAGGGCCACGTTTTTAATAACACCAATGGGAACCAGATTTCTCTCTGTTAGAACCCTCACCTGGCCTCCTCCTAGGGAATTGTCCGTAAAATCCAAACTCCAGGTTCTGGTCCTCCCAGTCTAGCCCTGCCCCTTTTCTGACCAGCTCCCCCCATCTTCCCCCACCCTTCCCCCCAAACACCTTGGCTCAGTCCTTTCTTTGACACTCCCTTCCTGGCTGTCCTCCCAACCAGCCAGACATCTGTTATCTATTACCAGGAACACCTTATTCAGGATTCTCTGGATATGTTTAGTGTTTATTCCACCACCATCACCAGCAGCAGCAGAAAAAGCTGGGGCCTTGCTGTACCCTAGGCACTGCTGTTGGATGAATAAATGAATGTCAAGAAAGGCTTCTCTGAGGAAGCAATACTGCACTATAGTCACTGAAGAATAAGGAGGAGTTAATTAGAGAAGAAGGTGGAGAAGCATTCTGGGTAGAGGGGTCAGCATGGACAATGGCTCTGTGGCAGGAGGGACCATAGTTTGTTCCAGGAACTGTAAGAGGTCCATGGGAGAGGCAGGGGAGGGAAGCACAGCAAAGAGTTATATTTTCCTTCTATACTAAGACCCTGTGCAGGTTGGGAAGCTCCCATGGTTTGTGTGTGTGTGTGTGTGTGTGTCTGTGTGTGTGTGTGTGTGTGTGTGTGTTTATCTTTGTGGGGAGGAGATGGAAGTGTTACAGGATCTTTGGGGTGTTAATTTTCTGGTTGGAAACCTCTGTGGCCAGTGGCACCTTTGCCAGAGTTCTTGTCTTGCATCCAGGAAGAATGAGGTACACAGACAAGTGGAGGGAGAACAAGTCAACAAGGAGGTTTACTGAGTGTTAGAAAGCTCAGAGGAGACTGACAGTGGGTAGCTCTTCTCTGTAGGGAGGTCATCCCGTTGAGTGTTCAGCTCTCAGCAGAGAGGAGGCCCTGGAGAGTGTGGCTCCTCTCTGTACCTGGTCCTCCCAACCTCTGCTCAGCTCTGGCTGAGACTGGGGCTTTTATGGGCCTCAGAGTGGAGGAAGTGTGAGCCCAGTTGATCTATGGGCAGCCATGGGTGGGTCAGAAAAGGAGGTACAAGTTCCCACTCTGGTCGGTCGGACTGGCAGCCTGGCCCCCAGCCTTCAGGCCCTCCCTGGCCCAAAGGTGGGGCCTCAATGGGACTTGCCCCCTTCCACCCAGGAATCTGTCCGCCTCCTGCTGCCATTCATGAAGCCCAGGCTTGCCCCAACTTTGCTCCCAGATCAGAGCACGTGTCCACAGCAGGAAGAAGCCAGGCAGCAGGAGAAGGCACTTCCGAGCCTGGGAGGGCAGGTGGGGGCCTTCCTGGGCCCCTAAGAGTACAGGGATGCCTGAGCCTGCAGCTGTGGTTTGGGCAGCTGTAGCTGTGGGAAAGGGGGTCCCAGGGCTCCTGTCTGCCCCATGGAGGAGGCCCCATTCTGCAGCTGCAGTTTGGGTAGCTGCAGCTGCACCTGGGAGAGCAGGACTCCTGCCTGCTCCATGGAGTGTGCAGCCCAGGCCATGCCTCCCTGCTGCAGCTGGGTGATGATAGCAGCAGGTTGTCTGGAGCCACGGCTGCCATCAAAAGTGATCAATGACTGGTGATTGTCATGAGTGGTACAAGGTCAAGAGATAATCAGGTCTGGCCAGGTGCGGTGGCTCACGCCTGTAATCCCAAACCTTTGGGAGGCCGAGGCGGGAAGATTGTTGGAGGCCAGGAGTTCAAGACCAGCCTGGCCAACATGGCAAAACCCTGTCTCTACTAAAAATACAAAAATTAGCTGGGTGTGGTGGCACAGGCCTGTAATCCCAGCTACTTGGGAGACTGAGGCATGAGAATCCCTTGAATCTGGGAGGTGGAGGTTGCAGTGAGCCAAGATCATGCCACTGCACTCCAGCCTGGGTGACAGAGCAAGCCTCTGTCTCAAGAAAGAAAAAAGAGATAACTAGGTCCACACGTGTTTGTGTCTTTCCACAGTGTCAGATTTTTATTCACCCTATACCCAAGGGTAAAAAAAAACAAAAGCCACAAGCTATCCCAAGGAGCCAATTTGCTTCTTCTTCTTCTTCTTCTTTTTTCTTTCATACAGAGTCTCACTCTGCCGCCCAGGCTGGAGTGCAGCTGGAGTGCAGTGGTGCGATCTCAGCTCACTGCAACCTCTGCCTTCTGGGTTCAAGTGATTCTCATGCCTCACCCTCCCAAGTAGCTGGGGTTACAGGCCTGTGCCACCACGCCCAGCTAATTTTTGTATTTTTAGTGGAGATGGGTTTTCGCCATGTTGGCCAAGCTGGTCTCGAACTCCTGACCTCAGGTGATCTGCCTGCCTCAGCCTCCCAAAATGCTGGAATTATAGGCATGGGCCACTGCACCCAGACCCAAGGAGCCAATTTTCCTTAGTACTTCCCGTTCACTCAGTAGTGAGCACATGGGCTCAAGCCACTCCACAAGTCAGTCAATATTGCAAACCATATATAATAGTATACTTAATCCACATGTAAATGTTATAAACATTCCACAACAAACAAAGTAGCATTTAACATCAAGAGAAAAAGAGATAGGAGAAAGGGTTAAGGAACCAGTTCCAGGGTAAGGAAGAAGACAAAAGGAATCCTGGTCTGGGCTTGAGGGTCTTGCAGAGTCTTTGAGGGGCAGAGCCTTGGGAGGCAGATGCAGAGTTCTTATGAACGGCAGTGGGATGGTTGTCAGTTAAGGCTGCTGGGCTGCTGTTTTGTAGTCACAGAGTGCTCTGGTGAGAAATGGTAGAGGAACAGTGTGCTTCTTTGTGTCCTTATGTGGTTGGACGCAGTCTTTATTTATTTTTTTTTTTATTTTTTGAGACAGAGTCTTGCTCTGTCGCCCAGGCTGGGGTGCAGTGGTGTGATTTTGGCTCACTGCAACCTATGCCTCCCGGGTTCAAGCGATTCTTGTGCCTCAGCCTCCTGAGTAGCTGAGATTATAGGCACGGTGCCACCACGCCCAGCTAATTTTTGTATTTTTAGTAGACACGGGGTTTCACTATATTGGCCAGGCTGGTCTCGAACTCCTGACCTCGTGATCCACCCACCTCAGCCTCCCAACGTGCTGGGATTACAGGCATGAGCCACAGCGCCTGACCTTCTATTTTTTATTAAACAAAACATCTTGCCCTTGTTGGCAAAGCACCCTATGAAATATAAAATGAAGTCTTTTTCTAAGATGGAGTTAGTTATGTCAAGGGTGCGCAGTACTGTGCCATAAGCTCTCCCCCGGCTGCCCAGAGAGAAAACCTAAGGGCCTCTTAAAGACACCATCACAGCAGTTCAGCGGGGAGCAGGCAGGAATGGTTTCGGATCTAGTGGTGGTGAGAAGTAGACAGAGATCAGAGAAAGTTATAGGAGGTGAAAGTGGGAGGACCTTGGTTACAGACTGCCGGTGAAGAGGGACAAGGACAACCCGCAGGTCTCCGCTAGTCAGGTGGAAGGAAAGGAGGGGGCAGTGCCCTTCGCAGAGGCACAGGAAGCTGGGTCTTGATCACGCTGAACTCCAGACGCTCTCTAGATGTGCACGCATGTGCGTGTGGAGTGTGTGTGTGTGTGTGTGTGAGAGAGAGAGATGTGTTGGGGTGGGGGGACTGCAGGTCAGGAAGTCCTGCAGATGTGCGTGCCTGTGTGTGTTTGCGCGCGCGCGCGCGTGTGTGTGTGTCTGTGTGTGTGCCTGGAGCTGCGCTTGCAGGTCTGAGAGTCCTCTGAGAATGGGTTGGGGGAGGCGGGTGCAGGACCGAGGCCTGGAACAGCCAACAAAGAGGCCCTGGAGGAGGGTGGGGCTGGCCGGGGACAGGAGGGGTGGCCAAGAAAGTCGCAAGAAAACTCCGGCCCCCAAGAAAAAGAGAGGGCATGGGTTGCGGAGCCGACATCACGGCCGGGGTCTTTGCTGTTTAGACGCCTGGGTTCCCGGATCCCAGACACGCGCACGGGCAGGAAGTTAGACCGGAGACAGCGAGTATAGACAGCCCTTCTGGATAGGGGCAGACGGGTGGGAGCTCCGAAGGGGTGCCGGGGCGGTGATCGGGAGGTCTCCAGCGGCCCGAACCAGGGTGAAGAAGAAGGTGGAGTCTGCGGAGGCCCCAGGCCGGGGAGGGGGCGGGTCGGGCCCAGCATCCCCCGCAGCCGGGGTCCGAGGGGGAGGGGCGGGCTGGAGGAGCGGGTGGGGGCGGGGCGGGGCGTGGCGGCGGGGGATGCGCCCCTGCGCGAGCCAGTGTCGCCTGCCCTCCTTCCGCACAGCCCGGGTTTCCGCTTCCCTCCGGGCGCGAGAAGAGGGGAGCCAGGCCGAGCCCCGGCCCTACCGCCGCCGCCGCCATGTGGCCCCCAGACCCCGACCCCGACCCGGACCCCGAGCCTGCCGGCGGCTCCCGTCCCGGCCCCGCGGTCCCCGGGCTCCGCGCCCTGCTGCCGGCGCGGGCTTTCCTCTGCTCTCTCAAAGGCCGCCTCCTGCTGGCCGAGTCGGTGAGTGCGGCGGGACCCTCGGCCGCCCCGCTAGGACTGCGCGGCTCCTTTCGGAGGAGGACGTCGGGGCGCGGGTGGGGTCCGGGGGCGGCCGCCGTGCTCCGATACCCCCTCTCCGCGCCGCCTCGGCCGACTTCTCTCGGGCGCCTGGCGAAGTTGGGTCGAGGTCCCCAAACTTTGGACGGCGGGGCGGGGCCCGAGCCCAGGCCATCCGCGGCGCTGTCCCCGCGAGTCCAGAGCTGGGGGCCGTGGGAAGTGGGTGGGGCCCGGGGATGTGGGTCCTGCTGTGTGAGCCAGGCGCCCCCGCCCTCTCTGGGCCCCGGGGACTCGGGCAACTCGGACCTCCGGGACTCCCGGGCCGCAGCGGGGTCCGCTTTCCTGCGAGCGGGTAGTGCGGGCCGGGGCCTCGACCTGCGGGGCCGAGCCGGCGGGGGGCCGTGCGGAGCGGGAGGGATCCCCCACCCCCGGGACTGGGTGAGGCGGCCCCGCGGTGACTTCATCGCCCTCCTCCCCTCCGCGGCCGGGCTCCTTCCTACTCCGCCCTCGCCCCCACCCCGGCCGGTGGGGCTTCTTTGTCCTCTGGACACCGGAGGCGCCCGCACTGTCCGCTGTGGGGTAGGGGTGGCGCTGGGCCGTTGGGGATGGGGAGGGAGAGGCCGGGCCGGAGACCGGGGGAGGCGGGAGGAGAGAGCGGCGCACGGCGGCGGCCACTTGTTGCTTAGATCCCAGGAACTTGGCGCTTCCTGCCCTTGTCCCCACTTTACAGATGAGAGCGCTCAGGCGCCTGATTTGACAGGTGGCTCAACTGAGGGGCCCAGTGAGAGCGGCCAGGAGGGTGGGGGCAGGAGGAAGGGGGATTCTGCTCCGGGACCTCTCCCTGGTCACTCAGGGCAGAGGGCAGAAGGTGGTCCTGCAGCCTCTCCCACGGTCAGCCCAGAGGCCACCTGCCCAACGCCCAAGTGAGACACCAATGCCACACTCCGAGCCCACACTCCCAGCCCCACCCTGGAGACCACTGGGAGCCACTTGAGGGGAGAAGCCTCGAATCCACCGTCCCCAGAGTGGCTTGAACCCCCCCATCCCCACCCAAGACCACCTCATAAGAGGGAGGCATATGTCCAGCAGGAGCATAGAGGCCACCCTGGGCCCAGCAGATGTCAGGAATCCAGGTCAGGGAGGATAAGGAAGGGTGAACGGTCAGCACTCAGGGTTCACAGGAGCCGCTGAGGGCACTCCTGCCTCCCTAGTCCCCTCACTCCCACCCCCAGGCCAAGCAAGTGCAGAGGCTGAGATGGACAGAAACAGAGAGAGGAAGTGGCCCCAGAAATCGCGGGATGAAAAAACAGGAATTGAGAGGGGAATCCCCAGAATTAGGCTTTGGGGTGCAGGCATAGGAGACAGGAAGGGGAGGGCCAGAGCTGGGTCAGTCCCATGGAAGGCCTTCCTGGGAGGCCCCAGCAGCCTCCCAGCCCGTCTCTATGCCTTAGTCTATCTTTCCAAAGGGGGCTCAGCTGCACCCAAGGCCATGTGCAGAGCAAATGGGGGTGCTCTGGGGACCCCCTGGGATCCCTGCAGTTCATTTGTCTGAAGCAGCCACAGTGCTTCCTGTGGGGCATCTGGGTGTCCCCATGGGGACTCCTGCACCCACTAGAAACTACTCAGCCATAGACATGTTCAAACGCAGCCACAGTGACAGAAACCAGGGACAGATGGCCTCCCCAACACCCACAGGGCCAAGTTGCTTAAGAACTCTACCTGGGCCGGGCGTGGTGGCTCATGCCTGTAATCCCAACACTTTAGGAGGCCGAGGTGGGTGGATCACCTGAGGTCAGGAATTCGAGACCAGCCTGGCCAGCATGGTGAAACCCTGTCTCTACTAAAAATAAAAAAATTAGCTGGGTTTGGTGGCGGGCGCCTGTAATCCCAGCTACTCGGGAAGGCTGAGGCAGGAGAATCACTTGAACCCCGGAGGTGGAGGTTGCAGTGAACTGAGATCGTGCCACTGCACTCCAGCCTGGGAGACGGAGCAAGACTCCATCTCTGGGGCGGAGGTAAGATAACTCTATCTGGGGGGTCAGCCAGCCCTGGGTTCAAATTCTAGTAGCCTCTGATTAGCCATGTGACAGAGTCTTCTCATCTGTCAAGTGGGGCTGTGCTCATGGGTGGATGTGAGGGTCAGAGGAGATGCCCGTGAGCCTCAGGGTACCAGGCACTGTGGAGCCCCAGGCTGGCCAACAGGTCACCTTGGCCTGCTCTGCAGCGTACCTGGGCTGCAGGACTGCCCAGGGCTCAACATCCTCCTGCATCAGCTCTTCCCACCTACAGAGTTGTGGGCAAGACCACAGTGAACATTTTGATTCTTGTAGTTCAAGTACAGCTGGCCCCACCTTTCACAGCTGGCCCTGTATGAATAAGGCAGCAGGGCCTGAGGTGTCAGTGCCAACGCACCCTCTGTTAGATGTTCCTTTCTTATCATTATGAAAATTTGCAAATACATTAAAACTCCAAAAGATTTTTTTGCTTTATCTATCTGTCCATCAAGGCATTTTATCTTTTAACACAAAATAAATTGCAGACATCAGGACATTTCAACTCTGAACACTTCAGGACGCATATCATTAAGGTTCAAGGTTTTTTCTTTTCAAGGTGAAATCTACATTCAGTGACGAGCACACGTCTTTGGTGTTGGGTGTTACTTTTTGGAAACTGGTTCCTGCCTCGCTTTGATTTCCCTCCGCAGGGCACTGAGTGGAGTGCATGTGCTTGGAAGGCTGGGGCTTTCTGACTAGGTCCTGTCAGGGAGCTGGGGTGGGGTAAGGTGAGGACTCAGGGCCATGCCCAGGACTGGGAGGCAGCATAGGTGTGAGCCTGGGCCATGCTGGGTTTTTTTTTTTTGTAGGGGCGGGTGCGGACAGGGTCTCTCTCTCTCTCACCCAGGATGGAGTGCAGTGGCCTGATCACAGCTCACTGCAGCCTCGACCTCCCCGGGCTCAGGTGATCCTCCCACCTCAGCCTCCCAAGTAGCTGGGATTTCAGGCACACACCACCATGCCCGGCTAATTTTTGTATATTTTGCCGAGATGAGGTTTTGCCATGTTGCCCAAGCTGGGGTCAAATTTCTGGGCTCAAGCAATCCACCTGCCTGGGCCTCTCAAAGTGCTAGGATTACAGGTGTGAGCCACTGTGCTTGGCCTGGGATTCTAATCTGGCTCTGCCACTTCCCAGCTGCGGGACTGTGAGCAGTTGGCTTCCCCTGCTGGAACCTCCTCTATCCTGACCACAGGGCCTGGCTCAGAGGAGCACTGGACAAGGAACATGAAAAGGCTCTGACTTCACCTCAAACTCCTTCCCCGCAGGGTCTCTCATTCATCACTTTTATCTGCTATGTGGCGTCCTCAGCATCTGCCTTCCTCACAGCGCCTCTGCTGGAGTTCCTGCTGGCCTTGTACTTCCTCTTTGCTGATGCCATGCAGCTGAATGACAAGTGGCAGGGCTTGTGCTGGCCCATGATGGTGAGGACAGGGGCCCCAGGAGGGAGGGGTGCCCTGCACAAAGTGGCCAGATGAGGAGTCCAGAGTCGTGCACTTGGGCCCTTATCCTTTCTCTAGTGTGCTGGAGTTTGCAGTTGGTTAGAACTGGATGGAGAGACCCAGCTTCAGATCATCCCAGCTCCACTACTCAGCAGCCCTGTGACCTCAAGTGGGCTGTGGTGCCTCTAGAGCAGGTCTGTGAGGCAGGGAACCCGGAGAGGGGTCTCTGGCCACCAGGTGGCGCCGGTGCTCCCCACCGGGCCTACAGGAATGAGCTGCCGCCACAGGAATTCAAGCCATTTCCACGTGGGCAGGACAGGTTAACTGAGGACTTGCAGGGCTTACCCAGACTTCAGCCATCGGCAACCCTGACCTCGTTTTATCACCTGTGAGGGCCCAGACCCCAGTGGACCTCGCTGAATGAAATGTGTCCTAGAGAAAGGGCAGCAAAGGCTCAACTTGAACCCTTGTCTCTTGACTTCATATCCAGCATCTGCTGCCTCAGGAGGGCTGCACCCTCTGTGTCCCCATCTTAGGGACGGATAAGCAGAAACTGTGGTCCATGAATGGATCGGCCACAAGAGTGTGACAAAGCCGAGGCCCAGAGCCAGATCTCCCCAATGGAGAGCGGGAAGGGAGCAGGTGGGGGTGTTTCCAACTTCTGCTTCCACCGCATCGCAGGGCAGGCTGCACCCTGATCCACACAGTTTTTTGCCCAGAGCTTAGGACAGCAGCCCCGCTGGACCCGGGATAGGGCAGTGTCAGCTGCTGGCAAGGCAGCAGAGGCACCTCGGGGGTGGGACAAGGGCCTAGGCATGTGGGTGGGGCCAGGATGGGATAGGAGCCCTCAGGTGCTAGGCCTGGGGCTGGGAACACGACCAGGCTGCCAGGCCTCCTCCCCATGCTGTGCTCAGCTCCAGGGGCTCAGGGCAGCATGCCCCTCTCTCCCCAGGACTTCCTGCGCTGTGTCACCGCGGCCCTCATCTACTTTGCTATCTCCATCACGGCCATCGCCAAGTACTCGGATGGGGCTTCCAAAGCCGCTGGGGTGAGCAGCCGCCCCACCCCTCTGGAAACTGCAGATGCCCCTCTAGCCCCTCATTTAGGGTGGGACCTGGGGCAGAGCCTTTCCCTGCTGGGGCCCCCCTGGGGTCTCATGTGGGTCCCGATGATGATTCCAAAGTCCTCTCATTAAAGACTGACTCTACCCGGGGTTTTGAAAGGCTGTTTGTCAAACCAAGTTCACAGCTCATTTTCCCACTTCCGTTACTCACAGGGGTCTGTGCCTGACACTCGGGCTGTTTGTCCAAGCAGATCTGAAATGGGCCGTGAGGCTGGGGCAGCAGCCTCCCGGAGCAGGGAGTCAGCCCTGTGATGCATCCCATCCACCCTGTCCACAGGTGTTTGGCTTCTTTGCTACCATCGTGTTTGCAACTGATTTCTACCTGATCTTTAACGACGTGGCCAAATTCCTCAAACAAGGGGACTCTGCAGATGAGACCACAGCCCACAAGACAGAAGGTAAGCGGCTGCCCTGATCACCCCAGCAGTGCTGCAACAGGGGCCTGCCCTCCCTCGGGGATGCCAGCTAGTTTGAGGCTGGGGTGGGATCATTTCCTCTCTCCCCATGGCAGGAAGTGTTTTCACAGCCCATTCTCACCTACCCTCATGCAGCACTGATCCAAAGCCAGTCCCATTCGCCTCGTGCACCCTCACCCCAGCCTTTCTAGGAGGGGCAAGCAGTGGGCATGGCTGAGCCTCAGGCCAGGCCGGCAAGTCTCCCTGGACGACCCCCCTGGGCAGCCAGTCACTCTCGGGCACCTGTCCACCTGGGATCCAGAGTGGCCATCCCCCAAACCCAGCCCCTCTGCTGTCTTACCCATCCAGGCCTGTCCTGGGAAGCTCAGAGCCCAGAAAGGAGTCAGACCCAGAAACCGTGGCAAGGGACAGATGATGTGTCCCGTACCAGGGGAGGGGCCAGATGGGGCAGCAATGACGACAGTAAAACAGGAGCCGATAGAGGGAGGGATACAGTAGCTGAAAGCAGGCCCACGCTGGGTGTCAGCTGGCCCGAGGCTCTGGAGGGGACACTAGAGCTGGGTACTGACAGATGGCAGTAGAGGAGTGTGCAGGCAGAAGAGACCAGGCCGGTGTAGGGAAGAAGGCTGAGAGCAGAGACAGCAGGCGCTTCTGCCTGGGGAGATGCTTCTCTGGACCAGGCGGATGTGCCCCTGTGCTGGCAGTGCCTGTGGCTGGACAGGTAGACAAGGGCAGCTCTGGAAGGGCCTGCAGGCCCCACCCTGTGGTTGGGATCTTCCCTAGGCAGGACCAGTAGGTTAGGCTTAAGAGCCACTGGTTTCCTAACAGCCAGGTGCTGGGGCCATGGGGATTTGTGAATCCCAGAAACCGTCCTTCTGCTGAAAATGAATGCCACTCATCCCATCCCGTCCCTTGGCAAATATTAGGTTAGAGCTCCCAGGCGGTTTCCTCAGGCTCTGCAACCTGCTCCCAGTTGCCCGCAGCAAGTGATCCCAGACAACCAGCCCAGGGACCAATTAGTAAACGTCAGTGGAAACTTGGGTGGTTTTATTTTGTTTTTTTTGTTTTACTATTTGGAGAGTTTCACATATGTAACAATTATTTTGCTGTAAAATTATTCTTGACTTATATGTTAGAATTGAATATAGCAGCCAGGCACAGTGGCTCACGCCTGTAATCTCAACACTTTGGGAGGCCGAGACGGGTGGATCACTTGAGGTCAGGAGTTTGAGACCAGCCTGGCCAACACGGTGAAACCCCATCTCTACTAAAAATACAAAAATCAGCCAGGCATGGTGGTGCCCGCCTGTAATCCCAGCTACTTGGGAGGCTGAGGCAGGAGAATCACCTATGGGAGGCAGAGGTTGCAGTGACCTGAGATCAAGACATCGCACTCCAGCCTGGGCGACAGAGTGAGACTCCATCTCGGGGGGAAAAAATTGAATATAGCAAAACCCACAAAATCTGACGAGTGCAGCCCAGGAACCGGAGTGAGGGACAGAGCTGGGGTTTAGGGACTAGGCTGCCCACACCCCAGCCCTGAGCCCAGCCATGAGCCAGCGACAGCTCATGGGGACTGACTGGGGTTCTGAGAGACAGAGGCTGGCCAGGGAGGGGATGAGCATCAGGAAGTAGCAACCAGCACTGGGGTGGGGTTGGGGGTTAGTGACTCTGGTGCTTTTCCTTCTGGGGTGGAGGTTCCAGAAGGCTCTACAGAGCTCCGAGACAGAACTGGGATTTCAGGAACCCTCGAGGTACACCTCATAGGCAGGCCCTTACCATTATAAAATTGTTTCTGATTACAATATTAAACAAGGATTGGGGGAGGGGGATTGAAGATATAAAATGGCTAAAAAGAGGCTTGCTGATTTTCCAGTATATTTTAGTTTGGGGGACAAGAAAATAGCTGTCCTCACCTTGTCCTGCTGAACCTGGGGGTGGGGGTAGAGCTGGAATGCAGAGGTACAGCCCTGACCCACCCAGCTGAGAAAAGCCCAGGGAGACTCCGGAGGGGCTGGGCCTGAGGAAGGGGCACCTGGGCTTCAGTCTTGGGGTGGAAACACCCCCACCTGCACCCGCACCCACACCCTGGAGGTGCAAGTGGCTTCTGCGGCCGGGCACGGTGGCTCACGCCTGTTACCCCAGCACTTTGGGAGGCTGAGGTGGGTAGATCACCTGAGGTCAGGAGTTCAAGACCAGCCTGGTGAAAGCCCATCTCTACTAAAAGTACAAAAATTAGCCAGGTGTGGTGGCACACGCTTATAATCCCAGCTACTCGGGAGGGAGGAAGTTGCAGTGAGTCGAGATCCCGCCATTGCACTCCAGCCTGGGTGATGAGCAAGACTCTGTCTCAAAGACAAAAAACAACAACAAAAAAAAAAGAGAGAGAGAAAGTGGCTGCTGCCTGTGGAGGGCCTCAGGCCCGCGGCCTGCCCTGATGCCAGCGATCACTGGGAACGGTAGAGTCAGCTGCAGGAGGCCTGCACCCAGGCTCCTGCCAGCAACCCAGCTGTGCTTCCCCAGAGACCGTTCCCAGGCACCGCTGCCCTGAGCCTCCTGCCAAGCATCCTCTCTGCTTTCCTTTCAGAAGAGAATTCCGACTCGGACTCTGACTGAAGGCCTGGCGGGTGCCTTGGCAACCTGAGCCACACAGGCCTCCACCCCTGCGCCTCACAGGGGTCGCTGGCGTTGGAGCGGAGGCCTGGACTTCTGAGTTGCAGAGGGGGCTGCGGACACAGCAGGCCCCCTACAGCCTCAGGTTCTGCCTGAGCCCAGCCTACCAGGCTTGCCCCTCAGCTCAGCACTGTTGACCACGCTGCGTATGAGGGCATCTTGGGTATCCCACTCCTTCTCCCCATTTCTGTCCCACAGGCCTTCAGCCCTTTAACGTCTCTGCCAAAAACCAGCACAAGGAGACAAAGCAGAGCCTTGTCTGTATCTGGGCAGCAGGTGTTCCATGCTGCTAGGTGGCGGGGGTCGGGGGTCTTCTGTTTCACTAACAGGAACAAAGACAGAAACCATGACAGGGCTGCCCCGCCAGGCCCCGGTGGGTTTGTCTGCACTTGGTGCTCCTGCCCACACCAGCCACTTTGGTGACAATGACCCTTCCAAGAATCTTTGGTTCAAGGAGCACCAGTTCCCTCTTCATTCTTGAAGCAGGGAGAAATTGACCTTTGCCTTGTCGCCCAGGAAGTGGGGCTCGGCACCCATAACTAACACCTCCCACCCTTGGAAACCATGTCTTCTGGGGGTGAGATGACCATTCTGGGTCTAAGACTGTTTCAAAGAAGAGCTCATAGACTGACTGGTCCAGAAGACAGAGGGTACAACAGTGGCATCACAGTGACAGTGTCATGGGGAGCTGGGCGGGCCCAGCCAAACCCTCCTTCTTCCTAGAGCCCAGCCAGCAGGCAGGAGTTCCTGGACCCTCAGGACAGTGAACTTCCAGACCTCAGGGCAGGTCTATGGGCCACTGCAGGAGATGAGACCAGCCTTCTGTGTTCACCTAACGATTTATACTGTGTATCTGTCTTTGATGGAATTTTGTAACTTTTTATATTTTTTTATGCAAAAGCAGCTTCTTAACAGATGGCATTTTCTGTGACTCTAGGCCTCACAAAAGAGCCAGAGTTCTGGACCCATGTTTGGAGCATTTGTAGCCTTATTCTCTTGCGTGTGAATCTCTTACCCTGAAAAAAAGCCATAATGAATTAAGCCAGACTGACCACTTGCTTGGAGTGTGTGCTTGAAAAAACCAGAGCAATACTGTTGGGTATTGTATCAGGCTTCAGTACAAACTGGTAACACCAATGTGGATCCTGACAGCTTTCAGTTTTAGCAAAAATACACGTGAAATCTGACTACCATTTAATCCTTTATTTCCCTAACCTTTTTGGCACCAGGGACCAGTTTCGTGGAAGACAGTTTTTCCATGGACTGGGGGTTGGCGGGTGGGTTGGGGTGAGGGTGGGAGGGGATGGTTTCAGGATGAGACTGTTCTATCTCAGATCATCAGGCATTAGATTCTCATAAGGAGCACACAACCTAGATCCGTAGCATGCACAGTTTACAATAGGATTCGCATTCCTATGAGAACCTAATCCCACTGCCAATCTGACAGGAGGCAGAGCTCAGGCGGTAATGCCGTTGCTTGCCACCCACCTCCTGCTGTGCAGCCTGGCTCCTAACAGGTCCCATGGTACCAGTCCACTGCCCAGGGGTTGGGGACCCCTGCTCTAGTTCTCACACTACCCTGTTTTATAAACAAAGAAACTGAGACAGAGGTCGGGTAACTGGCCCAGGGCCCTCTCACTTACACATCAGGATAGTGTCTCACGGCAGCCTCAGGCAGCCGGAACCCTGGGGCTCTCCTGGTTTGGAAGCTGGTTGCATAACAGCCCAGAGGACTACAGCCCTGGAGGACCCGGGTCCGCATTCTTATCCAGGCTGATGGGAAAAGACAAGACATTCCACCCAAACTGTCACACACCACATGTGCTGAAAATGGGTAAGAAAGCTGGGTGTGCAGGAGTGGAGAGGCCCCTGGTGGAATTTACATTCCACCTTGTAAGCCCTGGCAAAGCGGCAAAGCTGGTGTCACAGAGGCCTTGTTCCACCCTGAGGATCGTGGCTCTGTTCAACCTCCACACAGCAGCCCTATTTCAGGAACTGGATCCGTAACGTTTAAGGGGCAGAGGAGGCCACTCAGAGTGAGGAGAGACAACGACATCCTTACACGTCCATTTATTAAACAAGTTCCTTCATGACAATTTAATACAATAGTTATTAACGATTAGTGTTGAGAAAATTATTTCCCTCTACATACAAAAATACAGATTTGAACACTATGAAAAAGATCAAGACAAGTACCATGAAAAACTGGTCCTTCAAATGAAAGGGGGAAAATTGAGGGCAATGTGAGGCTTTGCCTGCTGTCGGGGACAAATCAATAGCAGCAAAGCTTTGGGGCCCCAACCCACTCCATACATACAGACTTGAACCCAAAAGCCAGGCCAGCCAGGGGACGCCCACCCAGGGCTTCCACGTCAGCTGAAAAACCAAACACATAAACCTAAGTTTGCCCAACGGGCATCGCCTCAGAAAGCCCACAGTTGTGTCTTTAAACTGCCGAAATGAAAGAGACTTGATGAGTAAAATGTGATAGTTGTTAACATTGCCCCCCAAAAGTGCCACCAGGTGAAGTACCACGGAGAAATCATATTGGAAAGTTACTACTTAGCCATCTGACTTGACTTCCTTGGTTATCAAATAATTACATATTCTGACCCTTCAGAAGGACACCAAAAGCTACAATTTTATGTTTCAATCCATCTGTACCTTCATTTGCAATGGCTCAGCTAGTTTACTCAAGGGTTTTGGGACCAGACATAACTCACGTCCTGCAGGAAGGAGAAGCAAAAGGAGCCGGTGAAGAGTACGTGTCTGTGTCTTGGTGTCATCTAGCTCCTCACAGCAAACAGCCTGTTTTGTTCAGGCCTGAAGCCTGGAAAAGGCCGCCGAGCCTAGCCAGAGCATCCACAACGAACCAATCTGAGATCCGAGTGGAAGATGAGAGCCCCGGAGCTGGCTGAGGTCCCCCAGGAAGCTTCCCACTCTGCAGTGGCAGGAAGGCCATGCCTCTGCAGGACGCTCGCACTGATTCTGGAAGGGGCCCAGGCCAGAGAATACACTTGGGCTCAGTTCACCAGCCCAAACCACAGGGGAAGGAGCCGGACACCGGCCTCTCACCATTTTACACCCAAAGACAGGAGGTCAGGGCTCTGATGCTACTCTTCTGTTTGTAAAATATGGAACCACTTTCTTTGTACTGTTTGAGGTGAGCAGTGGCTCCAAACTGAGCAAGTGGTTAAAAAATGCCAAATGCAATTATACTGACTTATAATTATTTCACAGAAATATACTCTTACTCTCAGACTATTTAAATAAGCAGGAACAAGATGCAGGAGAAGCAGCAGCAGAGAGGAAAGAGGAATAGCCAGGGAATTTTTTTTGTTTTTTTTCTTCTTTAAAATACATACGAAGTGTAAAGAGAAAATGGCCAAAACCTCAAAACTACCATTGTTGAAAACAATATTAAAAGGACACAATCTAAAATCATGCTACAAAAATAGTGTTATCTTGTTTAACTAAATGTACATCTTTTTTTCCAATTCCATGATTGACAAGAGTGCTTATGCGACGCATGGAAGGCACCAGAGGTGAAGTGATTATTTGCCTTAAAATATACAAAGAATTGCCTACTTTGAAAAAAAAATAGTCATACTTGTAAATAAATAGTTTAGTGTTTCTGCCATGGGTTCCTGAACCCCTACAAATTTCAACATATACAAATAGTTTCAATTCCTACCATTCTCTTAGAGGGAACCACGTCAAACAAAATCAAGTTAGGAAAAGCACTGATTTTATCCAAGTAGGTCAATTTGAGGCAAGATTCAAAAACTCATTTTAAAATGGGTTACAGAGTGAAAGAGTTGGGAACAGGCAGCCCCCTTTGGGCCTGGGTCAGCCTACGAGTCCATCCCAGGTGTCCTGCCCTCACATCTGCCAGCCCTCAGGCCGGCCAGGTCTCCCTTCAAACCCTGAGTATTTGCCTTCCTCACTTCTGCGAAGAGGGGAACAGAATCTTGAAGCTTGCAAAATCGATTCTGGAAAAAGCAGGCAAGCAAAGCAGGGCCTGTGGGGGGAAGCAGCGTGAGTCAGGCCTCACCCTGGTGCAAGGGCACCAGCAGGTCTCCCTCCTCTCCCCTCCTCACCATCCCTACGCGTCTCCTCACCATCCCTACGCGTGACTGACTTTCCTGATAAAAATGGGATACTTCCTACTGGGTGTCAGCACTGTCATCCTAAGGCAACTCAGACGTGATAGTTTTAGACTATGATCAAATCTCACACAAACCATTATCAGAATCTTGTTTCACACCATCTCTCTTTTCAGGCAGTTATGAAAAGAAACTCTGACCTGGCCCTAAATCCCATCAGCAAAGCTGACTAAGGTGGTCTGAGATATGTTCTTACTCCTAAACTCAAACTTTAAAAGTTTCAATAGCTCCCTGGGGGTCCAAGCCAAAGGCTCCCTGGCCTTTGTGTATTATGCATCCCAAAGAAAACACGCCACCCCAGGTGTCTAGATAGCAAGTCACCTGAATTAAAGCCTCAGCATAAAAAAACAAACATAGACAACAAACTTACCCTATGAAATAGATACACAGTTCAAGGACCCATCATCTGAACTTTTCTAGGCAAGTTGCCAGTGATTCAAACTCAGCAGGTTTGTGGGTGATTTTTTCCTTACTGTTACGTTTGTGGAGTAGGAAAAACTAGAAAGGAAAAAAAAATCCCAAAGGTTGAAAAACTGTATCCAAATGGAAAAAGAATATATTCCAGACAAAAGAAGGGAAAATACAATAGGACCCACTCCGCTTCAAGCTAAAGAGTGTACAAAATGCCACTCACTTGCATGAAGAAGAATTAAACAGAACATTCACTTTCGGAAGAAAATTTTTCTAGACCTAACAGATATTGACGGTATTTTCTCTCACAGTTTCTAAATAAAAGAAACATAAAAGGTCAAATATTTTAAATTACTTTCTCAACCAGACAGTTCTTGTGACTTGAATGATATCTGCTGAGAAGAGAAGAAACACAAGATTCTACAAAGCGCCAGGGAAGTTTACAAAGCTAAAAGCTGAGGGTGTCAGGCCTGCGTCCTGTCTGAGATGGCAGCCAAGCCAGCTTCAGAGTCACCTGCTGGACCCACATGTTCCTGAGCCAGATGCCAGGAGCTCACCCACAGGACGGGAAAGACCTGTCCCCAGCATCCCACTCTTGCCCTCAAGCTGACTGTGGAACGCGAGACAGCTTTCAAAGACAAGAGGACAGGAAGGCAGTTAACAAAGTACACGTTTCCAAGACAGCCTGAGCTGTCTAGTGCTGATAGCAGACAGGTGGGGTGTTCCAGGCCACTGCTTCCTCCCTTATCTCCCAGACCTGGCCGTGTGTGGACCTCACCAGCCTACCAAGCTGTTGGGCCTGGACGTGGGTGCTGATAAAATAAGACAAACCTGGAAAAAACCCTGGATTCTGCAACTTCACTAGGAAATAACAAGGCACCTAGAGACTTCACAAGCTAATGGCAGTCCCTGGAGCAGGAAGCAACTTGTTATTCTGCTCAAGAGAATCCACCAGCAGCTCTTGGCCTAGAAACTTTTTCCCCTTTCTGATACCTGTTTAACGTCATTATTACTCTGTAAACAAGATCTGGAGAAGATGACAGTCAGGCAGTGGCACAAAGACTTCATGACTGTTTTGTTTTGAACACAGATGAGACAATAGGAACCCTTAAATCATCACTGCCTTGCAGAATCACTAAATTGTTCAGGTGTCTCCATGCTCTATTCATCTCCTAGGTGCTAAGACCAACCCACAGAAAATCTGGCACAGAAAGGGATTAGACCTCAGTCCACCTCTCAGAGCACATGGATAGGTGACGGGTTTCTCATGTGAATCTACAAGAAAAGGTACGCCTGGGCCACACGCAGGACATGGCACCCACTAGGGTTGTTCAGGTCTCATTCACTGCAAGCAAGAATTCACGTACATGAGTGCACAAAGGTGTTGGAGCTTGGTCTCCTCAGGCTTAACCCAAGGCTGACTCACTAGGACAGCTTCCAAGAACCACAGATGTAACTGCAAACTTGAAGAGAGTCAGAATGTTTTCAACTGAGTCACGAAGCTGTCCCAGAAGCACCCGACATAGGGTGGAGGTCAGACACATTCCCTGGCTGCCCACAGGCGTGAGCCTTCCTGCCAGGGGACAGTAACAGGGCCCGAAGGGCTGGGGGTGCCGCTGGCTTCCCAGGGCCAAGCGCTCAGAGCTGGGCCGGACTTGCCCATGCTGGCTTCAGCTCACATTGCCAAGGAAGATGTGTATTGGGGCTGTGCAGGCTGCCACATTCTTGCTTTTTCTGTAGACAAAAGTCACCTCCCTCGGATGGCTGTTTACTTCAAATCAAACTTCTCTGACGAGATTTTAATCTGAAACTGCATCTGTTCTTCCCAGCTTTATGTGGGGCCAACAAGTATCTCCAGCCTTTCATGACTGTAATCCCTCTTTAAGGCAGGGAAAACATATTTCCCTCCCATGCCTTCAGCAGTGTGAAAGAAGGATATCAAAGAGAATCAGAGGGAAAAAATACCAAATCCACCCAATCAGTGCCAAAATAAACTTTCTCTGAGGACATCAGTGTTTGCATCCATCTAAAACCACCAGAGGTTCCACCAAATGCTTGAGGGTTTCAGCTGTACAGTGTCCAGGAAAAAACCCAAATGCACACAGCAACTGCAGTTTCTTCAAGTTTTGCTTTAAATGTGAAAACCAATATCGTCCCACCAGAACACTGAGAAAAACTAAGGTCGCTCAGCCTTCAAATGCCCCAAACCAAACTGATATTGGTCCCTATTGAAACTATTAAACGCAAAAACGCTTCCTTCAATTTGCCAAGAGGTCATTTTAAGGCCCCCAGATATCGATTGTCTTCTGTTTGCATATAGAGGCAATATAAGAAAAATATAGGCGTCTTCATATTCACCTTGGATAACCCTATTCCCTCCAGAACTTTCGTCACCACGTGGTCTATACATGATGACATGTGCAACCACACATTACATCAACTAGAAAGCGTCCATAGCACCACTTCCGGTTCTAGTGGGAGTTAATTAAATACAAGGAGAACATTTACAAAACCACCGAGGAGCCTCACGGCACAAAGGATATTAAATAGTTACAGGGACATAAATAATTCTGAAGAGTCTATCACGAAGATGCAAATTAACTCCTAAGTCACTCTCTGGCGTGTCATCCTTTTTGGTCATTCATCTGCATTTAGTTTCAGTGACTTCAGAACTATTTCTTGCAGCTGACAACATATCCTCAGGAGGCCAACCACCTGCCCCCCTCTTTCACCAGATGATCAAGTGGTTTTACTGAAGTGAGCTGGGAAAACTTGGGCAACAAGCCCACCTGAATGGTGTTCTTGTTTTCAATCTCACTTCAAAGATGGCCTTTTTTGGGGGCCAAGTAACATGATTCCCAGCAGGAGATTTCTGATAAAGCTCAGGATGGTCCTTCCAAGTGGGCCCCATTTAATGCAAGGCTGAGCCTTTGTGGCCCTATTTTAAAAGGAACTCTCAAAGAGAGATAAGCCCAATTTTGACTTTGCAAACACACTCAACAGACCTGACAGGCAGCACACCCAGCTGTGAGCTGGCCTGGCTGCCCTCTCTGTGGGAGCAGAGGGGAGACGAGTTGTTAACAGGCTAGCAGGGTCAGCCCCTGAGGCAGACGTGGTGCTCAGCCACATAGCCTGGGACACTGCTCCCAACTCAGATCGTACTGAAGGTGTTGGTGCAGGAAGCTAACCCCAACTCCGACCCCCAGCCCAGCAGTGTTGCCTGATCAACACTGTGAGCTCAGATGCTGTCCTTTTCTGGGGAATGAGACGCCACATGTCCATAAGGTGACGCTTTCTTGCACAGACCCCCCGCCGCCCCCTCGGAGTTATTTATTACACAGTACGCTGCTAAAGCTGTCAACATTTGTCAGCACTTGATCTTGGGGATTTCTCCATGTTACTGCAAAATCTTCCTGCCACAGTAAGTGCTTTTTGGTGAGGGCTAAACACAAAATGTTAGAGCTAAAGTGAGGTTTGTAAACATTAAAAACAGTTCAAAGAGGGAAAACCTGACAAACTAAAACAACTTTTTTCCATAAAAGATATAATTACTCTCTAATTTTTTAAAAAAACTACTGCATCATGGGGACTCACTGAACTCATTCACCACACACAATAATCTTCACTTTATCAAGAATCAATCAGAAACCTTAAGTAGCTAGGATTTTTCCCCCCAACAACTCCCAAGAATGATGTCTACAGTTATGACACTGAGGCGCCCAAAGCGACAATTAGTGCCTTCTGAAACATGGGTGGAAGGGTGTGTTCTGGTGCAAATTCAAGTATTTTCAAATCCTAGACGAATCTGCTCAGAATCATTTTAGAACTCTTTGCAGGCATTTAGAAAATTAGCACACATCCCTAAAATAGAGGGGTGTGTGTGTGCATGTGTGCGCGCACGCGTGTGCATGCTGTTTTTTAACACAAACACCTCCCACCTGCGGTTCATGAAGCCAGCAAATGGGCAAGTGCTTTGGCTGGTGGAGTAGGCTTGTTTCTTTCATGGCTTTTACCTGAGAAGGTAAAATGACTGAAAATCTGCAATTCAGCCTCAAAGTATTTAGGGTAGGCAGGAAACTGGAAAACAAGATAGTCCCCATAACAAGATGGCCCCCATATTCCTGGAGAAGAATCTGGGGTTCAGGAAGGTGATTCATTTGAGGAAGAATCAAGTGATTTCTCAGCAGAGTAGGAAACAAAAGGTCACCCTTCCTTGAGTCAGAGGTCCCTGGGAGCCATCCTAACAGGACATCAGCTTTCCCCAGCCCTGTGGCCTTTGGGCTGGTGCTGGCTGCCTGGGGGCCCTGGCATGGAAGATGAGGAGTGGGCTGGATCCCAGCACGCAGACTCAACACTGACTTGGAGCAGGTGGTGCCTAAGGCTGCCTGAGAACCACTGCCGACTGACCGTTCCAATGCTGTCCCTTCATTCCTTCATATTTCCCCCCTCTTAGCAGCCCCATTTAATCCAAAGTCTTGTTACAAATACACACGACAAGGTGGCTCAGAGTCAAAGGAAGCCTGTGCTTCAGGGCAGGTAAGACCTCAAGTGGACCTGGGCAGTGACGCCGGCTGCTCCACAGCCCCAAACGCTGAGGAACGTGGGCCTCCCAACTCCACCGCGGACCCGCCCACTGGGCCACTCGGGAAACCCTTTCCCAAAATGAACTTTTACCAAAGAGGACAAAATTCAACTGAATCACATGGAAATCTGACAGGACAAGGGAAAGAAAACTTGACTGAGAGACAGGCACGAGGACGGGAGGGAGGAGGATCCAGGCAGGTCCTCACGTGTCCAGGCGCTGGATCTCAGGGCGACTGTCCACATCCCTGGACTCCGTGCGGGCTCGGATGTAGTCATTGGTGCTCTGCTGGCGGACGCTGACTCTCCATTTCTGCACTGCCAGGAATGTGTTCACTGCATATGCCGCAGTCGCCAAGAAGCCAAATATCTAAAAACACACCAGCACAGTTAGTCCTCGGGCACGTGGCCTGGCCCCTCAAGGCTTCTGTGGTGACCCAAGCCACATGCAGCCCCTTCCTGCTCTGCCAGCTGATCATTACAACCCTGTGCCTTCATTCCTTGATCTCTTCCCCCTCTCAGCAGCCCCATTTGATCTAAAGTCTTGTTTCAAATACATATGACGGGGTGGCTCAGAGTCAAAGGGAAGCCTGTGCCCAGCCCTGCTGGATGTGTGGCTGTCACACCACAGCTGAGTCTCTAGTCATGTGACACACAGAAAATCTTGCCTGACCTAAAGACAGCCTAAGGTTTCTTTTGAAGTATTTTGGACGTATAAAAAAATAAATCACAAAAGTACCTCTTTTACTGCAACTTCAGGGCCTCTGGTCCCAGATGAGAAAATACAGTGCAGACAAAATGTAACATAGACAGAAAATCAGGGTTTCGCATGTGGGTCCCAAATCAAGCCACAGGGCCAATGTTCCACATCACAGCCCCCATCCCACACCTGCCTCTCATGGGGCAGCTCCAAGTAAGCAGCTCCAGAGTAAGAAGCACAGAGTTTTAATTATTAAGACTTACAAATCGCCTGAGTGGCACCTGGGAGAGCAGTTCGTTTAATCATTTATAAACCTTTTAATCCCCCCATTACAAAAAGGATAACTGTTCCTCATAAACTGAGAACAATACAGAAATGCAGGGCATGGAGAGGGGAAGTCCTACATTATCTGGTCCCCACCTGCCGTGGCATTTCCACCTTGAAATGTCATGTGACTGCTAAATGGTGTCATGACTGCATTCAAGAACCCTCCCTTCCCCAGGCAGATAAGGCTCTTAGACATCAAGGACTGTGTTGGAAACGAACCAAAGCAGGGGTTCTTGAACTTGAGAGCACATCTGTATCATCCAGAGGGTTACTTCAAATACATTTCTGACTCAGTAGCTCTGGAGCGGAGCCTAAGGATGTCTAACAGATGCCAAGGCTGCTGTTCTGGGGCCCATACTTTGAGAACCACAGCACTGAAGGGACTGGGACCCCCACTGGCCCAGTAACATCATCTTTAGCAAAGAAAAGCCACAGGAGGGGGAGCAGGACACATGCCAGGGACAGGCGAGCAGGTCACAGGAGGTCCCCAGATCAGCTTGCTTTAACCATTTGAGTTTGCTTACCACGGCAGCAATTTCTGCTCCGGCTCTATGGTTTAAAGCAGCCAGTACGATTGAAGCAATAAAGAAAAGGAAAGCGCTGAGTCCAGTGTTGACCAAATCCTAAAGGGAGAGACAAAATAAACCAAGTGAAAAGAACCATTCCATCTTTGCTCTAAAAGCAACTGGAGAACTTTCAAAATAAGACCCACGATACCCAACCTCCCTGGTGGCTCCATATTTCAGTCTCAATGTCACAGGGTTACTGGTCACACAAAAGAAGGCAAAGTTAACAGTTTATGACACTACTTGATAAATCACCACCACAAAATCTACATTTTCACCAACCCCACTACCCTTTCTGAAGAAATAGTAACCAAAATTGCTAACACTAATTACCATTTAGAGGTCTGGTGCCATCTTTTAAAAACCACACTCAAATCATCTTGCTATGGACAAAGCTCCCCAAGGATCCAAATGTACTAAAACTGGTGAAATCCCTCCAGCATTCCCTGCACTCACATGTGACATTCAAAACAAACTTTCACACAGAGAGCACACTTAGCCAGACTTCACGCTCTTTCTCAAGCAGTCTTTCAAGCCTCTATGTCACTAAAGCCTGGAGAATTTTCTCCTAAGCTTCTTGCACAGCATGCATCCACCGTTTCACAGATTTAGCTCGTCTTATTTGTAGAAGGGAACATAGCAGGGTAATGAAAGGTCACAGCTTGACCAGGGTCCAAACCACCCATATGACTTTGGACAAGCTACTTTGTTTCTGTGCTTTACGTGAGAATGTACCCCCTTCCTCCCAGAGTTGTTGAAGGAATTAAATGGAACCATACAGGTGAAGAGCCCAGCATGGTGCCTGGCCCACAGCTACAGTGGCCTACATATTTACTGTCACTTCTGTTATTACTACTTTGGCATGAGGCACCCAGTAGCCTGGGTCATACCAGAGTACCTCTAAAACCTCTATAGGAAAAAAATTCAGGAAAAAGCCCAAACTGCCTGAGTGCCAGGCTGATTACACTATCCACACCTGATGGATCCTCTGGTCTGGCCTAGCTCCAAGGTCGATTTCCTCTTTTTGAAGATGTAAAGATGGCTGGTGCGGTGGCTCATGCCTGTAATCCCAGCACTTTGGGAGGCTGAGGCGGATGGATCACTTGAGGTCAGGTGTTCGAGAACAGCCTGGTCAACATGGTGAAACCCCATCTCTACTAAAAATACAAAAATTAGCTGGGCATGGTGGCGCATGCCTGTAATCCCAGCTACTTGGGCAGCTGAAGTACGAGAATCACTTGAACCCGGGAGGCAGAGGTTGCAGTGAGCTAAGATCGTGCCACTGCACTCTAGCCTGGGTGACAGAGCGAGACTCTTGTCTCAATAAAATAATAAAATAAGATGTAAAGAGACAATGCTGGCATCATAACAGTGCTGAGTCTTGCAGCAGACACCCAACCTGCTCCTGGCTCATGGAAAGCTCTGCTCAGACGCATCTGCCAGCAGGATGGGTTTCAGCTATGACCTGCGTAAGCCAGGGCAAATTTTTCACAAATTCAAACCAGGAAGCGTTTAGTTACACTCAGCTCTGGGTAAGATGCTGTAGGGGTAAAAAAAGAATATAAAATATACTTCCCAAAGCAAAGACTATTCAGAAACGAGGGGAAAATACAATACACTGTGAGGTCAAACATCAAATAAAACAGTATCAACATTAACAGTGACTACATAAAAACAGAGATGCAGCAAAGGGCTAGAAAACAAACAGGCCGGGCACGGTGGCTCATGCCTGTAATCCCAGCACTTTGGGAGGCCGAGGCGGGCGGATCACCTGAGGTTGGGAGTTCGAGACCAGCCTGACCAACATGGAAAAACCCCGTCTCTACTAAAAATACAAAATTAGCCGGGTGTGGTGGCACATGCCTGTAATCCCAGCTACTCGGGAGGCTGAGGCAGGAGAATCGCTGGAACCCGGGAGGCGGAGGTTGCAGTGAGCCAAGACTGCGCCGCTGCACTCCAGCCTAGGCAACAAGAGCGAAACTCTGTCTCAAAAAAAAAAAAAAAGAAAAAGAAAAAAGAAAACAGTCAAAAATTTTAAAGTTGTAGGAGTATCAGTAGTTTTAAATTTGCTTTAGTAATGATCATTAACAGTAGTGAGTGAAGAATGAGATGATGAATGGGAACAGCAAATACAGGGAAAAAATATGTCAAAAAGCCTATTTTAAAAAGATAAAAAATAATCTTTCAACATGATCTGAGGCTAAGAAACCAGATTAAACCAGGGGAAAAAAACGCCAGCAACTGCTAACAAGAGCATAACATATCTGCCTCCTCAAATCCCACTGAATCATATTTAAATACTGAAGCACTTGCTTAAAAGATGAATCTAAATATAATTGAGCTTCTAGGACTGTGCTGTCCAATAGGGCAAACACTAGCCATATGTGACTGAAGTTAAACTAATTCATATAAGATAAAAAATTTCACTCTTCAATCACACTAGCCACAATTCGAGTGCTCAGTGGCCACATGTGACAAGTGGCTGCCTCAAGGGCACAGCAGATCAGAAAACATTTCAATTGTCAGAGCAGCTGCTATAGCACCACACTGCCCTGAGATCAATGACTAGGTCACAGAGAAAATGGGGAAAGAAGGACATATGAAACACTACCATGAGGGTGCATGCAGCCAACTCAACTGCAAGACCCTCTACAGGATAAATGACCCAGTTTTTCTAACAAGTCAACAGAATAAAAAGAAAAAGGGAGGCCAGGCACAGCAGCTCATGCCTATAATCCCAGCACTTTGGGAGGCCGAGGTGGGCGGATCACCTGAGGTCAGGAGATGGAGACCAGCCTGGCAAATATGGTGAAACCCCGTCTCTACTAAAAATACAAAAATTAGCTGGACCCCGTCTCTACTAAAAAATTAGCTGTGGCCAGGCGTGGTGGCTCACATCTGTAATCCCAGCACTTTGGGAGGCCAAGGTGAGTGGACAGCCTGAGCTCAGGAGCTCAAGACCACCCCTAGGCAATATGGCGAAACCCCATCTCTACTAAAACACAAAAAATTAGCCAGGCACGGTGGCATGCACCATGTAGTCCCAGTTACTCGGCAGGCTGAGGCAAGAGAATCGCTAGAGGCCAGGGGGCGGAGATTGCAATGAGCCAAGATCTCGCCACTGCACTCCAGCCTGGGCGACAGAGTGAGACTCCCTCTCAAAAAAAAAACAAAGTTAGCTGGGCATAGTAGCACATGCCTGTAGTCCCAGCTACTCGGGAGGCTGAGGCAGAAGAACTGCGTGAATCCAGGAGGCAGAGGTTGCTGTGAGCCCAGATTGCGCCACTGCACTCCAGCCTGAGAGACAGAATGAGACTCCGTCTCAAAGAAAAAAAAAAAGAAAAAAAAGGAAAAAAAAGAAAATCATATTGGGGGCCAGGCATGGTGGCTCCTGCCTGTAATCCCAACACTTGGGAGGCTGAGGTGGGTGGATTGTTTGAGCTCAGGAGTTCGAGACCAGCCTGGGCAACACAGCAAAACCCTGTCTCTACAAAAAAATTCAAAAAAATTAGCCAGGCATGGTAGTGCGTTCCTGTAGTCCCAGCTACTTGGAAGGCTGAGGTAGGAAGATTGTTTGAGCCCAGGAGGTCGAGGCTGCAGTGAGCGGAGACTGCGCCTCTGCACTGCAGCCTGGGGGACAGCGTGAGACTCTGTCTCAAAAAAATAAATAAATAAATGATATAAGGCAAAAAGGTCTAAGTATAAGGAAGCAAACAAAGTGCTCAATAGGGGAGTTGTTCAATAAAATGGTATTTCCATAATGGAACACTATGCAGTCATTAAAAATAATCACGTAGTTATATATTTAACATGTAAGGTACAATAATTTAAATGAAAAAGCATGATTTTAATGGTTCCATTTTTCTGCACTCACATATCACAACACACATGCATACGCAAAAGACTGTCTAGAGAGAACAGTTTAGAAGGATTTATACTCAAGTATTTTAAGTGGTTACCCTTCATTGGGTCATATCACGTATTTTTAAACAGCTTTATTGAGATATAATTCACATACCATAACATATACCCAATTAAAGTATATAATTCAATCACAATGTAATTTTAGAACATTTTTAGCACTCCAAAAAAAGCCTCATACGCATTAGCAGTTATTTCTCATTCCTCCCCCAACCCTAAGCAACCACCAATCTGCTTTCTGTCTCTATGGATTTGCCTATTCTGGACATTTTTTTTTTCCTGTGTGTGAAATCTGCCACAAATATTCTGGACATTTCATACAAATAGAATGACATAACATGTGCTTTGTGCCTGGCCTCTTCTGAAGGCGTGGCCTGCCCCTCCACACCAGTGGGATATCTCGTCAGGTGGGACGAGAGACTGAGAAAAGAAGTAAGACACAGAGACAAAGCATAGAGAAACAACAGTGGGCCCAGGAGACCGGCACTCAGCATACCAAGGACCTGCCCCGGCACCGGTCTCTGAGTTCTCTGTTTTTATTGATTATTATTTTCATTATCTCAGCAAGAGGAATGCGGTAGGAGAACAGGATGATAATAGGGAGAAGGTCAGCAAAAAAAACATGTGAGCAAAGGAATCTATGTCATAATTAAGTTCAAGGGGAGGTACTATGTCTGGATGTGCACGTAGGCCAGATTTATGTTTCTCTCTGCCCAAACATCTCAGTGGAGTAAAGAATAACAAGGCAACATTGCTGCCAACATGTCTCGCCTCCCGCCATAGGGCGGTTTTTCTCCTATCTCAGAATTGAACAAATGTACAATCAGGTTTTATACCGAGACATTCCGTTCCCAGGGGCAGGCAGGAGACAGTGGCCTTTCTCTATCTCAACTGCAAGAGGCCTTCCTCTTTTACTAATCCTCCTCAGCACAGACCCTTTACGGGTGTCGGGCTGGGGGACGGTCAGGTCTTTTTCATCCCATGAGGCTGTATTTCAGACTATCTCACGGGGAGAAACCTTGGACAATACCCGGCTTTCCAAGGCAGAGGTCCCTGTGGCTTTTAGCAGTGCGTTGTGCCCCTGGTTTATTGAGACTAGAGAATGGCGATGACTTTTACCAAGCATACTGCTTGTAAACATTTTGTTAACAAGGCACGTCCTGCACAGCCCTAGATGCCTTAAACCTTGATTCCATACAACACATGTTTTTGTGAGCTCAAGGTTGGGGCAAAGTGGCTGGGGCAAAGTTACAAATTAACAGCATCTCAGCAAAGCAATTGTTCAAGGTACAGGTAAAAATGGAATTTCTTATGTCTTCCCTTTCTACATAGACACAGTAACAGTCTGATCTCTCTTTTTTTCCCCTACATCTTCCACTTAGTATAATGGTTCTAAGGTTTATTCATGTTGTAGCATGTATCAGTACTCATTCCTTTTTATTACTGAATAATATTCCATTGTATAGATACACCACGTTATTTATCCTTCATCAGTTGATGGACATTTATTTCTACTTTTTGGTTATTATAGATAATGTAGCTATGAACCTACAAGCTTTTGTGTGAACAAGTTTTCATTTCTCTTGGGTCATCAGATGATTTTTTTTAAATTATCTATTATCTTCTAGTTTTTGGGGTTTTTTTGTTGTTTTGTTTTGTTTTGTTTTACAATAAGCACTTATTACTCACACAACTTGAAAGGCTTAATACTGGAATACTGCAAATCTTAAGTCAGCATCAAGCACTTGAGTTCCTGGGCCATGAAACAAATCAAGGCTGAACTGATCACAAATGAAATATTTGTACACAGAATCAGCTGGGGGCTGTCACTGCAATCCTGGTTGGCCCCCAAACCAATGTGCTAGGTGGCTGGCTCTAGCCTCTGTCCTATCCATCCAGGAGACAAGAACGTTTGCAAGCACTCGACCCATCCTTTGCACTCACTTGTGCTTGAATGGCCCCAGGATCAAAGGGACAATTATAATGTTGATGACAGTAGCAGCTACCATCTATGGAGTCACTGTGCCAATCATATCGCTCCCAGTGAATTCTAACCTAATTATGATCCAAAATGCCCACAAGACAGGACTTGTTATTTTGCTCTACTTTCATGGATGAGGAAACTGGGTCCCAGAAAGAATGAGTGTGCTATAATGAAAAATATTTAATCAAATCCTTGAATCTCTTGAGTGATATGAGCATCTTTTGTTATTCATAATGAGTCCCTTTCAATCATACCCGAGTTTATGCTAACGAAGTGACTTTTGTGGGAAGAGGGTGGTAGACAGTTTCAGGATAGGGGCAGGTCACCAGAAAAACCAGCCAGGTGATTAGAGAGTTGGAATTTTCAGCCCCATCCCCTGGACCTCCAGGGAAGTTAGAGGAGCTGGACATTGAGTTCAATCACCAAATGGCCAATCAGTCATGCCTACCTAGTGAAATCTCCAGAAAAAATACCTGAACGATGGGGTCTGGGGAGCTTCTGAGTGGAGCTCATTCTGACTCCATAAGGACAGAGGCTCCTGCATCTGAGGCCCTCCAGACCTCACCCTATGCATCTCTCCCATGTGGCTGTTCCTGAGTTGTATCGTTTAAAACATATCAGTAATTGTTTAAGTAAAGCCCCTTCCTGAGTCCTGTGAGTCACTGCAGAAAATGACTGAACCTGAGGGGTGGTGGAAACCATCGAATCTGTACTCAGCCAGACAGAAGTGCCTGGGCACCCCTTTTGCAGCTGGTGTCTAAAGTGGGGCCATCTTGTGGGACTGGGCCCTCGTCTGTGGGATCTGTGCTAACTCCGAGAGTTAGTGTCAGAATTGAACGGAATTGTTAAACACCCAGTCAGTGTCAAAGGATTACAGAACAGCTTGGTGTGGAAAATGTATTTGGTGTCAGAAAAAAAAAAACACAAGACTTTCCCTCTCCCTCTCCCCCTCCCCCTCACCCTCCCCCTCCCCCCTCCCTCTCCCTCTCCCCACAGTCTCCCTCTCCCTCTCTTTCCACGGTCTCCCTCTGATGCCGAGCCGAAGCTGGACTGTACTGCTGCCATCTGGGCTCAATGCAACCTCCCTGCCTGATTCTCCTGCCTCAGCCTGCCGAGTGCCTGGGATTGCAGGCGCGCGCCGCCACGCCTGACTGGTTTTCGTATTTTTTGGTGGAGACGGGGTTTTGCTGTGTTGGCCGGGCTGGTCTCCAGCTCCTAACCGCGAGTGATCCGCCAGCCTCGGCCTCCCGAGGTGCCGGGATTGCAGACGGAGTCTCGTTCACTCAGTGCTCAATGGTGCCCAGGCTGGAGTGCAGTGGCGTGATCTCGGCTCGCTACAACCTCCACCTCCCAGCCGCCAGCCTTGGCCTCCCAAAGTGCTGAGATTGCAGCCTCTGCCCGGCCGCCCATCGTCTGGGATGTGAGGAGCCCCTCTGCCTGGCTGCCCAGTCTGGAAAGTGAGGAGCATCTCTGCCCGGCCGCCATCCCATCTAGGAAGTGAGGAGCGTCTCTGCCCGGCCGCCCATCGTCTGAGATGTGGGGAGCGCCTCTGCCCCGCCGCCCCGTCTGGGATGTGAGGAGCGCCTCTGCCTGGCCGCGACCCCATCTGGGAGGTGAGGAGCGTCTCTGCCCAGCTGCCCCGTCTGAGAAGTGAGGAGACCCTCCGCCCGGCGGCCGCCCCATCTGAGAAGTGAGGAGCCCCTCCGCCCGGCGGCCACCCCATCTGAGAAGTGAGGAGCCCCTCCACCCAGCAGCCACCCCATCTGGGAAGTGAGGAGCGTCTCTGCCCGGCAGCCACCCCGTCCGGGAGGGAGGTGGGGGTCAGCCCCCGCCCGGCCAGCCGCCCTGTCCGGGAGGGAGGTGGGGGGTCAGCCCCCCGCCCGGCCAGCCGCCCCGTCCAGGAGGGAGGTGGGGGGTCAGCCCCCCGCCCGGCCAGCCGCCCGGTCCGGGAGGGAGGTGGGGGGTCAGCCCCCGCCCGGCCAGCCGCCCCGTCCGGGAGGTGAGGGGCGCCTCTGCCCGGCCGCCCCTACTGGGAAGTGAGGAGCCCCTCTGCCCGGCCACCACCCCGTCAGGGAGGTGTACCCAACAGCTCATTGAGAACGGGCCATGATGACAATGGCAGTGTTGTGGAATAGAAAAGGGGGAAAGGTGGGGAAAAGACTGAGAAATCGGATGGTTGCTGTGTCTGTGTAGAAAGAAGTAGACTTGGGAGACTTTTCATTTTGTTCTGTACTAAGAAAAATTCTTCTGCCTTGGGATCCTGTTGATCTATGACCTTACCCCCAACCCTGTGCTCTCTGAAACATGTGCTGTGTCCACTCAGGGTTAAATGGATTAAGGGCGGTGCAAGATGTGCTTTGTTAAACAGATGCTTGAAGGCAACATGCTCCTTAAGAGTCATCACCACTCCCTAATCTCAAGTACCCAGGGACACAAACACTGCGGAAGGCCACAGGGTCCTCTGCGTAGGAAAACCAGAGACCTTTGTTCACTTGTGTATCTGCTGACCTTCCCTCCACTATTGTCCTATGACCCTGCCAAATCCCCCTCTGCGAGAAACACCCAAGAATGATCAATAAAAAAATAAAATAAAATAAAATAAAATAAAAAAACACAAGACGAGTCACGCCCTAGGGCTCAGGGCTCAGCCAGTGGCCCCTGTGGGTAACTGCCAACTGTTCTCAACCCACCACAGCACCCAGCCTGGGTTCTGAGATAGAGGCCTAAGAGGCCTCCAGGGCCACAGAGCCCACTAAGAAAGGGTGACCAAAGCGGAAGAAGAAAAACAGGACAGTGTGGGGGCCCAGGATGCAAGGTGAGAGAGTATGGCAGGAAGGACAGAGTGCCCCATAGCAGACACCACCAGGATGTTGAGTGGGGTGAGAACCCAAGAGCAACCAGAGGATCTAGGAACACGGAGGCCCCGTCCCAGGCTCCTGACCAGGGGACTTTCAATGCTGCCAGACTGGAGTGGGCTGAAGATGAATTGCGGAAGACCACCACATAGTCAGGATGGTGGACTGGGGGAAGGGGCAGGGGGTGTGTTTAGCTGGAAAATACACATGGGAAGCTTTTGGGGTGTTGACAATCTCCTATTTATTGACCCAGGTGGTGGCTGTATATTAAACTCCATATTTACTTTCATAATTTTTTCAGAATTTGACAATAAGAGATTAGAAAAGTGAGATTAGGAGAGGGGGAAGTAGAGAAGGCAAGTGCAGACCTCCTCTTCTGGGAAGTGGGGCTGAGCTGGCCCTGGGCTCTGGGGCCAGTTGAGTGGGAGCCACTGGCAGGCTTTTGGGATGGGGGAGGATCAGACACGCCTTTTAGATAGCGCCACATCCCAGAAGGGAAGGGGAGGAAAGGAGGAGCCCCGTGGCACTAATCAAAGTAAACAGGGGTGGAACATGTGAGTGTATGAGCTCCTAGGACACAGAGAAAAACAAATATCGCCAGGCACGGTGGGTCACGCCTGTAATCCCAGCACTTTGGGAGGCTGAGGCGGGCAGGTCACCTGAGGTTGGGAGTCCAAGACCAGTCTGACCAACATGGAGAAACCCCCTCTCTACTAAAAATACAAAAAAATTAGCCGGGTGTGGTGGCACATGCCTGTAATCCCAGCTACTCGGGAGGCTGAGGCAGGAGAATCGTTTGAACCTGGGAGGTGGAGGTTGCGTTGAGCCAAGATTGTGCCACTGCATTCCAGCCTGGGCAACAAGAGCGAAACTCCGTTTCAAAATATATATATATAAATATATATATATATAAATATATATATATAAATATATATATATATCAAAGTCCCACAATCCATCCAAAAATAAACCCAAACCAAAAACTTGACATTAACAGAATCATTCAAATTCCATCAAATTATGCTTGTAGAAAATTATGCACTGTCCTCCTTATTTATCATTTCTCATCCATATTTATGTCAACCTGGGCTCCTGGAATGACCTGTGTTTTTAAATCTATACCAATCACACCCTATTTTAACCATCAGGCTGGCTCTGCTGGAGACAAAAATACTCCCAATACTCCCACCACCTTGTTACAGAAACACAACACAGCCAAGGCCAACCCTTCTGTAGCGAGTTGATGAGCTGAGATCGGCCGTGAGGAGCTCACTTTTTCACCCCTCTCAGAGAACACTGGACATGAGCTGCCTTTAATAGATACCATCTTGGCAGGGTGCAGTGGCTCACGCCTGTAACCTCAGCACTTTGGGAGGCTGAGGTGGGCAGATCACCTAAGATCAGGAGTTGGAGAACAGTCTGGCCAACGTGGCGAAACCTCGTCTCTATTAAAAATACAAAAATTAGCTGGGCACGGTGGCACATGCCTGTAATCCCAGCTACTCAGGAGGCTGAGACAGGAAAATCACTTGAACCCGGGAGGCAAAGGTTGCAGTGAGCCGAGATCGCACCACTGCACTCCAGCCTGGGCGACAGAGCAAGACCCCATCTCAAAAAAAAAAAAAAAAGGTACCATCTCCTCAAGTTCATGTAAGGTATATGCCCTTTTGTTGGGCAAACACACAGCCTTTATCTGCTCCAAAAGAGTGGAAAGTCTAGAACGGATCCCAAAGAACAGGATCGTGTTCTCAAGTGACCACATCACCAACACCCAACCACAGGCCCAGGCCACCACCACCCAGAGGAAAAGAACGAGTATCAACTTCCCTGGGGAGAGATGCACCTCAACATGACCGGTGACATGGTAGTGTGGTAGTCAACAAGTGGAAAATCTTTCATGATTAAAATAGAAAAAGCAGAATTCCAGAAAGCTCACTAAATAGGTATTTCTGGGCTGGGTGTGGTGGCTCACACCTGTAATCCCAGCACTTTGGGAGGCTGAGGTGGGTGGATCACCTGAGGTCAGGTGTTTGAAACCAGCCTGGCCAAGATGGTGAAACCCCATCTCTACTAAAAATACAAAAATTAGCTGGGCATGGTGGTACATGCCCATAATCTCAGCTACTAGGGAGGGTGAGGCAGGAGAATCGCTTGAACCCGGGAGGCGGAGGTTTCATTGAGCCGAGATCACGCCACTGCACTCCAGCCTGGGCAACAGAGCAAGACTCTGTCTCAAAAAAACAAAAAAAAAAACCCAAAAACAACAAAAAGTAGGTATTTCTGGGGATAAACGCTGGTATAAATTAGTAAGAAATCTGAAGCATGAAGTCTTTTAACAGGTTAATGGCTGTCAGATAAATGGACAAAACAGAATTAAGGGGGTCAAGTCAAACCTGGTGGAAGTAAACAGGGGAACAGTGTGGGTAACATAACAGCAGCGTGCCAGGACACCTCTTACTCAGGTGAGATGAACATTGCTGCACTGGCCACAGCGCCCACTGGTTTGAGGCCTTACCAGATGCCTTTACACCCATTACCTCATTTTATACTTAAAAAAAAACCCTGCAAAAAAAAAAATTATTATCTCCACTTTACCAGTGCTGACACTTCACCAATGTAGGGCTCTCAGTGACTAGCCCAGGGTCATGCACAGCCTGTTTCAGCAGCTACCTTGGACTTGAACCCAGCTCGGTCTGTCTGACTCAATGCCTATAGTCTTAACCTTTCCAGCAGCTGCTTCTTTGTCAAACAGGTCCTCCCGCAGGGTTTCACAGCCCAGCCCCTTACTCAACAAGTATTTATTGACAGGCCTCAGGAACACTAGGCAAGTAGGATAGCAATGAACAAGATGCTGACCTTGACCTTGACCCTGCATCCATAGTATGAGCATTTTAACTGGGGGAGGTTTGCAAAGTTCTCTTAAACAGTCTACTACATGCTCTGTAAGCATTTTCTTATGGATAACATAAACCTCATTTTAAAAATAGTTGAGACATTACAACCTGTCACAAAAACTCAGACAAAATGCTTCTAGTTATCTTGAGGTTTTAGAGCTTAAATTTAAAATACCACCACATTTTTCTCAGCTTCCAGTGCTAAGACAAAAAACAGCTAAGTTTTCAACTGATATCTACTTTTCTAGATCAGCAACTCTCCTTTTTTCCTCCTTTAGGAGTCTGTGCTGGTTAGGACAACCCAGAGAGCACCTGTAAGGAGGACCTTCCCCACCCAGGGCACACCAGGAGAGCAGCCCTGACAGGGAGGTGGCAGCTCCAGCCTCCTCCTTGGGGCCCACACTTTCTCATGGGCCCAGCAGCAGCCAAACACAGACAGAGCCACGTGTGGCTTCTGTGTGGCTCCCAATCTCAGGCAAGGGTAGCTGGTCTGAGGCGCTCTCCTCCTGCTTCCCCCTCAGCAGCTGAGGTGCCCACGGCGTTCTCATCCCACAGGCACAGCAGTGTGAGGCAGCCGACTGTGCTTACGTGGATCTCCCTGACTGACTCCCTTTGAGCTCTTGCACATGCTAATTTGTAAATAAATATCAAGAAAACCAAATGATATTAAAATCCTCTTCTCATTCAGCACAGTAAGGACACAGTCTAGGAAAGGGGGTCTAGGACTGACCAGCCCTGTGCTTCCCATCTGATTAACAAGGGTGGCCAAACAGAGCTAAGAACCCAAACCATGGGGAGAAGGGGCAGGTTTCCACTCAAGACTTTCTGATCAAACCACCAAACCCCCCCAGGTCCTCCTAGTTGCTTTGAATTTAATAATATTCCTAGGCTCTGTAAGTTACTGGCATTTTCATTCATATTTTCAATTCTTCCAGAATCAATATTTTTATAAATGGCTTTTAGGTCCAGTCTGAAAAGTATGTAAATGTCTACACTGTATTTTATTTCCCATATTCTCCAAATATCAACATGACCAGTCTTCTCAGATGATTGCAAAATT
The DNA here is from genome assembly GCF_000001405.40 of Homo sapiens. NCBI lineage: Eukaryota > Metazoa > Chordata > Mammalia > Primates > Hominidae > Homo > Homo sapiens. Next base: position 66,636,160 of record NC_000016.10, read on the forward strand.
GAAATGACATCTTTAAGGTGGCCAAAATAATTGTTATGATGTTTCTCCCATTAGTTAAGATTCAGTTTATTTTGTAGTTTTACTTAACCCAGTAAAGAAATTTAAAATTTCACAGTTGAATTATAATAGAATATTTAAGGATCAAAATGAACTAGAACCAAACATGACCTGGAGAGATTCCAGCTTTTCCTTGGAGCCAACAGGCACGTGATCCTTTCATGGCCAGAGTGGCCGCTTGTACTCACTGTCAGATTCCAGTTGATCTGGGGGATCCTCATGTGCAGGTTGAGACTGAACATAATCAGCAAGACGCCAGTCACCACAAACGCACTGCAGCTCACAAACTCAAAAAAGTAGAGGCCTTCACACGGGGAGCATGCCATGATGGTCTCTATGCAGATGAATGCAATCAGGGCCAAGATCTAGGAAGAAAATTGGAAACATATATGTACGTATATGTTTAGTATACATCTGCGGACATACGTACCTGCCATGCTTATATAACACTGAACAACAACATACTGCCACTGAGTTTTCCTCTGGGACAGCAGTGTAACTGTCGGAAATCAGACCTGCTTCAATTCTTACCTAAAGAATAGGTGCAGGGGTCTTAATGGAAGGATCAAATTACTAATGTAAACAGTGAAGGCCCCACCACATACACTGAAATCAATCTGGTGTGATGTGGCCCCCGGGTGTAAACTGCTGGCCCTTGGGAGGAAGCAGAAACATCTCTACAATGTTTCTAGGTCTTCTCCTGCCACCAATAAGTAAGTGGGTGTTGCCTATGTGTGTTTCTAATTCATGGTCTCTACCACAATTATCCCAAACACTGGGAGAGCAGAATTCTGATGGTGTCTGACTTGTGCCATCTGCAGTTACCTTGGTGGCTCCTGCTAAAGTCACACAGGTTAACTGGGACTCCTGACGGCTTTAAAACAATGATTGGTATAATCTCCTTTTCCCCCAATTAGGTGGGAACAAGAGGCGCACCTAATTAATTCATATGGTTTTAAAAAATATATTTTTTGAACTTGATCACAACAAGATGGCAGCTTATTAAAAAACATTAAGAAATCTACCAATAATAGAATAAATTTCTAGGCTGGGCACGGGGGCTCATGCCTGTAATCCCAGTACTTTGGGAGGCCAAGGTTGGCAGATCACCGGAGGTCTGGAGTTCAAGACCAGCCTGACCAACATGGAGAAACCCCCTCTCTACTAAAAATACAAAATCAGCCGGGTGTGGTGGCGCATGCTTGTAATCCCAGCTACTCAGGAGGCTGAGGCAGGAGAATCGCATGAACCTGGGAGGTAGAGGTTGCAGTAAGCTGAGATCGCGCCATTGCACTCTAGCCTGGGCAACAAGAACGAAATTCCATCTCAAAAAAAAAGAATAAATTTTTTTCTGAAGGACCAAAGTACCATTCTGGCAATATGTCCTAAGAGTTCATAGATCATAAAATCAAATAGATATTGATAGAAATTACCAAGTGAACTTTTAAAGGGGGATTTCAGGAGAAGGAGGAGGCCCAAAGGCGGAGTTAATGGCCCTGTGATCAAAGAAAGGTTTCGAGCACCTAAAGCCAGATCAGTCTCAGGCTCCCGCTCCGCCCAGTTCAGTGGCATCTGAAGCCTATGCCGCTGCTTCCAGGCTGGCCTCCACCTCAAAAGTCAAGGAAGCAGAGGCAGGCAGCTCTGTGGTCCTCTAGAGACTTGTCCTTTAGAGCTTGTGGGAAATGCAGAATCTCTGCTTCCTCCCCTTGAACTACAGAATCAGAATCTGCTTTCTGATGAGATCTTCAGATGATTAAAATGCCAGCAGCATCCAAGGCACGGGCTGTTCTGGGGCCTTTCTCCACCTGCTGAAAGTCCTACTCATGCTTTCCAATGCTCCACTTGATGATGCCGCCACCTCCTCCCCATGTCTTCCCTGACTGCTTCTCCCTGCCAGACATCAGCTTATCCCACCCTCTCCCAGGAAAGCTGGTTCATCTGTGATTGCATTCTATCCTTACCATCTTGCAGCCTCTGCCTCCGGAGCTTTTAGGGGGCAGGGTAGTCCATCCCCATCTACCCCCAAGGCACCAAGCACAGTAACTTTCACATAGCTGGCAGATGGGGGCTGAATGAGCCATTAGAAAACCCACATCTACAATTCCTGGTTGCCTGGTCAGTGTCTTCAGGCGAATGGAAGAGTGGTTCTGCCTTTCCCATTGTCAATACTTCTACACAGAACCTCTTTCCTAACAATATGTGGTCTTTTCTAAGTCAACACATTAAAGACATGGGTCTTCTTGGTCAAAGGATACAAAATTTCAGTTAGACAGGAAGAATAAGTTCAAGAGATCTATTGTACAACATGGTGACTTAGTCAACAACAATGTATTGCATTGTATTGTTGAGAGGAGATTTTAGGCTGGGTGTGGTGGCTCATGCCTGTAATCCCAGCACTTTGGGAGGCTGAGGCAGGTGGATCACCTGAGGTCAGGAGTTCGAGACCAGCCTGATTAACACGGTGAAACCCCGTCTCTACTAAAAATACAAAAATTAGATGGACATGGTGGTGGGCGCCTGTAATCCTAGCTACTTGGGAGGCTGAGGCAGGAGAATCACTTGAAACCCGGGAGGCGGAGGTTGCAGTGAGCTGAGATCGTGCCACTGCACTCTAGCCTGGGCGACAGAGTGAGACTCCATCTCAAAAAAAACAAAAACAAAAGCAAACAAACAAACAGAGTAGATTTTAAATGTTCTCACCACAAAAAAAAAAAACAAAGGTAAGTATGTGAGATAATGCACGTTACCTCACTGGATTGAGCCATTCCACATTGTATACACATTTAGAAACATCATGCTGTACACAGTAAATATAGAGATTTTTACTTGTCAATAACACAAAAGATATGGGTCTTTAAATATACACACTGTGCTTCTCCTAATAGCTCTTCTTATAATTCTCTACTGCACCATAGACTTTAATTCTCCATCTGAATTACATGCCTAACTTGCAATCAATTCACAAAAGAAATAGTTCACATAAGGGAAACTCCTAAACTTTCCCCTTTTTTTCACCCCAGTAATCAGATCTAGTAATCTTGGGCAAGAAATAACACACTGTACTGATGAGTTACAAATGTTTCTGGTATGCTAACTTCAACCATATTTGTGTGGGAAGGTAACACCTACATTCTTAAATATTAACATAAAAATGGCTTCACGGATATGCAAATCTAATAGACCATTTGTTGTGGCAGTGAACAAAACAGACAAAAACTCCTGCTCTTAGCTCACAGTCTAATAAAGGAGTTGTTTTTTTTTAAATTACATTTAAAAAGAGTGAGTTAGTGATAAGAACGAAGGAGAAAAATGGAAGCAGGGAAGGTGAACAAAGCATAGCTGGGGCAAAGGTGTTCGAAAGTTTAGACACAGAGACCAGGAAGAGTGGCTCATGCCTGTAATCCCTTTGGGAGTACAGCACTTCAGGAGGTTGAGGCGGGTGGATTGCTTGAGGCCAGGAGTTCCATACCAGCCTGGCCAACATGGCGAAATCCTGTCTCTACTAAAAATACAAAAAGTAGCTGGGCATGGTAGCACATGCCTGTAATCCCAGCACATCAAAAGGCTGAGGTGGGTGGATCGCTTGAGGCCAGGAATTCCAGACCAGCATGGCCAACATGACAAAACTTTGTCTCTACTAAAAATACAAAAATTAGCCAGATGTGGTGCTGCACACCTGTAATCCCAGCTACCAGGGAGGCTAATGCATGAGAATCCCTTGAACCTGGGAGGCGGAAGTTGCAGTGAGTGGAGACTGTGCCACTGCACTCCTGCTTGGGTGACAGAGTGAGACTCTAAAAAAATTTTAACATAAAATAAAGTTTAGGGCAGGCGCAGTGGCTCACAGCTGTAATCCCAGCACTATGGGAGGCCGAGGCGGGTGGATCACATGAGGTCAGGAGTTCGAGATCAGCCTGGCCAACATGGTGAAACCACTAACTGGGCATGGTGGCGCACGCCTGTAATCCCAGCTACTCCGGAGGCTGAAACAAGAGAACTGCTTGAGCCTGGGGGCGGAGGTTGCAGTGAGCTGAGATCGCGCCACTACACTGCACTCCAGCCTGGGTGATAGAGTGAGACTCTGTCTCAAAAAAAATAATAAAAATAAATAAAGTTTAGACAGAGTGTCCCTGGAGGGTGCTATTTGAGACAGAGTTGCCGAACATATAAGGGACAGCTGTCTGGAGAAAGAGCACTGGAGGCAGAGTGGGGAGCAAGGTGAGATCCCTGGGAAGGGGGTCAGGTGGCCCCTAGGGAGAATCACAGGAGGGAGGTCAGACCCAAAGAGCGCTTGGGTGCAGTGAGGTATGCGGCTCTCACTCTGAGTGTGATGGAAGCACCAGAGAGTGGCAGGATCTCCTTTGGGTCTTAAAAGGGCCACCAGCTACTTTGCGGAGAACAGACTACAGTGAGGACAAGGGCAGAAGCCAGGAGGAGAGTGACAAGACCCTTGCAACAATGAATAGGGCTGACCTATTACCTTGCAGAAATGACTTCACAGGTGTGTGACTGCACAGGCTCAGTCAGAAAAGTTAGCATGGTTCCTGCCTTGCTCTCTCTTAGACCACTCATGATGGGGAAAAACCAGCTGCCATGTCTTGAGGGTACTCAAGCAGCCCTATGGAGAGGTATAGGTGCCAAGAACTAAAGCCTCCTGCCAACAGCCATGTTGAACAAGCCGTCTTAGACATAGGTCCTCCAGCCCCAGGCAAGCCTTCAGATGACATAGCCCTAGCCAAAAGCTTGACTGCAACCTCCTGAGAGAACCAGAGCAAAGCCACCCCCCAAATTCCTGACACACAGAAATGAAAAGAAAAGAAAGATCTGATTCTTGTTTGTTTGCTTTTTTAAGACAGGGTCTTCCTCTGTCACCCAGGGGGTGCAGTGATGCAATCATAGCTCACTGCAACCTTGAACTCCTAGACTCAAGTGACCCTCCTACCTCAAACTTTCGAGTAGCTGGAACTACAGGGGCACACCACCATGCCCAGATAATTCTTTATTTTGTAGAGACAGGGTCTCACACAGGCTGGTCTCAAACTCCTGGCCTCAAGAGATCCTCCCGCCTCAGCCTCCCAAAGCACTGGGATTACTGGTCTCAGCCACTGTGGCCCGCCTAAGATGTCTTGTTTTAAGTCACAAAGTTTTAAGGTAATTAGTTATGCAGCAATAAATAATATATCAGGGAGGGAAAACTCTTGTTGTTATAAAACATTAATATTCTACTCATTACTCATTGATTACAGGTACATACAAATCAAACACCTTATAGGCACTTCTTGTTTTTTATCATTTAGTTCCCCAGTACAACCTTATGAGGTAGATATTAGCCCCATTTTACAGATAAGGAAATTAAGGTTCTGTGACATATAGATAGCAAGAAGCGGTGCCAGGATGTAATAGCCAAGATTTGATTCTCAGTCTCTCCAGTTCTTACTGCCCCACTATGTTATTTCCCTATTAGCTTCTCACCCATAAAATTATACCTGCCTCCTTTCCAAATCTCAAATGGTCACTGTGTTCAAAATCCAAACAAAAATATATGTAAAAGGGCTCTACAAATGACAAAATGCTATATACAAAATAAGAAAATAACATGTTATAACCTACACCTATTTAAACCATAAAATACCTATTATATATCTTATTTTCCAGCCCACTTTTTCTGCTAAATAGTGTTTCCACAGGTATGTCCACATATAGATGTTACTTTTAATAATTACATGTATTCATATGTAATTACATAGACAGATACATAAATACACACATATACACCTCTATACACAACCACAATTTAATTGATCCCCTATTGATAGGCATTTAGATGGTTTCTAATACTCTGCTGTTACAAGCAAAACATTTTTTTGTCTGACATTGGACACAGCAAAATGTCAACATTTTCTCTAGCACAGTGAAATCTAATCACTGCTGAAATAAAAACTACCTATTGACCAAGAAGGGCTCAGATAAAGTGATACTAGAAGCCAACAACTTCAAGGGAACCAAAGAGTCAAAAATAGTTCAACTTATAACAACCTTGAAGTGAGCAAATGTCACGTGAACAAATTATACAGAGATGTCCAAAAAGATGTATATAAGAAAAAACTTTTTTGTTTACTAATCATGCGATTATGGATGCCCTTGGAGAGAGTCCTTTCCAGGTGGCAACTACAAACTGACCAGAGTAAATATTTTAATATTTGATAAGTAAACTGGGCCAGGTACAGTGGCTCACACCTGTAATCCCAGCACTTTGGGAGGCCAAGGGAGTTGGATCACTTGAGGCCAGGAATTCCAGACCAGCCTGACCAACACAGTGAAACCCCTGTCTCTACTAAAAATACAAAAAATTAGCTGGGTGTGGTGGCACATGCCTGTAATCCCAGCTAGGCAGGAGGCTGAGGCATGAAAATCACTTGAACCCTGGAGGTAGAGTTTGCAATGAGCCGAGATCGCGCCACTGCACTCCAGCCTGGGTGACGAAGGGAGACTTCATCACCAAAACAAACAAACGAACAAACAAAACCAGAATTGATATTAACAGGTTGTCAGATTTCCACAACTGTGGCAAATTATGATTGGCAGCATCTAAAAGCAGGAAGAGAAGGAAAGAGAGAGGACTGGCTGATGAAGTTACCATAATAGTCATCCTTCCACTCTAACTTTCTGTCACAGCTTCTTGTGCCAGGCAATAATGAAATAGCAATTTTTGGTTTTGTTTCGTTTGTTGCCAGAGTCTCTGTCGCCCAGGCTGGAATGCAGTGGTGAGATCTTGGCAAGTGCAACCTCTGCTTCCCGGGTTCAAGTGATTGTCCTGCTTCAGCCTCCTGAGTAGCTGGGATTACAGGCACCTGCCACCAAGGCCGGCTAATTTTTGTACTTTTAGTAGAGACAGGGTTTCGTCATGTTGGTCAGGCTGGTCTCAAACTCCTGACCTCAAGTGATCCACCCACCTCAGCCCTGCAAAGTACTGGGATTACAGGCATGAGCCACTGCACCCAGCCACAGTGGGCATTTTTGGCATTCAGCTAACTGGAAGTTGAGTGAGGGATACATTAAATTTGGGTTTAGCTGCCGGTTCCACGTGTGGTTAAGCTACCGTAGCACTCCCAGTGGAGGAATGGCTTTCACATATGCTCTGACACCACTGCACAGGCTCATCTGACATTATGACAATGGAACAGACCCCAAACTTCATGAGATAAACTGTCCTATGATGACCAACTAGAAATATGTGGGTAGTAGAGGAGAAATAGGGTTTGAAACATACGGAGCCAGAAGCTTGTCTGTGGGAAATTCTTCAGATCATCAAATGCATAAAATTGTAAGTACAGAATTCTATTGTCATCAGTGCCTAAATGAGAGTTGTGTCTTATCAGGAAAATACTCAGTAATGTAGTGTATGCAACTATAAATGCACTAAACGTTTTCTCCCTTTTTTGATGGGAGCCACATGAAATAGAATTTATCAGAATTCCAGGGTGTGTAGGGCACAAAACTGTGGCAGTACTATAAACAGCAAGTACTTCTTATTTTTATTATTATTATTATTTTGATATGGAGTTTCGCTCTTGCAGCCCAGGCTGGAGTGCAATGGCATGATCTCGGCTCACCGCAACCTCTGCCTTCCGGGTTCAAGCGATTCTCCTGTCTCAGCCTCCCAAGTAGCTGGGATTACAGGTGCCCACCACCACACCCAGCTAGTTTTTGTATTTTTAGTAGAGACGGGGTTTCATCATGTTGGCCAGGCTGGTCTCAAACTCCTGACCCCAGGTGATCCACCCACCTTGGCCTCCCAAAGTGCTAGGATTACAGGTGTGAGCCACCGCCCCCGGCCAACAGCCAAGTACTTCTGTGCAGGAGTTTGGAGTTTTATGTCTCCCAATGTACCAGATCGCATCTTGATACAGCTGATGAATTTTAAATTGACAAAGTCTGACAATCCCAAATAAAATGGCACACAAAATTGCTTCCAACTCACTGAAACAGCATGAAGAAACAAGTGTTCAGTGACAAACTCCTACACATGTTCATCAATAAACCAGTGAATGGGGCCTCAGAACATATTGACCGTATAATGACATGACGTTGCTCGAAACAATGTAGTGGCAACCTAAAATCTGAACTGCACTTGTGTACACCGAAATGTCAGGTAGACTTTGTATACTTTTTCAGAATTACTGATCATACTGAAGTTCAAATCTACGAAGGATCTATTGCAGTGGAGGCCAAAACAAAAACAGAAAGAAAATGCTTTTTAAATTTGTAATTTATTGTTTCCTGTTGGATGTCAAAAGAAGGCCCCCCCTTTGTCATTTAGTGTGTTTCTTATTTTAAAACAATATTCACTATTGTACCTGTCTTGTGTTTTTGTCTTTCTTTTTCCAAAATCATGAGTCTTAAGCTCCTCAAAACCTGTACCTACTGCTAGGTTTGGACAATGAGGTGTGAGTGGGGTAGACCCCTGTCGTGACCCTTGGCAGCAGCCTTTTGGAACTACAGACAGTTCCACCATGCTCCTTCCCTGCCACAGCAGCCTGCAATGTTCCAGACCCAGGGCGGGGGAGGGGAATGACCAATAAACACATCAACAGATGCTCAACTTCACTTCCAACAAGAGAAATGCAAACTGAGGTACCCTTTTCATCTACTCGATTCATAAAAATTATAAAGTGATATCCCATACTGGTGAGAAAATGTCAAATCAGGCCATTTTCCACACTGATGGTGAGGGTACAGACCAGCATGGCATGCAGACAGTGATCTCCCAATCCTTGTCAAAATTGGCCGGGCACGGTGGCTCATGCCTGTAATCCCAGCACTTTGGGAGGCCAAGGTAGGCGGATCACCTGAGGTCAGGAGTTTGAGACCAGCCTGGCCAACATGGTGAAACCCAGTCTCTACTAAAAATACAAAAATTATCTGGGCATGGTGGCAGGCGCCTGTAATCCCAACTACTTGGGAGGCTGAGGCAAGAGAATCACTTGAACCTGGGAGGCGGAGGTTGCAGTGAACTGAGATTGCGTCACTGCACTCCAGCCTGGGCAACAAGAGCAAAACTCCATCTCAAAGAAAAAACATGGCCAGGCACAGTGGCTCACGCCTGCAATCCCAGCACTTTGGGAGGCCAAGGCGGGTGGATCATGAGGTCAGGAGTTTAAGACCAGCCTGGTCAAGATGGTGAAACCCTGTCTCTACTAAAAATACAAAAATTAGCCAGGCATGGTGGCGGGCACATATAATCCCAGCTACTCGGGAGGCTGAGGCAGAGAACTGCTTGAACCCGGGAGGCAGAGGTTGCAGTGAGCCAAGATTGCGCCACTGCATTCCAGCCTGGGCGACAGAGACTCCATCTCAAAAACAAAAAACAAAAAACTGTAACTGTGCACACCTTTAGACCCAGAAATTCTAGGACTATGTACCCTATGAATAAATGCACATGTATGACGCTGCACTGTGTGTCGTATTAAAAAGTAACCAGGCCGGCTGTGGTGGCTCACGCCTGTAATCCCAGCACTTTGGGAGGCTTAGGTAGCTGGATCACCTGAGGTCAGGAGTTCGAGACCAGCCTGACCTATATCGTGAAACCCTGTCTTTACTAAAAATACAAAAATTAGCCGAGTGTGGTGGTGGGCGCCTGTAATCACAGCTACTCGGGAGGCTGAGGCAGGAGAATCACTTGAACCCAGGAAGTGGAGGTCACAGTGAGCTGAGATTGCGCCACTGTACTCCAGCCTGGGCGACAGAGCGAGACTCTGTCTCAAAAACAAACAAACAAACAAACAAAGCAGGAGAGCCATGGTGAATAAACAACAGCACATCTACATACAGTAAGAAACACAAGGCAGAGAGATGGGGGATTCTGTGGACTGGCGGGGAAAGGGTCCAAGGGATACTTAGAGAAAGAACAGAGTACAGCACACAAGGCATAAAGTGACCCCATTTTTGGTGAAGAACAAAAAATAAGCATATTTGTGTTTACAAACACATTTATGTGCATTGAAGGATTTAAGCTAAACAGTAAAAAATCAATACCTCTCTATGGATTAGGATTAGGTGGGGAACAGGGGAATCACAGAGATTTTACCTTTTTTAATTAACACTCCTGTCGTGTTTGAATATGTAAGAAATATACATATTCATACATATATGTATTTATAATACATGCATATAATATATACACATATATGTACACATTGTATATAACTGCATGTATGTAAATATATCACATGTATATATTATAGATTCAGGAAGAATCTATAGTAAAATATTGATAGTAAACCCATCTATATGGTAGAAATGTGGATAGGTTTATTTTCATTGAGCCCGCTTTCATGTTCCAAAATTTCTACAAAGAGTATATGTGTTTTTAATTAGAAAAAAAAATTAAATGCCCTATGTATGGACACTTTTTTGAAACATCCAGGTTATGAGTTAAATTTTAGTGACCTCTAAGAACCAATCCTTACTTGTTTTGAAACCATTCATGAATTTTTTTTTTTTTTTTTGGGACACAGTCTCGCTGTGTTACCCAGGCTGAAGTGCAATGGTGCGATCTTGGCTCACTGCAACCTCCACCTCCTGGGTTCAAACGATTCTCCTGCCTCAGCCTCCTGAGTAGCTGGGATTATAGGTGTGCACCACCACACCCGGCTAATTTTTGTATTTTTAGTAGAGACAGGGTTTCACCACGTTGGCCAGGATGGTCTCGAACTCCTGACCTCAGGTGATCTACCCACTTCGGCCTCCCAAAGTGCTGGGATTACAGGCGTGACCCACCACGCCCAGCCTGGTCAGGACTTTTTAAAAGCCCTTTTGACCAGGTGCAGTGGCTCACACCTGCAATCCCAACACTTTGGGAGGCCGAGGTGGGTGGATCATGAAGTCAGGAGATCAAGACTATCCTGGCTAATACGGTGAAACCCCGCCTCTACTAAAAAAAAAAAAAATACAAAAAAGTAGTCGGGTGTGGTGGCAGGTGCCTGTAGTCCCAGCTACTCAGGAGGCTGAGGCAGGAGAATCGCTTGAAATGGGGAGGCGGAGGTTACAGTGAGCCGAGATCATGCCACTGCACTCCAGCTTGGGCAACAGTGCGAGACTCTGTCTCAAAAAAAAAAAAAAAAAAAAGTCCTTTTAAAAAGTACACAGGCTTCACAATTATAGCCTGTTTTCACAAAAGAAAGTTCTCTTTTTAGTCCAGATTTAATCTTGTCAGTCATCTGAGAAGTCAAAAACTTACCCTGTTTTTCCATCTAAAAAAGCAATCTATGACATCACCTAGAAATACGTGAGCATTGCTTCTGATACACCATTGGGGGTAAGGAAGGTGTGCGCAGGGCCAACTGTGAGGAGACTGGGGAAGAAGTTGGACAAAAGAGCAAATGAGGAATGTGAACATCTATCTCTCTGAGTGCTACTCAGAGAAGTTCAGGATCCAGCCTTAATCACCCACACAAAACACCAGAGAACCTAACTTCAAACTATTGTTCTTTCTTTTTTTAAAAAAAAATGAGTCTCACTATGTTGCCCAGGCTGGACTCAAACTCCTGGCTCAAGAGATCCTCCCACCTCAGCCTCCCGAGTAGCTGGGATTACAGGTGCACGCCACCACACCCAGCTTTGCTGTTCTTTGATTACTCATTAGACATCTGTGTGAGAGAAGTTGTGAAATCATTTGATAAAAGTGGTATTTTTATTTACAGTGATGGTGACCCACTGCTTTAAATGCACTTTGTCTGTATTCACTTGAATCCAAAGCAACTCTCATCCTATAAAAGACAGCTGTCATTAGGGTTGTAGGAGTCATTAATGCTGGCTGCCAAATATTTGTGGTTCTCCACCATCCAGCACCTTCCCCGCATCCTTTGAATTTGTGTGGGGCCACAAGACTACTTCTGGCTAATGAGCTGCCAAGTGCATCACTTTCAGGTGGAAGACTTTGTTGCCAGTATGAGATGTTCCAGAGACCTCCCTTCACCACAGTGCCCAGCAAGCTCTGAAATGTAGCTGCTCTACCAGCAGTGAGGACACATGGGCTAGAAAGAGTAAGCAGAAAAATGAACCTTGGTTGTTACTACCTAGTATTCTTGCTTTTCCCAACTGCTACGAGGATGGTGCCTTCATCTGTTTGGGAATGAAAATATTTTTCCTGGATCTGAGTTTTTCCTCATCATTAATATCTTAAGAAATCTTAGCACTTTGGGAGGCCGAGGCTGGTGGATCAACTGAGGTCAGGAGTTCAAGACCAGCCTGACCAACATGGTGAAACCCCATCTCTGCTAAAAATATAAAATTAGCTGGGCCTGGTGGCGCATGCCTATAATCTCAGCTACTCAGGAGGCTGAGACAGAAGAATCGCTTGAACCCGGGAGGCGGAGGCTGCAGTGAGCCGAGATCACGCCATTGCACTCCGGCCTGGGCAACAAGAATGAAACTCCGTCTCAAAAAAAAAAAGAAATAAATCTCAGCCCCCAGGCCGAGCACGGTGGCTCACGCCTGTCATCTCAACACTTTGGGAGGCTGAAGCAGGCTGATCACCTGAGGTCAGGAGTTCAAGACCAGCCTGGCCAACATGGTGAAACCCCATCTCTACTAAAAATACAAAAACTAGCTGGGTGTGGTAGCGCAGGCCTATAATCCCAGCTACTCAGGAAGCTGAGGCAGGAGAATCGCTTGAACCCAAAAGGCAGAGGTTACAGTGAGCCAAGATCATTCCACTGCACTCCAGCCTGGCTGACAGAGCGAGACTCTGTCAAAAAAAGAAAAGAAAAGGAAAAGGAAAAGAAAAGAAAAGAGAAATCTTAGCCCCCAGACACTATGTTCTAAACAGTGACTGAGGTTGCTGGGCACAGTGGTGCACACCTGTAGTCCTAGCTACCCAGGAGGCCTAGGCAGGAGGATCGCCTGTGCCCAGGAGTTTGAGGCTGCCTACCGTGAGCTATGATCATGGCTGTGTAATAGCCACTGCACTACAGTCCCAGCAATAGCGTGAGACCCTGTCTCTTAAAAAAAGAAAAAGTTCCTGAGGTGGGTGTGGACATTTGCCTTTATGTTTTAAAAGTCCATTTTTTTTTTAAAGTAGTATTTAGGCAAGTACCATCCCTTTATTCAGCTAAAATTAACTGAGGATCTACTACATGCCAGGCACGATCCTAACTCTAGGGATGCATTGGTGAACAAGCTCCTTAGGGAGCAAATATGCTGCTTTTTTCTTTTGGTCTTGATTCCTTCTCTCTATCTATCCATCTATCTATCTATCTATCTATCTATCTATCTATCCCTGATTTTTTTTCTTCCTAATATATGCATTATTTCCATGACAGGTCATTTCAAATCTATTGAAGAGTATATCCCAATTTAATCATGACTTATATCACCTGGTGTCCTGCAGACTCCACAGTGGGAGCAGGTATGGTCCGTCCTCAGCAGCCTCCCCACTCCCTAAGCCTGGGCTCAACCTCAGCCTTGCACTGGGTTCACACCCTCCTATGAACATGAGTCAGGTCCAGAGCCCGACTCCCTCCTCATGGGGGGCAGGGGCAGGGCTCTCACTGGCACTCGTCTGCTGCCCTCCTCTCCTGAGTATGGCTTCTTTCAGGGCCCCTAATCCCTGTACATGTCAGGATCACAGACATGTATAAGAAAGGCCACGCCCCAGGCAAACAGGGTGAGGCCAGACAACTTCTCCCTCAACCCTGATCGTTTTGTGGCACTTGGAGACTCTCTGTGCTTAAGGTCTCAGTTCCAGTCCAGCCAACACACGCTATTATACACAAAAAGAACTAACCAGGTGCGTGGCTCGGTGCCCAGGGAGGTATCGAGACAAAAAGTGCTGCTGGGATTTGGAAGAGGGAGGGTCAATGAGGGCTTAGGCAGCAGCAGAGGCTTTAGGAGGCTTCCCAGTCAACACCAAACTCAGGTGGTCTTAGAGGAAAAACGGGAGAGAACATTTGTGTGAGATGGTGCCTAACTTTCAAGATGTGTTCCTTGGTTGGCTGGAGGTGGGTGGAAGGTTGGGATACAACCTAGTTCCTCACCAAAGTGCCTCTGTTTTATGTTTATACTCCCATTAGCAGTGGTTCCTAAAGTTTTCTGGCCAAAGAACCGAACACCTGTTAATAGCCTTCTCCTAAACTAATGTTCCAAGACTAGTTTGCAAACCATCGTTCGGGTTTATACATTGGGAAAGTATTTCTGTTGTGCTTTTAAAAAATTCTTTTTAAGGCTGAGACTACAGATGCAGCCTGGCCCTTTCCCTTACAGAGGAGCAGCTCCAAATGGACACAAGTGTGGAGAGTGGTGGGCCCCGCAGACATACAGCTTTGGGTCTTCTCATACTAAGCCCCATGCTGTTCCCACCTTAACTATATCCCTGGTCTTAGGGTATCAGGCACACCAGCATCTTAACAGTCCTGAAAAGCCTCACAGTAAAACCTGTTTACCTTTACTTAATACATGGATGTTACAAGAGCACAGATTTCTTCCCCCCGCACACCTCTTAACACTTTGCACAGCCATGTCTGGAGGTAAACTAGTTTGGGAAACACAAAAGGCATGTGCTGGTCAATACTCAGCTTTGTCACGTCATGCACAATTTACAGAGTAAAAACATGGAAGCTCATTTACCCAGCAGGGGAGCAACTATTAAGGACCCTGTTAACCTAGTGAAGACCTACGAAGCTGAGTGGTGACCACACGCGCACACACAGCAGGGTTCAAAGTGTCTTCAGAATCAGACGAAGCTCTAATCAACTCCAGCACATTCGAAATTCAAATGTCTCTATTCCTGCCAATACTGAAAAAATATCTGAAAGACGAGACAGGGCTTGTATTTAACCACAGACGAAAAAGGCTAGTTGTTAACGGCTGCTGGAAGACCTCAGAATGTGCAGAACAGAGAATCCAGAGGGGGCAGCAGAGAGCAAAGCAGGGACTGTGCTTCCGAAGCCAGCTCCTCTCTTAGCAACCAACAGGGGATGTTAAGATGGGCTCCTGGAGCCGGAACTACAGAAGAGGCACGAAGCCTCTCCGCACCATCTTTCACGGTGTTGAGATGGGGAGTTTTAAGCCACTCTTTATACACACGCTAAACAACAGATCACCTTAAAACATAAGTTCCCAGGCCAGAAGCCATTTATATGGTCTGCAAACGGGGGCAAATAGTTCTGCAATGCCAGGCACCTCCGAATAACAACGGCTTCCATTTAGGGAGCATCAATAAGGTAAGGAAGCTACAGGGCTCTGCACCAGGCACAGTCCAAACATCTCTGATCCTCACACCCCGACTCAGGAAGCAGGCAGCACCTCCATCGTGTGGCCAGGTCCCAAAGCTAGTTCCTCCCCTACCTCATTCTCCTAGATAAGATGCCTAACATATGACTTATCCAGAGTCTTCCCACCCCTTTCACCATGGGAAAAATCACCATGTATGATTTCTCTTCAAGGAAAGCAATACAAGACCTGGGGTAGCCAGTGCTGAGACTCTGACAAAGCCCACAACATGACTGCTCATTCTCAAAGGGATCTAGCTGTAGTAATATCTTAATTTTTCTAAGAAAAATAATCCATGAGTTTTTTCCCCTCCCAAGGGAGGCCATCCCATGAGGATGATAAACTTAAAATATCACCCTCCTCTCCCTTAAGACAATCGAGCAATGAGCAAATAATGTTTGGTTCTGAAACAAAGGAGCTAATTGCAAGTGTAAATTATTCAATCTGCAACCAAGGTGTTTGCATGTGATCTTTGGTTTCATTGCTTTTCTCTAGCAGTGCCCAAGCTAGGACCTGAGGGTAGCAAAGAAGTAATAGAAAATTACCTGCTCTGGAAGGGCAGAGATGGCCCTCAGGAGCTAAAGCCACCTGGGCTGGCCAGCAGGACTAATTAGTCAACAGTGATTAGTTGAGCAAAGGAGCCAAGAGGTGGAGGCAAGTAAGTTCCTCATTGTTGACAAGAAAAGGAGAAATGGGGTCAAAGGGAGAGGCTTCCAAGGACTCAGGATGGTGAAAGAAAACAAAGCGCAGGCAAGGCTGGGGTGCAGCAGACGGCAGCAAGGTGTGCACTCTCAAAGAAAGCCCGCCAGCCTCCGAGGCCACACTCCACTCTAAGTGGTGCTTACCGCAGACCCCTGAAGGCACCGTTTTCCACTGAGGACAGAAGCATTGGGTTGTTGATGCCCCAGAAAGCTTGGTTGGGTCTGGGTGTGGCCTGTGTCACTAAGGCCTATTCAATCAGTGTCCCTGACAGATGTTTCAAGCGGGTTCTCTGTGTAAACAATTTTGATATTTTGGAATTCTAAAGCCATAAATAAGAGTTGAACTTTGGACATTGCATTCAATTCAATTTTTTGGCAAGATTCTCACCTTCAACGTAAATTTTCATACTTAGAAGCATGCTCTAACGCATACATTAAATCCACAGGTTACCCATCAACAACGGCTGGATACTGTATCACAGGCTCCAATTAAAATAGGTTTATTTTTTGGTATCTAACTACTTAGAGCACACAAACAGGGTTATCCAATAAAGTGCGAAACATTTTCTTATTTTTAAAAGAAAATCCAGAAATCCTTATTATGTGGTTTGATGATATAACTGCACATGATTTCAGAAAACCACAGGACGGTCAGCATCTTTCTTGCCAAGAGATTGCCCACAGAATCTTATTGCGAATGCTACCCTGCTCAAAAAGTCAAATTTTCAGACCGTTTAAATTAGTAATGGAGCAAAAACAAAGCACATGTAGAGGACAGAGGAAACAAGCTGCCCTTAAAGCATAAACATCTGAAGCTGTTTAACTACACTGCTGCCATTAGGATCTTCTTTTCCCCTTTACTTTCTCATGGTCCTAGCTTCATAGATGAAGCTGAAATCCCAGAAAGCAGTGTCGCATCCCCAGAATACAAAAGCAAAACCTCCCCCTTTCCTTCCTCTTCCTGCTTTACTTCCTGGGTACTTCCCCAACCTAACAACTCTGGCCAACCACCTTAACTGAGAGTAAGGACACAGCATTTCTCATTGAATGAGAAACGAGCAGGCTGGGAGAAGCTTTTTGCTAAAGATTGATTTCAGCCAAAATAGTGAACTGCATATCATACATAAGAGGCCAGATGGAAGTCCATTGGGAAAACCCAGCTCAGTCGTGAGACCCACTACCCTGGCAACCCCCCAGGACCTCTACACCATCCAGAGAGAGAGGTCTTGGAACCAGTCTCTGGGAGAGGGAGATGCAGTGAGCTAAGGGTTAGCAGTACAGGCCCAAACCTATGACCCCCAGGGCCGCCATCCTTACCCCATAGGTCAGGGACTACTGTTCAGCATGGTGGTTATAATGGTGTCCCCAGCTCCAGAGACAGTGAGAACAGTGGAACCTAGAATGTGTGACACTGTGGCCTTCCTTAAAAAGTCTATATTTGCTGAGCCCTTCTACTATGAGTCAAATACAATGCTGGGCACTTCTATAAGCATTCTAGCCTTTAATTTAAAATTCATTCCATCCTGATAGAAACATGGTTGGTTGGGTTTTGTTTGTTTGTTTTTAAGACAGAGTCTTGCTCTGTTGCCCAGGCTGCAGTGTAGTGAGCAATCTCGGCTCACTGCAACCTCTGCCTACCGGGTTCAAGCAATTCTCCCTGCCTCAGCCACCCGAGTAGCTGGGATTAGAAGCGTGTGCCATCATGCCTGGCTAATTTTTATGTGTTTTTTTTTAGTAGAGACAGGGTTTTGCTATGTTGGCCAGGCCGGTCTCAAACTCCTGGCCTCAAGTGATCCACCTGCCTCGGCCTCTGAAAGTGCTGGGATTAAAGGTGTGAGCCACTGCACCCAGCCAGTTTTTAATTAAGATATAATTCACACACCATAAAATTCACTCTCTAAAATACACAATTCAGTGACTTTTAGTATATTCAAAGTTGTGCAACCATCACTATTACACAATTACAAAACATTTTCATCACCCCAGGAAGAACATGGTTTTTAATCCCCATCCTATTGACAAGCAAAGTGAAGCAAAGTTGTTAAGCAAACCAGCCAAGATAAGTCTTGTTAACAGCAGAGTTGGGGTTCAAATCTGGACCCCAGAACCCTCTACAGCACTAGGCACTAGTGATCACCCTCCACCTGCACTGGACTTCCACTGCTCCCCCTTGCCATCCTGCCTCCTGTCACATGGCAGGTGCTCTCCAGGGCCTCGCCTCTGCTGCCTTCTCATGAAACACATGCTTACCAACAGACTCCCTCCTCCAGACTCACACTCCCAAATTCACCCTTCTAGTCTGAATGTCTTTCTAAGCCCCAGACCCAGGCCATAACTGTTCCCCCACAAACTGGGCACCTCTACGTAATATCACCAGGCACCCACAAATGTGAGTGCAAAAATCCTCTTGCCGTTAGCATAGCCCGTCGCACAGTAGTTAAGGAGTGGGGCTCTGGAGGCTCACGGCCCTGGCCCGTGATCCCAGCTCTGCCACTGTGACCCTGGGCACATTTACTTCTCTTCTCTGAGCCTCTCTTTATAAATTGTAAAATGGGTTTTCTTTTATTTATTCAACTGTAAAATGAATTAAGGGGCAATTCTGATGCTAAAGGATTGCTGTGAGGATTAAATGTAAAATACTTTGCACCATGCCCAAGAGTGAGTATTCAGCTAAATGGCAGCCACTGTCCTTACTATGTGAAAGGGCCAACAGAGCCCTCAGATATATTTCCTGTCTTCACCAAGCTCCAGTCCAGTAAAGAAATGTGAACATGTAGAATGTACCCGAATTTCCTTTTTGTTTTTTGGGTTTCGGGGGGCTTTTTTGAGACAGAGTCTCACTCTGTCACCCAGGCTAGAGTGTTGTGCTCACTACAACCTCCGCCACCCAGGCTCAAGCCAACCTCCCACCTCAGCCTCCCAAGCAGCTGGTACCACAGGCACACACCACCATACACGGCTAATTTTTCTAATTTTTGTAGAGACAGGATTTCGCCATGTTGCCAAGGCTGGGACTCAAGCAATCCACCTGCCTCGGCCTCCCAAAGTGCTGAGATTACAGGCGTGAGGTACTGCGCCCAGCTGAACTTATTTCTTTTTTAAAAATAGCTATTATCGGCCAAAAAGACCTAGAAGTAATAACTCAGTGACAATAAGCACCCCAAGTACCCAGATTGAGGTCTCTAAATAATATTTCCTACTAAAAGTAACAAGGGTTTCTTAGAGAAATGGCTAATTCAGGTCTGGGACAGGACATCCACAGGATAAATATTATTTCCCACTAAAGGAACAGGGATTTCTTGGTAAAATGCCTGAGGTCTAGGACAGAAACGTGTGTGTGTGTGTGTGTGTGTGTGTGTTTATTTATGTGTGTGTGTGTGTTTATATATGTGTATATATGTATTACATACATATATACGAGATATAAGATCCAAATCTTAGTTTCTAAATACTACCATTTTTCACTTAAAGGAAGCAGGGCTCCCTGGAAAATCCAGGGCTGGGGTAGGAGAGTCCAAGATGAGTGTGAAACATCTTGTGCTCAGAGAATGAAGGGAACATGTCTAAAGGACACTGGAACCAGTGTAGAGGGGTTCCCATTGGCCAAATCTGAGACAACTTGAGCATCAAAATAAATAATTATAGTTTGGCCGGGTGCAGTGGTTCATGCCTGTAATCTCAGTGCTTTGGGAGGCTAAGGCATGAAGATACTAGAAACTGGAGACCAGCCTGAGCAACATAGTGAGACAGCATCTCTACAAAAATAAATTAGCCGGGAATGGTAGCCCACGCCTATGGTCCCAGCTACTCAGGAGGCTGAGTTGGGAGGATCTCTTGAGCTCAGGAGGTCAAGGCTGCAGTGAGCTATGATTGTGCCAATGCATTCTAGCCTGGGCAACAGAGCACAGTATCTGGGAGACAGAGTATTTGTCTCCAAAAACAAACAAAAATAATAATTAAGTATTAAAATCAATGAAAAAAATCCAAACTCATGAGTTCATACAAATTAAGAAGGGAGAAGGAAAAACTCTTTCCTACAGTTGAAAATCCAACCAACAAATATAGCAGGAATGGTGGATTTAAAAAACTGCCATTTGGCAGCTATCGTAATTCTTGATTCAGGCAAGAGTCATCAATGGACATTAAAACTAATGAATGAAAGGGTTTTTTGTTGTTGTTATTGTTGTTTCTTTTGAGACAGAGTCTCACTCTGTTGTCCAGCCTGGAGTACAGCGGCGTGATCTTGGCTCACTGCAACCTCTGCCTCTCAGTCTCAAAACATCTTCCCACCTCAGCCTCCCGAGTAGCTGGGACCACAGGCATGCCCCACAGAACCCAGCTAATTTTTTAATTTTTTGTAGTTTCACCATGTTGCCCAGGCTGTGAAAGGTTAAGAAGTTATAAGATATTTACATTGTCTGAAAGTATCTTCCCACACACAAAAAAATACTTATTAACTACATAGAAAAAAAAAAAAACAGTAACTCAACAGTGGAGAATCTGGGCAGACATCCCCTTAACCAGGTTAAGATCTCCAGTAATGAGTCAAATCTACATCATCTGCCTCTGATATGATGCACTGAAAGGACACATCGTCCCTTCTGTGGTGTTCCCGACACTACCACAAAATAACCAGAATCCAAACAGGAGACAGCATCAGACAAACCCAAATTGAGGGACAATCTACAAAATAACTCGCCTGTATTCTTCAACTGTCAATGACATGAAATGAAGGCTAAAGAACTATCCCAGACTCAAGGAGATTAAAGAGACATGACAACTAAATGACAACATGATCTAGGATTTTCATTTATTAAACAGATTTTTGAGACAAAGAGGGAAACATGAATAAGGTCTACAGATTAGCTAAGAGTACTGAATCAGTGTTAATTTCCTGATTTTTTTTTTTTTTTTTCAGATGGAGTCTCGCTCTGTCACCCAGGCTGGAGTGCAATGGTGTGATCTCAGCTCACTGCAACCTCCGCCTCCCAGGTTCATGCGGTTCTCCTGCCTCAGCCTCCTGAGTATCTTGGGCTATAGGCACCCGCTACCACGTCCGGCTAATTTTTGTATTTTTAGTAGACCCAGGGTTTCACCATGTTGGCCAGGCTCATGGCCTGGCCAGGCTCCGGACCTCAGGTGATCTGCCTGCCTTGGTCTCCCAAAGTACTGGGATTACAGGCGTGAGCCACCGCAGCCAGCCCTAATTTCCTGATTTTGGTAACTATAGTGTGGTTATGTAAGAAAGTAATCTTGTCTTTAGGACACTGAAGTTTTTAGAGATAAAAGAGACATCAAGTCTGTACTCTCAAAAGACTTAAAATATTCTATAAATATACATATACAGATATATAAACACACAGAGAGAGAGAGACAGTAGAGGAAGGATAAAGCTAATATGGTGAAATTAACATTTGGAGAATCTAGGTCAAAGCATATATTGTTTTATACTACTCTTGCAATCTTTCAGTCTGTAATTATTTCAAAATAAAGGCTTTTTAAATGACATGTATCAAATCTGTAAAAATCCACGAGTTTGGAGAAAAAACTCATTGTTCACCTTTAGAGGTTGCTAAAGCATTAGCTTGTTATTAGGAAAATTAATGAAGGAAAAGAATCAAAAGAATCAGCATTTACCTTGCCTTTCCTGTACAAACTGTATTTCAGGAAAATCAAACAGATGGTGAGGAAAAGATCTTTACAAAATTCCAGTTAATAAATGCAAAAGGAATGATTGAATTAGAAAATCATTGGCCAGGCTCCATAACCATGCCTATAATCCCAGCACTTTGGGAGGCCAAGGTGGAAGGACCACTTGAGGCCTGGAGTTCGAGACCAGCCTAGGCAACATACTAAGACTCCATCTCTACAAAAAATATTAAAAAATTAAAAATTAGCTGGACGTTGTGATACATGCCTGTAGTCCCAGCTACTCAGAGGGCTGAGGTGGGAGGATCACTTGAGCTCAGGAGGTCTAGGCTGCAGTGAGCTATGATTGAGAGAAAGCAAAGAAAGGGAAAGAAGGGAGGTAGGGAGGGAGGGAAGGAGGGAAGGAGGGAGGGAAGGAGAGAAGGAGGGAGGCAGGCAGGGAGGGAGGGAGGGGAGGAAACCATTATTTTGAAATGATCTGGACCCGGATTCTCAATCCATCTGAAAACCAGGAGTTAGAGGGCATTAATTGCTGAACTCAACCAAAAAAACATTCTTTTTCTGCCTGTTCATTTATCAAAGTCATGCTCCTAACTCCCATTCGAGTCGCACTTCCTCCACCAAAGCTTTCTGTGGCTCTTTCTTCAGCCCAAACCAGTTTTATCGCTCTGTGATTTCCTGTGGCCCTTGATCTATGCCAGTGGCTCATATACTTGGTTCATCCAGGGATCCTTTCAAAATCCTGATACCCACATTGGGCTCTAGGACAAGATTTCTCAAACTCAGCACTATTGGCATCTCAGACCGGATCACTTTTCATTGTGAGGGGCTGTCCTGTGCATTGAGGATGTTTAGCAGCATCCCTGGCCTCCACACCACTAGGTGCCAGTACTCCTCCCACCCCCAAGTGGAGAAAGCCAAAAATGTCTCCAGATACTGTCAAATATCCCTGGGGGGCAAAATCTCCTCCCACAGGGAGGAAGAATGGCTGATCTAGCTCGTGAGCATCAGTAGCTATTAAAGCCACCGATGCGGAATTTCAAACAGATGGATCAAGCACCCACCAATCAATCTTGGCTTCACTAAAAGCAAGACAATCAGCTGCTCCACCTGCTAGTGTGGATGCCGTAGGATGAAGCCAGCAGACCTGAGACAGCTTCTTTTCATCCCACCCCCAACCCCATCCCACAGTCAAGCTATATAGAGTAACCAGGTTACAGGAAACAGAGAAGTTGAAGGAGCATGTTAAAATCACACTAGAGGCTGGGCGTGGTGGCTCACACCTGTAATCCCAGCACTTTGGGAAGCTGAGGCAGGCGGATCACTTGAGGTCAGGAGTTTGAGACCAGCCTGGCCAATATTGCGTTGTCACTACTAAAAATACAAAAATTAGCTGGGCATGGTGGTGTGCACCTGTAGTCCCAGCTACTTGGGAGGCTGAGGCACAAGAATCACTTGAACCTCAGAGGCGGAGGTTGCAGTGAGCCGAGATCGTGCCACTGCACTCCAGCCTGGGCGACAGAGTGAGACTCTGCCTCAAAAAAAAAAAAAAATCACACTAGAGAAAGCCACCAGTCAAGGCCAAAATGGGAAATCTATATAACAAATTACCCCATTTCATCAGCAAACAAATGACATAAAGGGAGATGAGGGCTGTTGTAAGATTAAGAGAGACTTCAGACACAGCAAGCAAATGCAATCACGTATGGATCTTGTTTAGATCCTAATTCAAACAAACCAAAAGGGCATTTTGGAGATCACTGGGGAAAAGTGAACATAGGATAGTCAATGACATTAAGGAATAATTATGTTATTTTGAAGTAATATTGATATTGTGGATGTGTCATTTAAAATAAAGTTCGTAACTGATAGAGATGCATACTTCATATTTATAGTTGAAATGCTATGATATTGAAGACTTGTTTTAAAATATTACAACAAAAAAGGAGGGGAGCGTTGATTAAACAAAAATGCAAAATGGTGATAACTGTAAAAGCTGGATAAAAAGTATGTGGGCACTTGTACTATTATCTTTACTAGTGTATGTCTGAAAGTTTCCATAATAAAAATTTAAATTTTTTAAAAATGTTGAAGAACTTATATCCAGAACATACAAAAAACTCAAATCTCCACAATAAGAAACAACCCAATTAAAAAGTGGGTAAAAGATATGAGCACATCACAAAAGAAGATATATAGATGGCAAACAAGCACATGAAAAGATCCTTAACATCACTAGCTATTAGGAAAATGCAAATTAAAACTACAAGGCAGAGCACGGTGGCTCATGCCTGTAATCCCAGCACTTTGGGAGGCTAAGGCAGGAGGATCACTTGAGCCCAGGAGTTGGAGACCAGCCCGGGCAATCTAGTGAGACTCCATCTCTACAAAAAAAGAAAAAATTAGCCAGGCGTGGTGGCACATGTCTGTGGTCTCAGCCTCTTGGAAGGCAGAGGTAGGAGGATTGCTTGAGCCTGGGAGGTACAGGCTGCAGTGAGCCCTGATTATGCCACTGCACTCCAGCCTGGACAATAGGGTGAGATCCTGTCTCAAAAAAAAAAAAAAAAAAACAAAACTCCACCATAAAAGGTGAAATTTATTGCATGTAAATTAAAAAGAAAAATTTTCAATGTTGTAAAGTCTATTGATAAGGAGAAGCAGCATAGAACAGTCATGTTACAAAGCAATCTGTACTTGTAAATATATGCACACAGACATATGTGAACAAATACGGAGACAGTGTTACACACAATGTGACTAGTGTTCATCTCTGATGAGTAAGATACTAGGACATGTGTTTTTTTCTTTTAACTTAGAGGTATTTTCTAATTTTTCTTAAATTGGTATTACTTGTGTGATTTCTTTAAGAAGTAATTTAAAAACAAGCAAATAAAAAAATAACTGCAAGCTGCTCTGGGAAGCCTTTCCTCATCCCTCCACAATAAACCTCTCCCTCTGCAGGCTTCCTGCTGTCTCCTCAAATCTCCTAACACTTGGCTGCCCTGTCCCCATAGTCAGCTCTTCCCTCTCCTGCTCGCTGTGCTAAGTGAGGAAGTGCAGTTTACCGCACGGTGGGGCCTGTCTCCGGAATCGCGTCTAGCTGGCTCCCTGCTCTATCCCTCCCGAACAGACACTCAGGAAAATAGCTGAGTAATGACTGACCAACAGGGCATGAACAGGCATCTACGAAACAGTCATTAAACCATGTCCACAGGCAACTGGACACTATCCAAAGGTTGATAATTAATGTTCCATGTCAGCCTAAAACATGGGCTCAGGTGAAGGGCCACTTAAGTTTCTAGAAATTATTTGGGAGAAAACATACAAAGCTGGTTTATCACTTGCCACATCTGTGAATAAGAGACTTCAGATTGCTAATATGTAAGGTAATAAGCTTCAAAATTATCCCAACATCAGCCAGACTGGTGCTGCGGATGGACTGTAACCCGTATAAATTTCAGGTTCAAAGATTCAGCTACAGGAATATAGAGTAGGGAGAACAGACTTGATAAAAGCAGCCAAGTGAAAACAGACCTGGTGATTTTAGCTGACATCAGTCACACTGAGGCTAAACGCTTGTCAGTTAAGGATGAAGTAAAAGACTGTCATTTTTAGTGGGAAGTAGAGCTAAGCAGTCCCAAATCTTTTCTATAATGCTCTGTTTTCATATTCACAGGCAGAAAAGTCTGTTCGCTAATATGAAAAGATAGTAACATTAAGTCCAAATTTTATTAAAATGGATCCTTTTATATGATTCCTTGCACATGCCAGGAATATCCCAGAGTAATACTTAAAACATTTCCTTACTATAGGCCGGGCACGGTGGCTCACATCTGTAATCCCAGCACTTTGGGAGGCCAAGGTGGGTGGATCACCTGAGGTCAGAAGTTCAAGACCAGCCTGGCCAACACGGTGAAACCCCCATCTCTACTAAAACAACAAAAAAATTAGCCGGGCATAGTGGTGCATGCCTGTAATTCCAGCTACTCAGGAGGCTGAGGCAGGAGAATTGCGTGAACTCGGGAGGCAGACACTGCAGTGAGCTGAGATCGCACCACTGCACTCCAGCCTGGGCAACAGAGCAAGACTCTGTCTCAAAAAAATAAAATAAAATAAAAATAAAACATTTCCTTACTACAAAAACAAAACAAACAAAAAACCAAAACACCATGCCACCGTGATTCATCTCTACACAAGCCAGGGCCCCAGCAGCCTGCAAGCCAGGAGCCTATTTGGCTATCAGACAATAAAAACAGACAACAAAAACAAATTAGAAAGCTTCCAAGTATCATAAATTTGGAATTCCAGTTCCAGTTAATGAAGTAGGTACACTCCAGCCTGTCTGTCCCACTGAATGCTGCTATCAAACTGGAAACAATGCACAGAGCAGCTATTTCAGGACACTGAAAAACAAATCAAAGTAGGCAGATGGTGAAGATGCCCAGAGTTCAAAGCACCACAGAACCAACAGTCAGGCTCCTATTTTTCCTCCAGTGTTCCCCAGCTTAGACTCTAAGGAGCCTCAAACCCAGAAAAACCCAGAAAAGAGAGCCTGGTATAGATAGGGAGTCCAGGACAATCCTCTAGTTCTGGCCAGAAAAGTAGACAGGGGGATTTTCCTAACACTCATAGACATTGAACACAATCCTGGGTTTTATTTTCCTTTTAACTTTTTTTTTCCTTCATTCTCACTTAGATTTCAGACCCCAGACAACCCTGAAGTGTCAGAGGCAATGCAGCAGCAGGAGGCTACAGATGTCCACAACAGAGGAGTCGACTCAGAGGAACCCGAGTTCTTAGGGCATGAGCGAACCCCCTTGCTTTCCCCTTCCCCTGTCCTCCCACCATGTGGCCTAGGACATGGACACAGCTGTGGAAACTGTTCAACAGAGTAGGGTAACTAAAGAACCAGCTTTTGGGACACAGACCCGAAAGAGGAGTTCTAAGGGCTGGAAAATACCAAGGAACTGGCAGAAAGAGGAAGCAAACCCATAAAGTTCTATAAACTCCTGTTTATAAATCAAAACACCAAGCCCATAAAGCTTATAAACTCCTGAGCTCACCCAAAGTTGTATATATATGTGTATCTGACCCTAAACAGTGCAGTAAAGACGTTGAGAATGAACTATGGGATAGCTCACCACCTAGGTCCCAGACTGACCACTGGGTGGCATATACCGAGCAAAGATTCAAATAGCATCACAAAGGCTTTGAAACAGAATTGATATTGAACCTTCAACCCACAGAAGACTGACCAGAACTTCTCACTTGAACCCAGCCAGGTTGATTGCTTTCGAAAACAAAACAAAAATCAACATTCTTCATAGGATTTAAACAAGACCAGAGTCCCATAACATAATAAACAAATGTCCACGATATAATTCTAAATTACTTGGCATACAAAGAACCAGGAAAATCTCAATTCATATGGAAAAAGACAATCAACAGATGCCAATGCCAAGATGACACAGTTGTTGGAATTATCAGATTGTAAAGCAGCTATAATAAAATAACCCAAGATTAGCCAGGCATGGTGGTATACCCCTGCAGTCCCAGCTAATCAGGAGGCTGAAGCGGGAGGATTACTGGAGCCCAGGAGTTCAAGGTTACAGTGAGTGATGAGCTACCTTCTGCTATCCAGCCCATCCATTTTTATTTTGGATACTACGTTCTATGGTTCTAAGATTTTCATTTGCTTTTTTTTTTTTTTTTTTTTTTTTTTTTTGAGACAGAGTCTAGCTCTGTCGTCAGGCTGGAGTTCAGTGGTGCGATCTTGGCTCACTGCAACCTCCGCCTCCCGAATTCAAGCGATTCTCCTGCCTCAGCCTCCCAAGTAGCTGGGATTACAGGCAAGCGCCGCCACACCGAGCTAATTTTTGTATTTTTAGTAAAGACAGGGATTCACCATGTTGACCAGGATGGTCTCAATCTCCTGACCTCGTGATCCACCCACCTCGGCCTCCCAAAGTGCTGGGATCACAGGTGTGAGCCAACACACCCGGCCCATTTGCTTCTTTATATCTTCTATTTCTTAGCTGAGACTTTCTGTCTTTCTATTTGTTTAAAGAGTACGCATCCCTACTTCTTGGATTATTTTATATAAAGCTTAGAACAGGCCAGGTGCAGTGGCACATGCCTGTAATCCTATCACTTTGGGAGGCTGAGGCAGGCAGATCACCTGAGCTCAGGAGTTTGAGACCAGCCTGGCCAACATGGTGAAACTCTGTCTCTACTAAAAATACAAAAATTAGCTGGGCATGGTGGTGGGCACCTGTAGTCCCAGCTACTCTGGAGGCTGAGGCAGGAGAATTGCTTGAACCCGGGAGGCAGAGGTTGCAGTGAGCCAAGATCGCACCACTGCACTTCCAGCCTGGGTGACAGAGTGAGACTCCGTCTCAAAAAAAAAAAAAAAAAATTTCAGATAAAGGAAAATGAAGAGAACTCATAGCCAACAAATCTGCTCTAAATGAAACGCTATGAGGTTCTTCATGGAGAATGGAAATGATACCAGAGGGAAACTTGGAATATCAGTAGTGAAAGAAAAGCAACAGAAATGGTAAAAACCTCGGTAAACATAATATACAATTCTTCTCGAGTTATTTCAAGTATGCATGATGGTTAAGAGCAAAATCTGTAACAATGTTGGGATTTCAATGTATTTGACAACGAAAACAAAGTAGGAGGGTAAAGGGACCTATGTACTTGCAAGGTTTCTGTATTTCATTCTAAGTAATGAAATGTTAATTATAAGTAAAGTGTACAATATTAATGTTATAATTATGTGTATGTATAATGTAATTCGTAGACCAAACACTTAAAAAAAAAACTATATAAAGAGATACTAGTCAAAACTCAATAAATCAATTATAATGAAATACTAACAAATATTCAAAGACTCCAAAAGAAAAGAGGAAAGGGAAAACAGGAACAAAACAGAGGGAACAAACAGAAAATAAATAACAAAATGGTAGGTTTAAATTTAAGCATACTAATAATTACATTAAATATAGGCAGGACATGGTGGCTCACACCTGTAATCCCAGCACTTTGGGAGGCCAAAGCAGGAGGATTGCCTTGAGGCCAGGAGTTCAAGGCCAGCCTGGGTGACAGAGCAAAACCCTGTTTCTCCGAGAGAGAGTCTCCCTCTGTAGCCCTGGAGTACAGTGGTGCAATCACAGCTCAGTGCAGCCTTGACCTACCGGGCTCAAGTGATCCTTCCACCTCAGCCTCCCTAGCAGCTAGAATTACAGTTACATGCCACCATGCCCAGCTAATTGTTTTGGTATTTTTTTGTAGAGACAGGGTTTTGCCACGTTGTCCAGGCTGGTCTCGAACTCCTGACCTCAAGCAATCCATCCACCTCAGCCTCCCAAAGTGCTAGGATTACAGGCATGAGCCACCATGCCTGGCCAAGACCCTGTTTCTTAAAAAAAAAAAAAAAAAAAAAAAAAAATTTAATTAATTCAAAAGGGATCATAGATCTAAATGTAAAATGTTAAACAATAAAATTCAGAAGAACACATAGGATAAAATCTTTATAAGCTGAGAATAGTTTTTAGACATGACACCAGAAGCATAATCCATGAGAAAAAAAATGGATAAAATTTCTTCAAAATTAGAAACTTGGTCTGGGCACGGTGGCTCACACCTGTAATCCCAACACTTTGGGAGGCCCAGGCAGGCAGATCACCTGAAGTCAGGAGTTCAAGACCAGCCTAGCCAACACAATGAAACCCCATCTCTACTAAAAATACAAAACTAGCTGGGTGTGGTGGTACATGCCTGTAGTCCCAGCTACTCGGGAGGCTGAGACAGGAGAATCACTTGAACCCAGGAGGCTGAGACAGGAGAATCACTTGAACCCAGGAGGCAGAGGCTGCAGTAAGCAGAGATTATGCTACCACGCTCCAGCCTGGGTGAGACAGAGCGAGACTCTGTCTCAGAAAAAAAGGCCAGGCATGGTGGCTCATGCCTGTAATCCCAGCACTTTGGGAGGCTGAAGCAGGTGGATCACTTGAGGTTAGGAGTTCGAGACCAGCCTGGCCAACATGGCAAAAACCCGTCTCTACTAAAAACACACAAAAAATTAGCAGGGCATCATGGCACACACCTGTAATCCCAGCTACTTGGGAGGCTCAGGCAGGAGAATGGCTTGAACCCAGGAAACGGAGGTTGCAGTGAGCGGAGATTGCACCACTGCACTCCAGCCTGGGCGACAGAGTGAGACTCTGTCTCAAAAAAAACAGAAAAGAAAGGAAAGGAAAGGAAAAGGAAAGAAAGAGAAAGAAAGAAAGAAACTTGTTCTGCAAAGGAAATTGTTAAGAAAATAAGACAGGCCAGGTGCGGTGGCTCACGCCTGTAATCCCAGCACTTTGGGAGGCCGAGGCAGGCGGATCACAAGGTCAGGAGATCGAGACCATCCTGACTAACACGGTGAAACCCCGTCTCTACTAAAAATACAAAAAAATTAGCCAGGCGTCATGGCGGGCGCCTGTAGTCCCAGCTACTCAGGAGGCTGAGGCAGGAGAATGGCGTGAACCCAGGAGGCAGAGCTGGCAGTGAGCCGAGATCACGCCACTGCACTCCAGCCTGGGCGACAGAGCAAGACTCTGTCTCAAAAAAAATAAAATAAAATAAAAAAGAAGAAGACAAGCCACAGAGTTAAAATATTTGCAACTCACGTATCTGACAAAAGTCTTGTATCCAAAGTATATAAAGAATTCTCAAAATTCAATAGTAAGAAAACAAACTGCCCAATAAAAATTACTTGAACAGGTTCTTCACCTAAGAGATGGCAAATAAGCACAAAATGCTTGATATCATTAGCCATTTTAGGGAAATGCAAAATAAAGCTATTATGAGATGCCACTACACACCTATTAGAATGTTACAATGGCAGTCATAAAAAAGAATGAGATCATGCCCTTTGCAGCAACATGGATGGAGCTGGAGGCCATAATCCTAAGTAAATTAACACAGAAACAGAAAACCAAATACCACGTTTTCACTTATAAGTGAGACCTAAACATTAAACTCCTGTGGACATAAACACGGAAACAACAGACACCTCTGATTACTTGGAGGGAGGGAGGGAGTGAGGAATGGGTGGAAAAACTACCTATCAGGTACTATGTTCACTACCTGGGTGCAATATACCCACGTAACAAACCTGCACATGTACCCCCTGTATCTAAAATAAAAGTTGGGGCCGGGCACAGCGGCTTACGCCTGTAATCCTAACACTTTGGGAGGCCGAGGCAGGCGGATCACCTGAGGTCGGGAGGTCGAGACCAGCCTGGCCAACATGGCAAAATCCCATCTCTGCTAAAAATACAAAAATTTGCTGGGTGTGGTGACACATGCCTGTAATCCCAGCTACCCGGGAGGCTAAGGAAGGAGAATCGCTGGAACCTGGGAGGCAGAAGCTACAGTGAGCTGAGATGGCACCACAGCACTCCAGCCTGGGCACCAGAGCAAGACTCCCTCTCAAAAAAATAAAATAAAATAAAAAATAAAAAAATAAAAGTTGTAAAATAAAATAACAAACGTGAAGGTTTTATAAAGCAATGAACTAGGGACCTGCTATGTACTACATTTCAGGTTGTGATATTAAATGACTCCATTTTCTTTGTAGAAATGTGTCGTCATATGTAATATCACACCTACATACATAAGATGCATTTACACACAGTTCAAAATGCATATCAGCTTCCCTTACATTACCTTTTGATATTAACATATGAACTTTACAAAGTTTAAAAAAGAAAAAAGGGCCGAGTGCGGTGGCTCATGCCTGTAACCCCGGCACTTTGGGAGGCCGAGGTGGGCAGATCACGAGGTCAGAAGCTCAAGACCAGCCTGGTCAACATGGTGAAACCCCGTCTCTACTAAAGATCCAAAAAATTAGCCAGGTGTTGTGGTGTGTGCCTGTAATCCCAGCTATTTAGGAGGCTGAGGCAGGAGAATCGCTTGAACCAGGAGGCAGAGGTTGCAGTGAGCCGTGATCACACCACTGCACTCCAACCTGGCTGATAGGGCGAGACTCTGTCTCAAAAAAAAAAGTAGTTACCATCTTTGGAAATAATATTTCTTCTGTTTTCTTTGCTTTATATGAACCAAAACTTTTCCCTGTTTTTTTGTTTTTTTTGTGAGTTTTTTGTTTGTTTGTTTTGCTTTTGGTTTTTGAGAGACAGGGTCTCACTGTCACCCAGGTTGGAGTACAGTGGCAGAATTATTGCTCACTGAAGCCTCCAACTGCTCAGCTCAAGGGTCCTCCCACCTCAGCCTCCTGAGTAGCTAGGACTACAGGTCACACCACCAACAGAGCTATTTTTTTTTTTTTTTTAATTTTGTGTAAAGACAGAGTTTCGCTATGTTGCCCAGGCTGGTCTCAAATTCCTGGACTCAAGTGATCCTCCCACCTCAGCCCCCCAGAGTGCTGGGATTACAGGCATGAACCACCATGCCCAGCCCCATTTTCTGGTTGGTTTGTATGCTTGATTCTATACAAACTAAGTTCTGCTTATGGCCATTCTGATGCCTTGCTGGTGTTTTGTAGAGTTGCTATGACCACAGAACTTATGGATTGTTTTTGGAAATATCTGTCCATGTTTTTGCTTTTTCTTTACTATTCTTAGAATATACTAAAATTTTTTGTTGATCCTAAAGTAAATATACATAATTTGATTTAACTCCTCATTTTTGGCATTTGGAATGTAATAAAATCTGGATAACTTTAAAGTGTCATAATATTATGAGTAAGATTTGAATTGTTGAACTTGGAAATCTAGAATGTCATATATTTTAGGATCTCTGAGGAAAACAGATGACAACACTTCACTGTCCCTAAATAAGCTTTTGACTATTACCTTAAAATCACCATGAGTTTTGAAGAGTTGAGAAACTTGCTGGTATTTATTTCTTTATATTATTCCTAATAAAATTAATTTCTCATCTGCGTCAACAAAAAGAATATTACAACAGCTTTAAAAAAAAGGACTATGAAGGGCTAGCCAAGAGGCAGAGCGACTGGAACTCCCATGTACTGCTGGGAAGAATACAAAATGGTATAGCTACGCTGGAAAACTGCTTAGCTGTTTCCTGTACAGTGAAACACGTACTCTATGACCCAGCAATTTCACTCCTGGGTATTAACCCCAGTGAGATAAAAACCTACATTCACAGAAAAAAATGGTATGAATATTTACAGTAACTCCATTCATAATCACCAAAAGTTGCAAATAACTCAAATGCCCTTTAACAGGTGAATAAAGAAACTGTGGGACATGCCTACAATGGAAAACTACTCAGCAATGAAAAGGAATGACTATTCATAAAATACAACATGAATGAATATCAAATGCATTACACTGAATGAAAGACAGTCTTAAAAGTACATACTTATGATTCCATTTCTGTGACATTCTGGAAATGACAAAACTATACTGATGAGAAACAGATGAGGTTGCCAAGAATTGGATGTAACTACAAAGAAAGGGAACGAGGAAGTTTTGTGGGTTGATGAAACTGTTGTTCAGTATCCTCATTATGGTAGTGGCTACACGAATATATGTGCATGCTAAAACTCATAGTACTGTACACCAAAAAAAGTCAATTTACTACATGTTAATTAAAAAAAAAAAAAAAAAGAGCATGTGAAGACCACCAACATCCTTGGCATGTGCCCAAACCTCTATAGCTCAAACATTTGCTGGATTTTTTTTTTGAGACAGTCTCACTCTGTCACCCAGGCTGGAGTGCAGTGGAGCAATCTCAGTTCACTGCAAGCTCTGCCTCCCAGGTTCACGCCATTCTCCTGCCTCAGCCTCCCAAGTAGCTGGGACTACAGACACTCGCTACCATGCCTGGCTAATTTTTTTTTGTATTTTTAGTAGAGATGGGGTTTCACTGTGTTAGCCAGGATGGTCTCGATCTCCTGACCTTGTGATCCACCCACCTCGGCCTCCCAAAGTGCTGGGATTACAGGCGTGAGCCACTGTGCCCAGCCATTTGCTGGATTTTTTAATGCTCTCAGAAAGAAAATGGTGCACACTCCTTTATTAGATTTGTTTAATTCAAACCTATATGACGAATTCTAAATCAGCCTTAACTATTTGTTTTAGATTCAAAGTAGAGAATAAAGCCTTCAATTTTGCCACTTAATCATGAAACAAAAATAATGTAAAGAAGGAAACAAAGCAATTTTCAAAATGGCAGCCAAAACAAAAGCAAGAGAGAGTCTACTACATGGAGCCAACCAGAGAGAGGCTAAAGCATAACAAAGCATCATGTTCAGATCTTAGTTGTGTATTTAAAATTTGTGCACTTCGGCCGGGCACGATGGCTCACGCCTGTAATCCCAGCACTCTGGGATGCCAAGGCGGGCAGATCACCTGAGGTTAAGAGTTTGGGACCAGCCTGGCCAACATGGTGAAACCCCGTCTCTACCAAAAAAAAAAAATACAAAAATTAGCCAGGCTTGGTGGCATGCACCTGTAATCCCAGCTACCCAGGAGGCTGAGGCAGAAGAATCACTGGAACCTGGGAGGCAGAGGCTGCAGCGAGCCAAGATCCAACCTGGGCGACAGAGCAAGACTCTGTCTCAAAAAAAAAAAAAAAAAAAATCGTGCACTTCTCTATACGTATATTGCACTTCCATAAAAAGTTCTTAAAAGTAATAATGTAGCCAGGCACGATGGCTCACGCCTGTAATCCCAGCACTTTGGGAGGCCGAGGTAGGCGGATCACGAGGTCAAGAGACTGAGACCATCCTGGCCAACATGGTGAAACCCCGTCTTTACTAAAAATACAAAAATTAGCTGGGCGTGGTGGCACGAACCTGTAGTCCCAGCTATTCAGGAGGCTGAGGCAGGAAAATCGCCTGAACCCAGGAGGTGGAGGTTGCAGTGAGCCAAGATCGGGCCACTGCGCTCCAGCCTGGCAACAGAGCAAGACTCCATATAAAAAAAAAAAAAGTAATAATGTAAATCTGTAATTTCAAAAACCACTCTGCATCATACCCTGAAGCAAACTGTGGTATGTGTAATAACCCATTTTTACAAGTATGCGCATGGGAACAAAGTCCAAAACAATGTAGACCTAACTGTTAATGGGAGTCCTCTCTAGCTGAGGAGAACACCAGTATTTTTACTTTTTTCTCTATTTTTCTACATCAGTCTGACTTTTTAAAACAAGGGACACAAATTTTTTTGTAATCAGAGAGTAAGTTTTTGCCATTTTGGAAAATATTCAAGATAAAAAAACTGATATTTATATTACAGACAAATTTATGTATGACTTGACTGTAAGCTCCTTGACGTAAAGCAGCTTTGTAAGCCTCATACAGTACCAGATTCCCAAAAGACACTTCACCAGATGTGCGGCTGGAGAATGAAGAATAGAAACAGGGAAGCCTTCTCAAAGAGAAGGGCTAACTTCGGGAGTCTCCAAATAGAGGGGAAGGAATCAGGCAAGCGGCACGGGTGGCTGGATGGAAGGAGACCTGTAAGTGATGGTGAAGAGGCCGAAGGCCTCCTGAGATGGAAACAAAGACGGGAGTGGGCCCAGGGGAGACAGAAAATTTGGAAGAGGTGTGAAGGAAAGGGTAGCACTCAGCAAAGACTTGTGATGGAGAGAACAACAATGGTTTCATAGGAAAACATCAGCGGGCTCACTGATCCCTTCTAGAACTAACCATTCCATTCTCATCCCTTATCTTCTCCTCCTCTCCCCTGAACCTCCAAGGAAAGTGACTCCAGACTGTTGCTTACACAGCTTGTCATGCTCAGAATCCTTAGCACACAAGAGGAGTGGGCACCTGACCCAGGGGCACCAACCCACAGGCTGGCCAGGCACCTATAACTTGGCCTAGCTGGGAAAACTCTACCCAAATAGACCATCAGATGCCCTCTGGCATTCAGTGAAATTAGCAACATGATGAGAGGACAGACAGACCAGTAATGAATATTTCAAATATATAATCTCCAGCCTGGGTAACACAGGGAGACCCGGTCTCTACAAAAAAATATTTAAAAAAAAAAATTAGCCAGGAGTGGTGTGGTGGCACACACCTGTGGTCCCAGCTACTCAGGAGACTTACAGAGGATCACTTGGACCCGGCAGGTCGAGGATGTGGTGAGCCATGATCATGACTGCACTCCAGCCTGGGCAACACAGTTAGACCGTGTCTCAAAATACACACACACACACGTATATATAATCTATCAGGATATATTTATAACACATATGTTGGTGCAAAAGTAATTGTAGTTTTTGTCATTAAAAGTAATGACCAGGCCGGGCACAGTGCCTCATGCCTGAAATCCCAGCACTTTGGGAGGCCGAGGCAGGTGGATAACTTGAGACCAGCCTGGCCAACATGGTGAAACACTGTCTCTACTAAAAATACAAAAAAAAAAAATTAGCTGGGTGTGGCAGTGTGCGCCTGTAATCCCAGCTTCTCAGTAGGCTGAAGCAGGAGAATCACTTGAACCCAGGAGACGGAGGTTGCAATAAGCCGAGATTGAGCCACTGCACTCCAGCCTGGGAGACAGATGGGAGGAGACACAGCAAGACTACGTCTCAAAAAAAAAAAAAAAACCTAATGACCAGAACCGTAATTACTTTTGCAACAACTTATATATATATAATATGTATATATTATTATATATAGGCTGATAATATAACCTATGTAATATATAAGTTAGTAACATATCTCAGAAAATGTAATACCTGCAACTCCACTAAACAATCTTTTATTATTCCTCTGATTCTTAAGGGTCACTTTTGAGTTACACTTTTGTTTTTTTTGAGATGGAGTCTCTGATTGCAGTGGTGCGATCTCGGCTCACTACAACCTCAGCCTCCCCGGTTCAAGCGATTCTCCTGCCTCAGCCTCCCAAGAAGCTGGGATTACAGGCACGTGCCACCACACCCAGCTAGTTTTTTGTTTTGTTTTTTTTTTGTATTTTTAGTAGAGACGGAGTTTCATATGTCGGCCAGGCTAGTCTTGAACTCCTGACCTCAAGTGATCCTCCCACCTCAGCCTCCCAAAGTGCTGGGATCATAGGTGTAAGCCACTGCGCCTGGCTTTTTTTTTTTTTTTTGAGACGGAGTCTTGCTCCCATCACAGTGGTGCAATCTCGGCTCACCACAACCTCAGCCTCCCAGGTTCAAGTGATTCTCCTGCCCCCGCCTCCCAAGAAGCTGGGATTACAGGCACGCGCCACCACACCAATTTTTTTTTTTTTTTTTTTTTTTTTGTATTTTTTAGTAGGGACGGAGTTTCACATGTTGGCCAGGCTGGTCTAAAGTGATCCTCCCACCTCAGCCTCCCAAAGTGCTGGGATCACAGATGTGAGCCACCACACCCAGTCTTTTTTTTTTTTTTTGAGACAGAGTCTCACTCTGTCATCCAGGCTGGAGTGCAGTGGCACAATCAGAGCTCACTGCAGCCTCAACCTCCTAAGCTCAAGCAATCCTCCCACCTCAGCCTCCCAAGTAGCTGGGACTACAGGCTCACACCACCATGCTCAGCTAATTTTTTTATTTTTTGTAGAGACAGGGTCTCCCTGTGCTGCCCAGGCTGGTCTCGAACTCCTGGATGCAAGGGATCCACCCACCTCAGCCTCCCAAAGTCCTGGAATTAGACATAAGCCACTGCACCCGGCCCACGTTATACTATTATTTACAGAAAATGCCTCAGTGTGCACACTGCAGATTCACAATGTTGTACTGTACTTTTGTGCAGCTACTTAACAGTGAAATGTGGTTTGTTCCACAGGGCCTCTTAATATGGCATTCCTTAAAGCAAGAGATTGTGTTTCCCACTGCAAACAAGCCAGACAGCAATGTTTTTTACATACTCCTTGCAGTTTACTTACTTTAAAACACAGTATTTTCCTCAGCCAGTGTTCTCTTCTTGGCAGTAACCAAACAGGGGATTGACATTTTATTGAGAACACCACCTTCCTTTGCATGTTTGCAACTTCCGCTCAGGTCCTGAAATAGTCTTGGTCGTGGGATTCTTTGAGGTCAATGGTGGCCAGTCCTTGGTTATCTGAGACAAAGTGCCATGTGCTGTCTTCCACAATGGGGCCATGGCCACTGCATTCCACCAGCCAGTTTTTGCCCCCAAGTTCTCAGAGCAAGGCAGCCAGTGCTCATCAGCCCCTGCCAGACAAGCTTGGTGGGCAGATCCCTCTCATGCCCAGTTGGCAGAGGAGGAAGCACTTGGTTGGCTTTAGGCTAGTGAGGCTAGCATGGAGCTAGGCAGAGCCAAGTTCTCTTTCAGATGCAGTTGGGTCACAGTCTGGTCTGCGAAGGGAGGACATAGGCCTTTGGGACCCAGGGGCCACAGGCTGCACTTGACCAGATAGATGGAAAAGCTGAGTCCCTTTGGATTCATGAGTCCCCAAGATTCCTGAGGCCCAGCTGCTTGGCCCTTCCAAGGCTCCCTCAAAGGCCTGGCTTACTAGTGAGTCCTGCAGGAAACCCAAAGGAACCCAGGTATCTGCTCCTGGCAACTCAGGCCAACACTGCAGAGACAGGGACGGACATGGCCCAGGAGCAGCCCAGATGGTCACAAAGGCCCCTCGGTGCACACACCCAGACAGGGACAACTACAGCGGAAATTCTAACAGGTTATCTGCATTAGTCTCTACTGCCCATCACACAACATCAACTGCTTGACAGATATGCTGATGGTAACTTAGGTTCTCAGTGGAAACTAATTTCCACTGGAATTAGGTTCAAGTGGAATTTCAACAAATGGATGCTCTCATCGAAACGAGTCAGCAAGCTACCTGTGTATCTGTGTTCATTCCGTCATTTGGTGTTGAATACATCATCATCTACAGACCTCACAGAGGACCAAGTGCTGAAAGGTGTTACATATTCTTTTTTTTTTTTTTTTTTTTTTTTTTGAGATGGAGTTTTGCTCTTGTTGCCCAGGCTGGAGTGCAGTGGCACAGTCTCAGCTTACTGCAACCTCCACCTCCCGGGTTCAAGCAATTCCCCTGCCTCAGCCTCCTGAGTAGCTGGGATTACAGGTGCCTGCCACCACACCCAGCTAATTTTTTGTATTTTTAGTAGAGGTGGGGTTTCACCATGTTGGGCCGGCTGGTCTCAAACTCCTGACCTCAGGTGATCCACCCGCCTCGGCCTCCCAAAGTGCTGGGATTACAGGCGTGAGCCACCGCACCTGCCTGGTGCTACATATTCTTTTCTTTACTTAAAAAAATTTTTTTTTTAATTTTTTTTTTTGAGACAGAGTCTCACTCTGTTGGCCAGGCTGGAGTGCAATGGAGTGATCTCAGCTCACTGCAACCTCTGCCTCCTGGGTTCAAGTGATTCTCCTGCCTCAGCCTCCCAAATAGCTGGGATTACAGGCATGCGCCAACATGCCCGGCTAATTTTTGTATTTTTAGTAGAAATGGGGTTTCACTATGTTGGCCAGGCTGGTCTCAAACTCCTGACCTCAGGTGATCCATCCTCTTCGGGCCTCCCAAAGTGCTGGGATTACCGGTGTGAGCCACGCCCAGCCAACAGCCAGAATTTTAACAAAAATTTTTTCCTTTATATTGATCTGATCTGAGACACAATGGTAGACTTTATTATTCATTAAAAAAAAAAAAAAAAAAAACCTGCAGGCCACCTACAGAACTCCATGGAGGCAAAGACACAAAGGAGAAGTTCTGCAGACCCCTGGCCCTGCTGGGCTCCCTGCGACCTAGCAGTTAGTCATTTCTTGTGGGCTTCACTCATTTAACCAGCCTGACAGTCCCTAGGCCCCCAACCCAAACCAACAGCTGAAGCTTTTCCAAAGCATCTAGTGAAGGTGAGACATGGACATGCACAGTGACTCCTCAGCCATCTTTGAGCAACACACCACCAGCAACCACTTACCACCACCTCCACCAGCGCCACACACTGCAGGACCGAACAGCCGTGCAAATTATTTACACACGACAAGTGGGGGCCTGTTTCCCCAGTTCCAGCTCTAAAACCACACTATTTATTTTTTAAATACTTATTTTATTTTTTTAAGATAGGACCTCACTCTGTCACCCAGGCTGGAGTGCAGTGGTGCGATCATAGCTTGTAACCTCGTACTCCCAGTCTCCTCGTACTCTTCCCGCCTCTGCCACCCAAGGAACTGGAACTATAAGCACATGCCACCATGCCCAGCTAAAAAAAAAATAAATAAATCACACTCTAACGGGAATGTAGACAAATTTGCTGTCAAATTATCCTGTTCTCACTTTACTATCATAGACAGTAAGGCAAAGTTATATCCAACACCAGGATTTTGTTGCAATACAAACTTTGGGGCTCTCAGTCAATTAATTGCCTGCCCCAGTACATTCACTTGGGCAATTGCCTGAGTTGGTTAAATACTTGCTCTTTACACAGAACATCACAAAGAGTTGATGTGTCATATACGGTCTTTCCTAAACTACTATTCCAAAAAACGCCTAAGGCTCTTCATAATTCTGTCTCTCCCCATAACCATATAACGGACAAGAAAGATGATCACAAATCACAGAACTGTCCCACATCTTGCCTCACAGAAAGGATCAAACCTCCATCCCTATGGCAGCAAAAGTAAAGCATGGGGAAAGAATGCGACCCTGAGGCTCAGCTCCCAGGGCCACCAAACAACGGGGTAGCTACAGGAAAGTCCCAACTTCTCTAGGGGTCAGATTCCTCACCTGTAAAACAAGGGAGGCGCACAATAACTTCACGATCCCTTAGAGTCTAAAACTCTTGAGTTTCTGACTGGAGCCACCTTGACCCTTCGTTATTGATTTATATCATGTATTCACCTTCAACATGAATTAGTTGTTTCTTTTCTTCCTTGATTTGTGACTTGTTCCAAACTTCCCAACACCATCAAACTGAACTTGGCTGAGCCGGCAAATGCTTACCAAGTGATCACCACTGTGAGCACTTTACAGAAGAAAACTGGGCCTCTGCCATGCAGATGTTTATAAACTTACTACAGTAGAACATAAGTATTCCTTATTATCCAAATCTGTTCAGAAAGCCAGTGCCCAGAGAGTCAGGGACATATGTAATGTAAAATAGTGCTTCATCGCAGGACACCAATCAGAACAGAGAAAAACCAGTGACAGCCAGGTGTGGTGGCTCATGCCTGTAATCCCAGTACTTTGGGGGCCAGGGCAGCTTGAGCCCAGGAGTTCAAGAGCAGCTGAGGCAACATGTTAAGACCCTGTCTCTACAAAACACAAAATTAGCCAGGCGTGGTAGCACACCTGTAGTCCCAGCTACTCTAGAGCCTGAGGGTCTAGGACCACTTGGGACGAGGAAGGTTGAGGCTGCAGTGAGCCATGATTGTGTCATTATACTCTAGCCTGGGAAACAGAACAAGACCCTGTCTCAAAAAAATATATAAAAAAGAAAAGAAAAACCAGTGACGCCAGGCATGGCAGGACCAGAGGAAGACAGGTGGGGGCAGGGAAGTAGGGAAGGGGACATGAGGCCCTGCCTCACCCTGGCCCACTGACTTCTGGGGCATCTGTAGGCTGGGCAAACGGCAGCAGCGGCCTTGCAGCAGCAGCGTGTTATTGTGGGGAACAAGAGCTTCCAGCCAGGCTGAGGCTGGCAGATTTACGTGGAGAGAATCTGAATGGGAAAGTGACTGGACCAGAACCTGGCTAAATTAAGCGCCCATGGACATTTTAACAATAACAACACTCATCAAATGTTTCCCACGGCCACCTCATACCAACCCTATGGTGACAGGTAGTCTTATCTGTACTCCTACTCCTAATCATTCTAGCCTGACACAGGCCCTTAAAGGCCAAGCTGAGGCCTAAAGGGCATGGTCCTAAGTGTAGGTGGTCAAGATTTTTTTTTTTTTTGAGACAGAATCTCACTCTGTTGCCCAGGCTACAGTGCAATGGCATGGTCTCAGCTCACTGCAATCTCCACCTACTGGGTTCAAGTGATTCTCCTGTCCCAGCCTCCTAAGTAGCTGGGATTATAGGCATGTGCCATGATGCTCTGCTAAGTTTTATATTTTGGAGTTTGGGTTTCACCACGCTGGCCAGGCTGGTCTCAAACTTCTGACCTCAGGTCATTTGCCCGCCTCAGCCTCCCAAAGTGCTGGAAGTACAGGTATGAGCCACCGTGCCCGGCCTCAAGATCTATTTTCGTGAAGAAAAGTGACCAGGGTCAGGTGTGGTGGCACGTGCCTATACTCCCAGCTACTCAGCAAACTGAAGCAGGAGATCACTTGAGCCCAGGAATTCAAGGTGCAGTGAGCCATGATCACACCACTGTACTCTAGCTTGGGCAACACAGTGAGGCCTCATCTCTAAAAACAAAAGAAATGAAAAGCAAAGCCATCAGGGGAAAAAGAGAAAAATGAAAATCCAGAGAGGAGAGCACAAAGCCATAAAGAATGCTCCTCCAGCAACCCGGAGATGCAGGGCTCCCCTCTCAGGCTAGAGGAACAGAGGAAAGGGAGAGAAAGAAACAAATGAAATTGGGAGGTTCCAACATGATGAGCTGGATAAAAATCCAGCCCCCTCTCGCCACATAGTCCCCATTTCAACATAAATTGTGAATGCTTTCGAAATGAACCAAAAATACCAAGTATCTTTGATGGAAAACTAGGCCTTGTTAGAACATAACTTTCCAAGTTATCTGATCCTATGGTATTTGCACCTTTCATTGTCCTTGAGCTATTTGTAACTCTGTTAAACTGTACATAACTGACAGCAATGCAAATGATCCTCATCTATAAATAGGCAAATTAATTCTGTCTGGTGGAGAGACAATTGATTCAACTCCAAGCCAGAGTTGCATGTATTTGAAATTGATTTCATGGAACATGTGTGTGCATGTGTCTGCTCTTTGAATTTTCCTTTGGCTGGTTGTAATGTCCTACTGTTTCCCTCATTAATTAATAAAATACTTTACATTTGTATGAGTCATGATTTTATCTTTAAAAAATTATTCTTTGGCCAGGAGCAGTGGCTCACGACTGTAATCCCAGCACTTTGAGAGGCTGAGGTGGATCACTTGAGTCCAGGAGTTCAAGACCAGCCTGGGCAACATGGCGAAACCCCATCTCTACAAAATGTACAAAAATTAGGCATGGTGGTGCACGCCTGTGGTCCCAGCTACTTGGGGGGCTGAGGTGGGAGGATCACTTGAGCCCAGGAGACAGAGGTTGCAGTATGTCAAGATCATGCCACTGCGCTCCAGCCTGGGTGACAGAGCAAGACTCCATCTAAAAAAAAAAAAAAAATTATCCTTTAATATCTACAAACAAGTTAAAGTCCAAAACAAGTGCCAATACTCTGTATTCGCTGTTCTAAGAAGTAAAGAAAAAAATTCTAGGTCAATAATTCATCCAACCCCAAACACTTTGAAGTCTGCTGGCAAGAAGGATGACAATCAAGTCTCAATTTTCACTTCTTTACCCCGCTCCATGGGAAAAGATGGCTTCCAGCTTCCTCATCACTTTTACTGGTTCTGATTTTAGCAATTCTTAAATTTTATCAATAATCCAAGGAGAAAGAAGAACTGAGGGCCCCCCTTCTCCCCTGACTCTGAGAGATGTGACCCCTGAATTATGCAAAAAGGGTTCTCTTGAGGCTGGAGACCCCCCCAGGAGCAGAGCCAGCAGAGGGGAAAACAGAAACGGACCAAGTCAATGTAAGATGGGACTGATGAGGCCGGGCATGGTGGCTCATGCCTGTAATCCCAGCAGTTAGGGAGGCCGAGGTGGGCAGATCACTAGAGGTCAGGAGTTCGAGACCAGCCTGGCCAACATGGTGAAACCCTGTCTCTACTAAAAATATAAAAATCAGCCGGGCGTGGTGCTGGGTGCCTGTAATCCCAGCTACTCGGGAGACTGAGGCAAGAGAAACGCTT
Organism: Homo sapiens; assembly: GCF_000001405.40. NCBI lineage: Eukaryota > Metazoa > Chordata > Mammalia > Primates > Hominidae > Homo > Homo sapiens. The sequence continues at coordinate 66,679,743 of NC_000016.10, forward strand.
GAACCTGGGAGGTGGAAGTTTCAGTGAACTGAGATCACACCACTGCACTCCAGCCTGGGTGACAGTGCGAGACTCTATGTCAAAAAAAAAAAAAAAAAAAAGATGAGACCGATGAGTGATGCTGGAGCAATGCTCACAATCCGCCTAATGGTTACAGAAACAAACTCACACGGGGGCTCTGGCCTTGGAAGGTAGACTGCACAGCTCCCCACCAGCTAGCCAGTTATTGACCCCAATAGGCTTCTGTTTCTGCATCTGTAAAATGGCAACATTAACAGTGCCTGCCTGATAAGCTTGCCATGAACGTTAAATGAGGTAACACAAATAAAACACTTAGCAATCTGGCACATAGCAATGCACACTTCAGTGCTACCTTTAGTATCATTTATTGATTGAGAAATGAATTTAATGTACTGTAAACTAAAAGCAAGAAATATAATAAATCATAACTGCCGGCCAGGCACAGTGGCTCATGCCTATAATCTCAGCACTTTGGGAGGCCAAGGCGTATGGATCACTTGAGGCCAGGAGTTCCAGACCAGCCTCACCAACATGGTAAAACCCTGTCTCTACTAAAAATACAAAAATTGGCCAGGTGTGGTGGTGGGTGCCTGTAATCCCAGCTACTCGGGAGGCTGAGGCCCGAGAATTGCTTGAACCCAGGAGGCAGAGGCTGCAGTGAGCCGAGATCACACCACTGCACTCCAGCCTGGGTGACAGAGTGAGACTCCATCTCAAAAAAAAAAAAAAGGTCGGGCATGGTGGCTCATGCCTGTAATCCCAGCGCTTCGGGAGGCCAAGGCGGGCAGATCACGAGGTCAGGAGATCGAGACCATCATGGCTAACGCGGTGAAACCCCGTCTCTACTAAAAATACAAAATATTAGCCAGGCGTGGTGGCGGGCACCTGTAGTCCCAGCTGCTCGGAAGGCTGAGGCAGGAGAATGGCATGAACCTGGGAGGCAGAGCTTGCAGTGAGCCGAGATCGTGCCACTGCACTCCAGCCTGGGCAACAGAGCAAGACTCCGTCTCAAAAAAAAAAAAAAAAAAAAAAAAAAACCATAATGGCCACCTCCACCTCTTAACTCTCTCTCATTTAGTTATGTCCTTTCCATCTCCACTGCCAAAAGACCAGTTAGTTAAGCCTTCTTTTCTCACTGGATCTACTCAAAGTCTCTGACCAGGTCCTGCTGCAATAATCTCACCCTTCTCAAAGCCATTGCACACACCTTCTAACCTAGAAATATCCAACAGAAATACGTAAGCCACACATGCAACTGAAAATTTTCTAATAGCCATATTTTAAAACGTAAAAAAGTAGAATTTGGATAGTATATTTTATGCAATCCAATATATCCAAAATATTGACCAGACACAGTGGCTCACACCTGCAATCCTAGTACTTTGGGAGGCTGAGGCAGAAGGATCACTTGAGGCCAGGAGTTCCAGACCAGCCTGGGCAACACAGTGAGACCCTGTCTCTATAAAGGAAAAACAAATGAAAAATATTACTTCAATATATAATCAGTATAAAATTATTAATGATAGTTGACATGCTTTTTTTCCTATTAAATCTTTTTTTTTTTCTTTTTTGAGACCGAGTCTTGCTCTGTTGCCCAGGCTGGAGTGCAGTGGCCTGATCTTGGCTCACTGCAAGCTCCACCTCCCGGGTTCATGCCATTCTCCTGCCTCAGCCTCCCAAGTAGCTGGGACTACAGGCACCCGCCACCACGCCCAGCTAATTTTTTTGTATTTTTAGTAGAGATGTTAGCCAGGATGGTATTGATCTCCTGACCTTGGGATCCACCCGTCTTGGCCTCCCAAAGTGCTGGGATTACAGACGTGAGCCACCGCGCCCAGCCTTCCCTATTAAATCTTTAAAATCCAGGGTGTATTTTGTATTTATGCATATCTCAATTCGTACCAGCCACATTTCAAGCGCTCAATAGCCACAGTTATAACTGTTCCCCATCTCTTTTAGAAAAATCCAATTTCATCAGGCTAACAAATCGGCCCCTCACCAGCCTGGGTCCCCCTCATCTTGCCCCATTTGTCAAATCACTTGCCCTTCCCTTCCATACCTTTGCCTGGTGAACCACACTTGACTCACCTCTTACCACGCCTTTCTGGGCTGGACCCTAGCACCTGGGATATTCCTTTGCCACAGGCACACCCTCCTTATTCCAGGCATTGGCCATTCAGCATCTTACAGCAATGTGCCCCTTTCCCAAATGGCCACAAGTGCTTCCTGCCAAGCCCACTATCGCCAGGCCTCTATCACAGCCCCTGGCTCAGGTGGTCCAATGGTTTGTGTACTTTTGTCTGCCCCACTCCAAACCCTTACTCCCAAGAGCTCTGGGAGCTCTTTGGAGGCAGAGATTTTTGTCTTATTTCTAATAGTACCTGGCCCACCCTAGGCACTCAAATGTATATAAAGTATGGATTTTTTAAAAAGGGGTGAATGATAGCATTTTTACTGACATCTAGTTACTGATCTTGATTTAACTTTCAAGTTATTTAGCCAACACTTAATCTCAAGTTATACACATTTCTAGGGCTTGGCCTGAAAATGGGTGAAAGAAAGTAGACAAGCTGAGGAAGCAACTACCCCTGGAAGAGCCATTGTTTCTGGGTTGTTTTTCTTTTTTTTTTTCCACTGGCACAAAAATCTTTTAGCCTTAAACTGTTTTTCACAGTGGTGCTGGAATAAATGGGAAACCACAAAAATGAAGGCTTCCACTGCACCAGTCATCAAATCGCAGTGGCAGTAAAGAAAACATCCAGAACTATCCACACTTGATTAAACTTTGAACATTTTAAGTGTTTATTAACTCATTTAATTCTCAAACTTAACCATTCATTTGAAATTGTCAACAACAAAATGCTGGCTTAACAGTATTTCCCATAGCCTTCTCTAGCCTTCACTGAAGATCGCCAGCCTCCCTTTGCAGGCCTCATGGAACGGTTGTTCTTTTATTTTAATCAGAAAGCTTTAAAAAAAAAATCACTATGACCCTCAGCTTCAATGCCAGTTGTGACTTTTTCTTTGCCTGAAAAGTGTCTCTTGAAAGATACTTGCTTGACAGATACAAGCCTCTCTCTTTCTGAATGTGTTAATCAGAAAGCAGACAACTTCAATAATAATTACAGAATCCTGGTTTTCATTTTACACTTTTCTAGGCAAAAAGATTGGCAAAGCCTCTTATGGTTTCCCCAACTTTTACAAAAATCTGTCTCCTAAGCAAAATCTTCTGTTTCCTAGTAGCAGTAGATAGTCTACTTAAAGTTAAAAAAAGAAAAAGTAATTACGATGGCATTTTATTTCCATAGTTTCTCTCCAATATTTTCCACCTCAAATAGAGTCTAGTTGTGTGTGTGTGTGTGTGTGTATATATATATATATATGTATATATATATACGTATATATATATATACATATGTATATATATATACATATATATATATATATAAATTTTCCCCATGGATTCCATGTTTTCAAAAACTTGACCTTACAAACTACATTAATAACCCATTTTTTTCTTTTCTTTTTTTTTTTTTTTTTTTTTTTGAGACGGAGTCTTGCTCTGTCACCCAGGCTGGAGTGCAGTGGCGTGATCTCGGCTCACTGCAAGCTCCGCCTCCTGGGTTCACATCATTCTCCTGCCTCAGCCTCCCGAGCAGCTGGGACTACAGGCGCCCACCACCACGGCCAGCTAATTTTTTGTATTTGCAATAGAGACAGGGTTTCACCATGTTAGCCAGGATGGTCTCGATCTCCTGACCTCGTGATCCGCCTGCCTCGGTCTCCCAAAGTGCTGGGAGCTACCACGCCCGGCCCATTTTTTTTCTTTTATTAAACAAACACATACATTCAACTGTCTATTCAACACCTATGTGCCAGACCCTGGTTTAGACACGGGATACAGCAGGGAACTTGAAAGCCAAGTCTTTGCTCTCATGGAGCTGACCTT